>NC_000014.9:40236713-40861713 GCF_000001405.40 Homo sapiens
AGTAATTTAATCATGGGGTCAAGTCTTTCCTGTGCTGTTTTCATGATAGTGAATAAGTCTCATGAGCTCTGATGGTTTTAAAAAGAGGAATTCCCCTGCATAAGCTCTCTCTTTGTCTGCTGCCATCCATGTAAGACATGACTTGCTCTTCCTTACCTTCCGCGATGATTGTGAGGCTTCCCCAGCCACATGGAACTGTTAAGTCCAATTAAACCTCTTTGTTTTTTAAATTGCCCAGTCTCAGGTATGTGTTCATCAGCAGCGTGAAGACAGGCTAATACACTTTCCCTTCCCAAAGTGCACAGACTCAGACTCTCTGTGCTGTCCTGCTGCTTCTGGGGAATGGTGAAGAGGTGGTGTCAGTGATTCAAGACAATCTCTCCTACCCTCTTCAATACCTCTTTCAATGATATGAAGTTAAAACCATGTACTGTGATGCTTACCTGATTTTTGGTTATTGTGACAGTGTTTTTCTGTGTGCATATAGTTGTTAAAATGTGGTGTCCCAGCAAGGGAAATGAAGGTGTAGGCTTCTATTCTGCCATCTTGCTCCACCCCCTCAGCATTCCTGTTTCTTGCTCTTTCTATTTTATTTTTAATTGGACTAATTACAAAAGCTTGTTTTCATGTGTTACTCATGTACTTTAAAAAAAATGTTCCAGAGTTTTCCTGTCCATAATCCTACTGTGAGTCAACCTTGGGCACAGCTACCAAAATTGAAAAGTCTTTGAGTTGGAATGCATAGAAATAGATTTTAGGGTTCTGAGGAGTTTGCCTAAGGGCTGCCTAGGAGAGGTGGAGACTGAGGGAGAGGCTAAGAAAATGAGATTCTTGGCCCCCGCTCCATTTCAGCCAGAACGCCCAGTTTTTATGTTTATTAAAGTGCCACATGAGATGTTACTTAAAAATAAACCATGGAGGTGGAGCTGCTGTTGGAAACAATGCTTTGAAATTCACTAACCCAGAATAAGGACGGTGTTGGTCTCCACTTTGCTTTTCTCTGACCACTCCTGGGGGCCAGGTTTATTTCTTGGCTTTCACCTGAAGGTGGAAATCAATGCAGTGAATGCACTCCAAGGAAAGCACCTAGGATGGTGAAGGTACTGAAAACTAGAGAGATTGGTTAGTAAAGCCAGGCTTGGAGAGCCTTAATTATTTGAAGGGCTCTCAGGTGAGTAGATTAGTTCTTCATAGCACTGGGGTCAGGACTAAAACCTGGGGTAAATGGAGATTTCAGAGTTGTCCAAAGATAAAATGGGTTGCCTCAGGAAGTAATAGGATCCCCATAACTGGAGATATGTAGGCAGAAACTCTTTGTCTATGATGTTTGTGGCAGATATTTCAACAACAGATGAGGGTTTGACTAGAGAACCTCCAAGGATCTCTAAACACAAATATTGTTTAGTTCCTATGATTCAGAATATATGTTGGACACTGGAAATATATAAATGATTGAGAGAGACATTTTTTCCACTCTCAATGAAAAAGCAAATAAGATACACAAACAAGTAAACTTTTAAATTTTAAATATTGCTCTGAGGACAAGAGAATATGGTGATGTGATAAAGAGTAACTGGAAGTGGGGACACTTTTAGATAGGAATTTAAAGAAGCACCCTCTGAAGAGATATCTGAGGCCTGAGGGTGAGAAGGAGCCATTTATGCAAAAATATTCTGGGCAGAGGGAACAGAACATAGTAATAGCACTAGAAAGCTGTTGCAGAATTTAAAACAGGATAATTCTGTGATCTGATTTAGGATTTACAATGATTTTTTTTAAAAAAGAATTGCACACCAAAACCAAATGATATTTATTCCAGGTATGCAAGATTGGTTCAACATTTGAAAGTCAGTTCGTGTAATAAACCACATCAAGAGGCTATAAAGGGGAAATTATATGATTATATCAATTGATGCAGAAAAGGGAATTACAAAATTCAACAACCATTCTCAATAAAACTCTAAGCACACTAGGAATAGAGGGAGCGTCTTCATCTTTATAAAGAATATCTACAAAAAAATCCTACAGTGAACATCATACTTACTGCTGAGAAACTGAATATTTGGCCATATCTTAATACGAGCCAAGTTAAGTCCTGTTTTACTACTGGTATTTAATAGCATACTGGAAGTCCTAGCAAGTTCAATAAGACAAGAAAGGGAAATAAATACAAAGAATACAGATTTCAAAGAAGGACTAAATCTGTCTTTGCTTACAAATGACATGATTGTCTATGTGGAAAATTCCAAAGAATGAAACAAAAAAGCAAAACAAACCCCTCCTGAAACAAATCTGTGAGTATAGCGAGGTCACAGGATACAAAGTTATTATATGAAAGGCGATTGTTTTACTTTATAGCAATAAACAGTGGTAATTTGAGATACAAAATTTATAATAGCCATTCATAATTGCACATAAAAATGAAATAATTAGGTACAAATCCAACAAAGTATGTGTAGAACCTATATGTGGAAAACTATAAAACTCTAAAGAAATTGAAGGAAATATAAATAAATGGAGATATTTTGTGTTCATGGATTGGAAAACTCAATATTTTAATATAATTTTTTTCAACTTGATTTATAGATGCAAGACACCCTCAATCAAAATTCTGTAAGCTATTTCATCATATTGAAAAAAGGAATCTAAGTTTATATGGAAAGATAAAAGATCTAAAATAGCTGTACTATAATGTATGAAAGCAATAAAGTTTGAAAACCCAATTTCAAGATTTGCTATACAGCTAAAATAATCAAGGCTGTATGGGATTGGAAAAATAATAGGCACATAGACATGGAACAGAATAAAGAGCCTAGAAATAGACTACAAATATAGTCAATAAATCTTCAACAAGGAAGCAAAGGCAATTACATTTAGAAAGAATAGTTTTTTCAACAAATGATACTAAAACTATTGGATATCCATATGAAAATGTATCTAGGCACAAATTTAATATATTGCACATAAATTAACTCAAAATGGATCATTGATTAGTGTACAACTCAAAGTTCTAATACTTCTAGAAGAAAACATAGGAGACAATATAGGTGACAGGGTTTGGCAATGAGTTTTTATTTTTATTTTCGGTTAATTAATTAATTATTTGTTTTAGAGACAAGGTCTCTCTCTGTCACCCTGGCTGGAGTGCAGTTCTCACAATTACAACTCATTGTACCTCAAATTCCTGGGTTCAAGTGATCCTCTTGTCTCAACCTCCCTGGCATTTAGGACTACAGTTGCACCACCATGCCTGGATTGGCAATGAGTTTTCAAATACAAAACCAAAAGCATGATCCATAAAAGAAAAAATTGAAAAGTACAAATTATGAAAATGTTGACCATTTTGACATACCTTGCTAAAATATCTTTATATTGTATATAATGTGTTAAGTTATTTTCCAATATCTTTCTTTGGATACACATCTAAAAATTTCCTTCAATTTTCAATCTGGAAAGCGGCAGTGGCACTTGTATACATTTCTGTATTAGCTCAGGCTGGCATAACAAAACCCAATAGTCTGGGTGGTTTAAAAACAGAAAATAATTTTCTCACAGTCTGGAGGCTGGGAAGTGCATAATCAAGGTACTAGCTTTTTGGGCTCTGGTGAAGGCTCTCTTCTTGGCTTATAGAGGGCTGCCTTCTCTATGTGTTCTCATAGGGTAGAGAGCTCTGGTATCTCTCTCCTTATAAGGGCACTAATGCTATCAAATTAGGGCTCCTCCCTGATGACTTCATTTAAACATAATTACTTCCTGAAAACACTATCTCCAAATACAGTACAGTCACATTGAAGGTTAAAGCTTTAACATATGAATTTTGGTGGTCACGATTCAGCCCATAGCAATTTCCATTTGATCTTTTATAATAATACTTATTTGCATTTTTTAGACAACAAGCTTTGAGCTTTGCAAAAAAGCACACTAAAACCACACACTTAGAATTTTTGGCTGTGGCTCAAAGGACATTAGTATTCTGACTCAGCATAGGAGCGCGGGTGTCTTTGGGAACATATTTGTTGTGAGCCATATTTTTTTGTACATCATGTTACATATTCTTGGGGATAATTCTCCTTCATGAAACCCAAACCAGTTTGTAATAGGAACTTACTAGATTGATAGTCAATGCAGTTTGAACCAACAGAAGGAACAAAGAAAAATTACACTCTAAATTCAGAAAAAAAATTATAACACATAATAAAAAAATTTATAACACAAAAAAATTATAACAACTATTCTTCTTTCCTGAGAATTTTATACCATGGTGTTAAATTTATTTAGATTCTCACAGTTAAATAAGAGTCATGTGCTTTTTTTTTATCAGCACAAAATATTGGCTGTTGTAACACAAAAAATACGGGATATTTAGGAAACTATTTATATGATTCAGGGTCACACATATTTTTTTCTAATGACTTTGGTTAATACTTCCTGTTACTTTAGAAATATATAAGTAATAGACTTCTAGCTAAATGGCCATTTTAATGCAAGGACATGGCTATCTAATTTTCAAAATTTAAATAATTAAATAGGCATAAATATATCTGAATTAATTCTGGGACCCCTTGTATTTCAATCCTACTGCAACATTGAATTCAGAGAAATACTATATATAACCTAGAAGTAAAATATATACTTTCATCTCCCCAAGTCCATGTAAGGAAAACTTATAGCCTATAGCGTGCATTTATTGAATCCTCTTGCATTCTCTCTGCAAGTGTCCTGCAGCCTTAAATTCTTTCAAATTATCTCACTCTCTAATTCTTACTCTGACCTCCCTACCAAACACTCACCTGTATTTAGCTCCCTTGTCTGTTCAGTCGGTCTTTTCCAATTCTCATTCTCTCTTAGGTATCTGTTATCCACACTCCTTCTGTTATATGCATTCATCTCTCTCATATCTTTGATGAGCATTGGAGAGGAGCTGGAATCTCTCTGACAGCAGTGATGCATGGAGGACCTGAGGAGGTGGGATGAATGGCTCTCAGTCCCTGCATTTGGATAAGAGACGCTGCATGCTATTGGGAGACTTGGCATAGGTAGTCTTTTTTTTTCACTCCTAGCAGTGTCTGAGTTCATTGGTTTATTTACTACCCCCCACAGTATTAAACATGCTCTCCACCACTGTACGATTTTTCAGTACTCAGGAAACACTACAACATGTGTGACAGCTAAGAATTCACCAAATATTAGCACTTTTTGAATAGTCTATTAAATCACCAGGTAAAATGCACATACATTTTAATTAAGAATATTTTCACCATAATAGTCTACATTAAATAAAAATTCTTTGTTCCATTCCAACATGACAACTTGTTGAAATCTTCAGGTTCTGACTGACCTCACACTTAAAAGTATAAATAGTTCTTGAAAATATCTGGGTCACCTGATGACAACAACACAAACATAAAGAAAATACAAAATAATAAAGAAGCTCTGTGAGACTACTATATAGAGATTCTGCTGCTTTTTGTTCCCTAATTGAAATGAGACTCTTGCATTGGCTCTTGCTTGATCCAGACTGTGTTCAGCAACTACTCTCCTGTGATTAATGTTCTTAATCACATTTTTGAAATCGATGCAGCAAATGCTTCTTATTGTTTTAAAACCATATATTTTAAATTGAAATTTATTTTAATCAATCAAGTATGAATAACACTAAATATTTTTGTCCTAGCATTATGTATAATAAATTAAAAAACAAATGGCTTATACGGTATTGATTGACACCTGTATAATTAATTGAAACAGGTTGATAAGAAGGAGCTGTTTCCTTTCTGAAAACCTCCTACTACAAAGTCATGAATTGGCAAAATATTACTTAGCAATGTTTCAAATGCCTCATACAACATAATCTTTATGTTTTCCCAGATGATGTACTGTGAAAGGAAAATAAACCTCAAGACCCCCAAATCACTGAACCAAAAGGAAAAGTCAACCTGGGAACTGTGTCAGACAAACCTGCTTCCCATTTTATTCCTAAGTAAAATAGCTTAGCTATAAAGAAAAAAAAGCTACATACCTCTCTCACAATTTGCCCACAAAGAAATTCCTTGTGGGCATCAAAGTTTTTACCTAAAACACTTCTGTTGAATTTCAGTCTGGCAATGTAAATTGATAGCTTATCATCACGAGTTCAGGACAAAGGGCAGAACTCATAGTCATCCCTCTGCTGACCTGAGAGGAATGGATATCTGATCGTTTCCACTGCCGTATTGTTTATGTAAAACTGCAGATTCACTGAGCCAGACTAAGGCATAAATGATGTTTCCTCTACCCTGCTCTCACATGTAAATTGTGTATTTAGTAAAAGGCTAATCAGAGACTCAAAAGAATGCAACCATTTGTCTCTTATCTACCTATGACCAAGATGACACCTCCCCACCCTCCCCCCAAACCTTCGAGTTGTCCCGGCTCTCCACACCAAACCAATGTGTATATCTTACATATATGGATTGGTGTATTATGTCTCCCTACAATGTATAACGCCATGCTGTGCCTCAACCACCTTAGGCACCCCCTGAGGCTGTGTCACAGGCACGTCCTTAACTTTTGCAAAATAAACTTTCTAAATTGATTGAGACTTATCTGATGTATTTCACTCACAATGCTTAATAGCACTTCCAGTTTCTCTGGCATGAGGAGGTAATCTTTGTAAAGAAGATATAGGTAATTTTTCTGGATACTCCTTGATTCTTAGTAAATAATTAAGAAGACTAATAGCAATCAGATAGCTGTAGTAGAAGTCAATGAAATGGTAGTAGAAGAATGAAACCAGCCAACTCTAAAATCAATCCTTTTAGACCCTATGATTCTTGGTATTATTGATAGAAATTAATCATCATGTAGAAGACAAAATGACAATAACTTTTGCCATTATTTTAAATCTTTCACTGAATATTTATCTGATATAGATAAGTGATAGATTTCAGTCAGATAGTCCAAAGCCTAAATTCTATGTCCCAGAATTTTCCATGTCATTAACTTTAGAAGGTTAACTGTCCTTTAACTCTCCCTGAGGAGTACAGATTTCTCATCCTCACTTCTTGTATATTTATGTCTAAGTAGCTGTGGATTTTATATGCATTTAAAAATCTTTGCCTCTTTTAGGCTTTTCTTAGGGTCCAATTTCTCTTAAGAGCAAAAGTATCTCTTCACTATAAAATCATAGTTGTATATTGACTCACACACATATGCACACACATGCACACACATACACACATGAATTTATTGAGAAAAGAGTATTTTAAAAGGTATTCTAAAAGATTAGAAGCACAAAATTATATGTCTAAAGTATCAGTGCTATATAGGACCTGTACCCATTTTTGTAACTCATTGTTTCTGTAGAAGGAATTCTGCAATTTCCTTGTTTTATGTTTTTATAACAATGTCAATCTTTCTAATTCTTATAACTTAAAAACTCTGGATTGTGCTATGATCACATTCAATTTAAAATAATTTAAGTGCATTATTTTTATTGAAACATGGTTTCTGAACCTTGGCACTATTAACATTTTGGGCTGGAAGATTCTTATTGTAGGAAGATGTCCTGTGCTTTGTAGGATGTTTTGCAGCATCCCTGGCTTTTACCCCGTAGATCCCAGTAGAATCCCTCAGTGGTGACAACCAAAAATGTTGGCTTGGCAATTGTCCCTGGGGGGCAAAGTCACTCCTAGTTGGAAATCACTGCCTTATTTAAAAGAAAGGTGTTAAAAATATTTGATTGTCATAATTAATATGTGACATTATTAATAATAATAATGTCCACATTTGGGTGGCCCACTCTGGATGTGTTCCAATAGAAATCAATACAACTTGTTTCCATTTAATAGATATTTCTCAATTTTAGTGAATTTTGTAGAAATAAATGCAAAATCTAAAGCTCAATCAAATAATCTTCACTTTTGGATTAATATTTTGAGGGCATTTAAACCTCCTTCTGTTTATGTATGCCGTTTCCCCTCTTTGTTTTATATATTAAGGTAAGAGGACATGATTTCATTGTCTCTGCATAGCTTATTGATGACATCTGCTGCTTTGCCCTCAGCACCTCACAGAAAATTCAAGGCAAATTAATGTCCAGATGGTTTTATCTGTACAAAAAACTTTTCTAGATATACAGCCTATTTTAGCATAGTATCTTATGTCCTAGAGGGAAAGCCAAGAGTAATTTAATGCCATTAGGCAGAGTAAAACTTAGAAAATATGATCTATTTATTCTTTAAAATTCTCTTCAAGTTTTGCATCTTCTTTCACTTCTATATAATGCATCATCTCTTTGCAATGCTCTTCTCTAGTTAATATTGACTGCTATGAATATTATATTCTTTCTCATTATATTTTTGTGAAACATTATTCAAGCAACTTTCCAAGCCAATTTGGTTTTATATAAAGAAGAAAGATATATCCATATGTAAGAAGCAGATACATACAAATATATATTTACTAAATCTAAATTTAAAACTCTAAAATTATTGTTGTGCAAATAAATATTTTTATTAAAAATATTAAGTTATGATAAAATAAACATAAAATTGCCATCCTAGCCATTTTAAGTGTGTACTTCAGTAGTGGTTATGTTCACACTGTTGTGCAACCAATCTCCAGAACTTTTTCATTTTGCAAAACTGAAAGTCTGTACCTATAAAACAACAACTCTCCATTTCCTCCTCCTCTCAGCTCCTAGCCAGGACCATTCTATCTTCTGTCTCTATGATTTTGATTACTCTAAGTACCTCATATATGTGGAAACATACTGTATTTGTCTTTTTGTGACTTGTTTATCTTATTTAGCATAGCGTCCTCAATGTTCGTCTACGCTGTAGCATGTGTCAGAATTTCCTCCTTTTTAAAGGCTGAATAATATCCCATTTTAATGGTATACCACTTTTTTTGTTCCTTCATCTGTGAATGGATATTTGGGGTGCTTTCACCTTTGGATTTATTGTAAATGAAGTTATGATCATGGTGTACAAATACTTCTTCAAGACCCTGCTTTTGATTCTTTTGGCTGTATACCCAGATGTTAAATTGCTGGATCATACTATATTAATTCATTTTAATATGAATTTTTCACGTGTACATACTAAAATTCATTTTAATATGCATTTTTCTCTAGCCGGCTTTCTAAAATAGTATTACCTGGATGCTTTCCATGTAAGCACTTACATATCCACATTATTCTTTAAATTGCTGCATAATATTCCACTACATCTATTTACTGTGATTTATTTCCCTGATAACTCTTTGAGAGACATTTAGCTGTTTTTAATGTAAAATCGACAATGCTTCACTGAACGTTCTTATACATGTCTCTTTGCACACTTGTGAGAATACACAGATTTCTAAAAGTAGAATAGCTTTTGACCCAGCTATTCTATTTTTCCTTGTAATAGACATTGACAAAAGACCCCTTAAAGAGGCACACTGATTTTACATTTTCACCCAGAGGATATGAGTGGGAAATTTTAAAGCTTGTCTTTCCATTTCATTTTTGAATTTTGAGGAAGGTTTTTAAATTAACTTGCTAGGCAAAATAATTTTTTAATTTACAAATAATAATTGCATATATTTATGGGGTACATAGTGATATTTTGATACATATAATGAATAGTAATGTGACCAGGGTAATTGCATATCCACCAACTCTAGCATTTATCATTTCTTTGGGAATATTCAATGTCCTGTTTGAAACTATATAATATATTTGATAGCTATTTGAAACTATATAACATATTATTGTTAACTATAGTCATTCTACAATGGTATAGACCAGTAGAACTTATTCCTCTATTGACCCAAATTTTGTATCCTTTAACAAATCCCTCCCTATAACCCCATTTCCCTGCATTTTCCAGCTCTGCCCAAAGCAGTCTACAGATTCAATGCAATCTCTTTAAAAATAACAATGACATTCTTCACACACACACACCTAAAAATTTGTTGAAACCACAAAAGACCCCAAAGATCCAGAACAATCTTGAACAGAAAAGAACAAAGCTGAAGGCATCAATCGTACTACCAGACTTCAAAATATACCACAAAGCTGTAGTAACCAAAACAGTGTGATACTGGCATAAAAAGCAGACACATGGACCAATGAAAGAGACTAGAGAAGCCAGAAATTAATCCACATATCTGCAGCCAACTGATATTTGAAAAGGTACCAAGAATACTAATTGGAGAAAGGAAATCTCTCCAGGCAATGATGGTGGGAAAACTGGGTATCCAGAAGAATGAAAGTAGACGTCTACCTCCCATGCTATGCAAAAATCAACTCAGAATGGATCAAAGACCTAAATGTAAGATTTGAAACTATAAAACTACTGTAATAAAACATAGGGGATTTCTGGACATTGGTCTGGGAAAATTTTTATGAATAACACCTCAAAAGCACAAACAATGAAAGCAAAAATAAACAATTGGGACCCTATCAAACTACAAACCTTCTGCACAGCAAAGGAAACAACAGAGTAATAGGCAACTGACAGAATGGGAGAAAATATTTGCAAACTATTTATCCAATAGGGGGTTACTATCCAGAATATACAAGAAACTCAAACACCTCAACAGCAAAAATCCAAACATTCCCCTGATTAAAAAATGGTCAAATAATGTGAATAAACATTTCTCAGAAAAAGATACACAAATAGCCAAGAAATATATAAACGGCACAACATCCTAATCATCAAGGAAATGCAAGTCAAAACCACCATGAGTTAACATTTCACCCCAGTTAGGGTGGCCACTATGAAAAAGATAAAAAACAGCAAATGCTGGTGAGAATGCAGAGTAAGGGGAACTCATAGACTTCTGATGATAATGTAAGCTAGTACAACTATGGAGAACAGAATGGAGGTTCTTCAAAAAAGTAAAAATATTAATAGAACTACTGTATGATTCAACAATCTTACTTCTGGGTATTTATCCAAAGGAGAATAAATCAGTATATTGAAGAGATACCTGCAACCTCGTGTTTATTGCAGCACTATTCACAGTAGCCAAGATATGGGATCAACATAGCTGTCCAAAAACAGATAAATGAATAAAGAAAATACGACTTATATACACCATAAAATATTATTCAGTCTTATTAAAGAATAAAATTCTGTCATTTGTGGCAACGTAGATGGAACTGGAGGATGGTATGTTAAGTGAATTAAGCCAGGAATGGAAAGTTAAAATACCACATGTTCTCACTCATATATATAAGCTAAAATCAGTTGATCTCACTGCAGTAAAAAGTGTAACAAATAAGTATTTTTGTTTGAGTAATATTTCAAATATTTTTCTAATTACATGTGTTCATTTTATAAAGATGAATAATGGTAGTAAATTTAATAAAGAAAATAAAAATTATCCATAAATCAACACAGAAATAACTACTAACTGTAATCATGACTGTTGAGCTCACTGTAAAAATAAAATTTCTATACACACACACAGACACACACACACACACACACATATATATATACACACACACAATACTTTGAGGCCATGTGTATAGAAGGTACTCATAAACCAGTGAAATAATGTATGTTTTACTTCACCTCTGTAATCTTGGTTTTTCTTTGTGAGAGAGATATTTATTGAAAGTGTGTCATATTCTTCTTGGAAATAATATAGCAAATCTCTAATTTTACTGTAGAATTTTCTGATTATTCTAAAAATACAATATTCTCATATGTTTGGGAAGGTGATACAAAACTATACCTAAACATCATGTAAAAATGCTTTAAAAAGGGAATAAGCATTGTGTTTCTGAAGAAATGAGTAGTGAATCTTGCTCAGTGTCCAGCTACCACCTCTGAATCACTATCCCTTATCCTGTAATTAGATCTGTGAAAACAGGGAAAAGTACACTAAAAATAAGTAAATAAATAAGTTGTGTCAGTTGTATGTTTCACACAGCAATTTATTTGGTTACTTATTATTTTTGCTTGTTTGGTTGGCTTGGTAATTAAAAATGGCAACCTATATGCAGATTTTCTGAATAAGTATTTGTAATACTTATGAAAAATCTACCTGGAAAAGCAGTGGCTGCATGAATTGTTAATCATGAGTTCTTTGGACAGAGGCATTTCTTTTTCTGTCATGATCAGAATGACTTATGAGTTTCTGCATAGTGTAGGCTCAAGGAGAAGGTATGTGCCTCATCAGTGTGACTGAGTTATGGCAGGAACCATTTAGAAAGCAATGCTACTGCAGATGTAGGAAGTGCTTAAGTGATGTATGGTGATGTATGTGTATAATCGTTGTATCTCTAATGACTTCTCTCTTCTGGCAAAAGTTAGTGTTTATATCATTTTTTGATTTTATGCTCAGACATTCATGTCTTTTCTTACTATGCAAACTGATAGATTTTGCTTTTTAAAAGAATAAAGTGCATTCAAAAAAATCTACTTTCAATTTTGCTGTGTGTGGTTTAAGTTACCAAGTATTGTTTGTATTACTGAATGTTCAGCACTATTGCAGTTATATATTAAAATGATTTACCTAAGTGTGTTGCAGTTAAACCCTGTTAAAATGGCATTTTGTGGAGAGTACTGTACGCCTCTGATACTTAATTCAGTTTTAACAGTGTAATGGGAGAACATTGTTTATGCTATAGAATGATTCACTCAGGACATTAAAGTGCAATGAGAAAATTGTTACCTCTAGTAAAATTTATGACAATGTGGTATCTAGAAATGCTTGATAAACCCCAAAGAGAATTATTTCTTAGTTGGTAGATAACTATAGTATATACTTGTAAATTTTTCAAAAGTAAATTCACAAGTAACTAAAATCACAGGATCTTTATGAAATTACATTTGCATATAATGAAATGAACAACAATAGAGATACTTGTTTGGTCCTAAATTAATCATCGTCATTTATAGATAATATAACTAGAAATAGTTATTGATAGTTTTTGATAGTAGGTTAGAATAATTTTATATCACTCCTAATTTTTACTTTCTTTTTCTTGTAAGGATATTCCACTATAAAGGTAAAACTTATAAAAACAGAAAACCTAAAAAGGAGAAATCAGAAAGAAGGTAAAGCATGCTATTTTTTAAATTTGTAATGTTTAATATTTGTGAGTACATAGAAGGTATATATATTTATGGATTACATGAGCTATTTTGATACAGGCATGCAATGCATAAAAATGACAATAGAGTAAATGAGATATTTATCACCCTGAACATTTATATTTTGTGTTACAAACAATTGAATTATACTCTTACATTATTTAAAAATGTACAGTTAAATTATTGTTGACTACAGTCACGGTCTTATTCATCCCATTGTAATCCCATTTACAATAGTTACAAATAAAACTAAAAATCTAGGAATTAACATATTCAAAGAAGTAAGATATCTCTAAAATGGTTGTGAGGCTTGCTGGAACTCAAGTTCCAACCACTGGGATGGGCCATTTCTCTCTGGATAGGGCCCATTTAAATGCTCCTTCCATGGGTAAACATGCCCTTTATTTCTTTCTCTTGTCTGATTGCTCTAGCTGGGACTTCCAGTACTGTGTTCAATAACAGTGGTGAAAGTGAGTATCCCTGCCTTGTTCCAGGTCTTAGAGGAAAAGCTTTCCATTTTTTCCCCATTCAGTATGATACTAGCCATGGGTCTGTTGTATACAGCTTTTTGTGTGTTGAGGTATGTTCCATGTATACCCAGTTTTTGAGGGTTTTTATCATGAAGACATGTTGAATTTTATAAAGTTCTTTTTCACCATCAATGGAAATGACCATATCGATTTTATCCTTTATTCTATTGATATGATGTATCACATTGATTGATTTGCATATGTTGAGCCATCCTTGAATCCCTGTAATAAATTTCAATTGATCATGATGATGATCTTTTTAAATGTATTGCTGAATTAGGTTTGCTAGTATTTTGTTGAGGACTTTTGAATTAATATTCATTAGAAATATTGGCCTGTAGTTTTCTTTTTCTAATGTATCTTTTTCTGGCATTGGTATCAGGCTAAGACTGGCCTTGTAGAAGTTTTTTCTCTTCCTCTATATTTTTGCAATAGTTAGAGTAGCACTGGTATTAATTCTTCCTTAGATGTTTGGTAGAATTCAACAGTGAAGCCATCAGGACCAGGGCTTTTCTTTGCTTGGATACTCTTTATTACAGTTTTAGTCTTATCACTTGTTATTAATCTGTTCAGATTTTGGATTTGTTCACGGTTCAGTCTTGGTAGGTTGTATGTGTCTAGGAATTTATTCATTACTTCTTGATCTTCCAATTTATTGGCATGTATTTGCCCATTGTAGCATGTAATGATCCTTTGAATTTCAGTGATATCAGTTGTGATATCTGCTTTTTCATCTCTGATTTTATTTATTTGGGTCTTCTCCCCTTTTTTCTGTTAGTCTGGCTAAAAGTTTGTCAATTTTTTTATCTTTTCAAAAAATCTACATTTTGTTTTAATGATCTTTTGTATTATTTTATTCATTTCAATTTTATTTATTTCTGCTCTGATGTCTGTTATTTATTTTCTTCTCCAAATTTTGGGCTTGGTCTGCTCTTGTTTTTCTAGTTCTTTTAGATGCATCATTATATTATTTCATTTATGTTTTTCTTCTTTTTTGGTTTAGGCATTTAAAGCTATACATTTCCCTCTTAGTACTGCTTTCACTCTATCCTAGAGATTTTAGTATGTTGTGTTTCCATTATCATTTATTTCAAGAAAGTTTTTAATTTTCTTTTTAATTTCTTTATTGACTCACTGATCATTCAGGAGCACATTATTTAATTTTCATGTGTTTTTATAGTTTCTAACATTTCTTTTATTATTGATTTCTAGTTTTATTCCACTGTGGTCAGAGAAGATTCTTGATATTATTTCAATTGTTTTGAATGTTTTAAGACTCATCTTGTGACCTAGCACATGGTTTATTTTTTAGAATAATACATTTGCTTAAGAGAAGAATGTGTACTCTACAGTCATTGGATAAAAAAAAAATTCTGTATATAGCGATTAGGTTCATTTGTTCCATAGTGCAGATTAAGTCAGATGTTTCTTTTTTGATTTTCTGTCTGGAAGATCTGAAAAATCCTGAAGGTGGGATGTTGAAATTTACAGCTATTACTCTATTGTTGTCTACCTCTTTCTTTAGTTATAGTAATATTTGCTTTATATACCTGGAGACTCCATTATTGGGTGTGTGTATATTTACAATTGTAGTATTCCCTTGATGAATTCACCTTTTTATCATTATATAGTGCCCTTCTTTGTCTCTTCTTGTAGTTTTTGTCTTGAAATCTATTTTGTTTGATATAAATATAGCTACTCCCCATCTTTTTTGGTTTTCATTGGCATAGAATTTTTTTTATCTTTTTATTTTCAGTCGCATGTATCTTTATAGGTGAAGTATATTTCTTGCACCTTCACAATGCAATGTTGCACATTGATGCAACAGATCATTGCGTCTTTGTTTTTTTCCATTTATTCAGCTACACTATGTCTTTTGATTGGAGCGTTTATTCTATTTACCTTCAATGTTGTTATTGATTGGTAGGGACTTACTCCTTCCATTTTGTTATTTGTTTTCTGGTTGTTATGTGGTTGTCTTCTTTCCTCCTTTCCTATCTCCCTTTTAGTGAAGGTGATTTTCTCTGGTGATATGCTTTAATTTATTACTTTTTATTCTTTGTGTATTCATTGTATGTTTTTTGATTTGATGTTACCAAGAAGCTTGCAAATACTGTCTCATAATCCATTATTTTAAACTGATAACAACTTAACACTGATTGCACACAGAAACAAGCAGCAAAAAGAAAACTATATAAAAACTCTAACCCTTAACCTCATCACCCCACTTTCAAACTTTTTATTGTTTTTATTATATCTTGTTATACTGTCTGTGTCTTGAAAAGTTGTAGTTACTGTTTTTGATTGGCTTATCATTTACTCTTTCTACTTAAAGTAAGAGTAGTTTACACAACACAGTTACAGTGTTATAATATTCTGTGTTTTTCTGGGTACTTACTATTACCAGTGAGTTTTGTACCTTCAGATGATTTCTTATTGCTCATTAATGTCCTTTTCTTTCTAATTAAAGTATGCTCTTTAGCATATCTTGTAGGACAGACCTGATGTTTGATAAGGTCATGTTTTCCTGGTTAGTGGTGGTACTTGTAGATGTTCTTCAGTGTCTGGGCAATGAAGAATTAGGTATTTATTTTAGTCTTCACAGTCTGGGCTTGTTGGACATCTTTGGGAAGGTTTCCCAGGTATTCAAAAGGACTGGAGTATTGTAATCTAAGCCATGTCTACACTAGGGGGCACCTGAATCCCAGTAACAGTGAGTTTCTTGCAGATTTGTAGAGTTACCACTTTAGTGGTCTTACATGAGATCTGAAAAAATTATCCAGATTACCAGGCAGAGACTTTTTTTTTCCCTTACTTGCTTCCAAACTCATGGACTGTCTGTCTTTGCTGAGCTGTCTGGAGTTGGGAGGGCATGACAGCAAACACCCCGGTGGCCACCACCATTACGACTGTTCTTTGTCAGACCTGAAGCCAGCACAGCATTGGGTCTCTCTTGCCAAGGCCCACTGTAACTACTACCCAGCTACCACCTATGTTCTCTTGAGGCCCTGAGGCTCTACAGTCAGCTTATGGTGAAGCCAGTCAGGCTTGTGTTCTTTTCTTCAAGAGAGCAAGTTCCCTGAGGCTCTGGGCTGGTTTAGAGATTTCATATAGAAGCCACAGGCTGGAGTCAAATTCTTAGAAGTCTACCTGGGGTTCTATTGTACTGTGATTGAGTTGGCACTCAAACTATGAGACTTAGTCCTTCCCACTGTTTCCTCTCCTTTCCACAGGCAGAGGATATCACTCTGTGGCCACCACCACCAAAGGCCCATGGGGCGTACTGCCAGGCTACCACTGACATTCATTTCAGGCCCAGTGGCTCTTTAGTCAGATTGTGGTGAATGCTATTAGGCCTGGGACTCACCCTTCAGGGCAGTGAACTCCCCTTTGGCCCAGGCCTGGTCCAGAAATGCTATCCAAGAACCAAGGCCTAGAATTGAGGAACCCAAGAGTCCACTTGGTACTCTACCCACCTGTTGCTGAGCTGGATTCTAAGGTACAATACAAAGTCCCTTTTATTTTTACCTCTGCTTTTCTCGAACCAAAGGAGTCTCTCACCATAGCAACAAAATCTGGGAATGTGTTGGGTCTCACTCGACGTCAGCATGACTCAGAATCTCACCAAAGGACCATGGCATACTACCTAGGTATCATTGCTGATTATTCAGGGCCAAAGGGCTCTTTATTAAGCAAGTGATGGATCCTGCCCAGACTGGGTCCTTCCTTTCAAGGCAGCAGATTTCCTTTTAGTCTAAGGTGTGTCTAGAAATGTCATCCCAGAGCTAGGGCCTGGAACACAGGACACATGACTTTGATCAGTGCTCTATCCTACTGTGGCTAAGCTGGTTTCCAAGATGAAAGACAAAGTCCTCTTTTCTTTCCCCCTTCCTCTTCTCAAGCAGAGGGAAGGTGCCTCTTTTGGAGCCATGATCTGTGCTGCCTGAGGCTTGGGGAGGGGTGGGACAAGCACTCTCTTACCCTGGCTGGTGTCTCAGTAAGTTGCATGCCCCCCGGTTTCACTGGTTCTGAGCCCAGCTCAGCACTCAGACTTGCATAGGAGTTGCAGTCCTTGTGGCCTAGACTGCCTTTCAAATATATATAGGGTCCCAGAGCACGTTAGCCCATGGTTGTGAGGCCTGCTAGAACTCAAGTTCCAACTGCTGGGATGGGCCATTTCTCTCTGGATAGGGCCCATTTAAATGCTCCTTCCATGGGTAAACATTGGCTGAGTTTACCCCAGTTTTGTCTTCTGCTGTGACAGGGAAGAACTGAGTTCAATGCAAAGTCTCACAATCGCTGCACTCACCCTCTCCAAATCACATAAATTTTCTCTCCACACCCAGAGACTGCTGCCAGAGAATTAGGGAGGGTGGCTTCAACGATTTAAGACTGTCTTTCTTACACTCTTAAGAGAAGATTGAACAGCAGGGAAAAACAAATTTAAAAATCTAGAAAGTTTATGTGATACATATAGATATGATGAAAAAAATGACTACTAAGTATGAAATTTGAAACAAAATGCTATATTGGTTAGGACATTTATAAAACCAATAAAACATAAGGAAAAGATGCATGAACCTCATGTGAATCTTTTAACTGCAAAACCCAATAATTTAAAATAAAGTTGTAATGCATGGGCTAATATCAGATTCATACAAGTTCATGGAGCCTCTTGGAACCATTTTTTATTAGCATGCCTAGCATTTTTTATAGAATTCCTGACATTGTATATTGAAATTGTAGAGGCCCTGAATGATGTTATATTCTTCATTCATTTAAAATGATTTGATTTTCTCCTGGCAGAGGGAAAGGTTACATGCAGATTACTCTGATCCAGTTGAGAGTTAGCTTTGGGCTTCCTTAGAGTTAGACTGTTTCTTGTTTGTTCTTCCTCCTGGGAATAATTTACACCTAGGGCATGGCTATTCCAAGGTTGCAGTTGAAATTCCAGGGTTTTAAACAAAATCTCTCTGCTTCTTGAGTCATAGACTGACTTTTGTCACCCTACTTCCATGAAACTGTCAAATCTCTGCTTAGGCCTTCAGCTTCCTGCATTTTGCTTTTTTTATTTATTTCTCTTTTTTTAGTATTTTGTTTATTGCATTGGAAGCTTAGGGTTTGACAAATACTTAGAGGAGGAGAAATTGAATAATTTCAGGTTCACATCTATGATTCTCTCTTCTTCAGGATTTGGCATTTCTGTTCCGGTTTTTGCTTCCAAAACCCAGTGAAACTCCCACAAGCACCTGGATGTCTAGACACTGGTATTCTCTTTACAGCACAAGAAATTTGCTGATATCCTGGAGGAAATGTGGCCAAACCTCAGTGTGCTTCTCTTTCCTGTTAGATGTTGGTCCCTCAAATTCTAAAGTTTATTGTTTCTTTTTTAATCCATGTTTTAGATTTATACTAGTTGGGGCTGTTAATCTGATACAAACTCTTCTGTTGAGACCAAAGAACCAGTGATTTTAACAAGGGGAATATATTCCATGTCCCTATACTGGCACCAGCAGGGGATAGACTTCTAAAACTGCTCAATCTCTGTGAAGGCCATTCTTCCCAAAACCCTGTTTAATTATAGTCTTTGAGTACAATATTTAAGGCAGATATTCTTAGTATGTAGAATAAGGGGTTGTCAGATTGTCAAACCTAGAAAATTTCTGCACTGAAAAGGAAGGAGATCCTTTGTACTTCTTTCAAGCAGAATTTATAATGGCTAGAGACCAAGAAGTGCTGTGCATTTGCCATTATCCTCCATTATTAATGGTAGTTTAGTTTTATTTTTCTTGTGCTCCGGCATCATTTTTCAAATATGTACAGAGGAGGTAACTTGTAATTTAGTTTGATATAATCAAACCACAAAGAATCATATCTAGACTTGATCAGAAAAATTAAACATCACCTAGATACCCTATACTTTGACCTGGGTATGAATTGGATAAAGCTTTTTAGTTATTTCCTTTGAGGAGGTGGGAAGTATGCCTCATGCATGGGAAGGTATCATGTATGTACAAATGTAGTGTATGGATATTGGAGAGCCAAAATGTGAACTGCATGAGATACTTGCTTTTGGCCTACATTGTAAATAGTCTTACTTTGTTCCTTACTAATTAAACTCCAGCTTTGTTGTAAGCACCAAAACCTCTAAAAATGTATATTTTCCAACCATCCTTATAGACAGAAATAACCATGTGACTGAGTTCTACCAAATGACATATGAGAAAAAGTCATTGGACAGAGTTTCTAGGAAAGAATCTTAAAACCGAAGAAGAGTCAGCTAGTATAAGTTTGCTTCTTCCTTTTTTTCTTTTGCTCCTTTCCTTTCTTCCTGCTTTAAATACTAAGATGAGGGCCAGAGCTATAGCCTCTCTCTTTACTTTCTTCACATTTTGAAGGTAAAGCTAAGATCTTAGTCTTGGGCTCTGATAGCCACGATCAGTCGATATAAATGTCAGCACATGCCTACCTTCTGACATTTTGTAATATGGGAAAATAAAACCCTGAGTTATTTAAAGTTCTATACAATTAACTCTTTTCTTTATAGATAGCCTTTACAGTATCATATCTACAGTCTCATTTCTACATAAAGTAGAAAGCACGACATAATAGTCTCTTTTACTCATAGCACCATCAAATATGCACTTAATGAAATTGAATATTAATAAAATATATGCTTATTTCATTCATACACCAAAATTAGGGAAAAGACAAAGTAGACTAGCTGTAATTTACACTTGTGGGATTGGGAACATGGTCCAGCATTTTTTCAAAACCATCTCTCTAATTGCTTAAATAATAGAGCCATTAGAATAAGAGTGGGCAATAGATCAAGACCAAGGGTTATTTAAAGTTGTGATTTCTTTGCAAGCTGTGTTCTAAATAGAAGGATGTATAACTGAAATTCCAAGCAATGCTAAGCCATTTACACTAAGTTGCTCTACAACTTCAATTGTTTGCTGAAGTTCCAATGCTACTTATAGGCCTGCAAAAAACCCAGACCGTTTTATAGATATTAAGACTTGTTCAGGCTTATATGTAAATCCCTAGGTTTGTGTGTCCAACTTTCAGATGAGTATTGTCTTTACTACTTTTCCTCTAGGGTTTAATTTTGTGTGCTAATCACATAATTACTTTTTTCCTCAAGAACTTTTTACTAAATTGCACAGGAATATTTATATATTTTTTATGACAACGGCATGTAACAAATAGTATTTTTTTCTATGATTAAGCAATTTTGAAAATTCTGTCGTCACATAATTATTTTATCTAACGTCTATGAAAGCAAACAAATTTCTGAGAATGCAAGAAGTGTAGCAGAAATACAGAAAAAGAAGAGGAATGGAGTGGATAAAGGTAAAAAAAGAAAACAATGAAGAAGAGGAAAGACAAGGAGAAGAGGAAGAATGGTACTATTTTTTCTGTATTTAGTTTTTATCAGGTACTGGAATAATGTCACTGTGTTTATAAAAACATTTAATCTCCTCAACAACTCTATGTAATAGGTCCTAATTATGATAACCATTTTAACATGAGAAGAATCCATATTTAGTGAGTTAAAGAGATTTCCTCATGATCATACAGGTAGTATAGAATAGAAGAGGGGCTTAATTCAAGATGCCTGTCTTAGGAACCAATGCACTTAGTAAAATATAAATCGTGTTGTCTCAGGCCTTTTCTTGCTACCTAAGGCCAAGAGGTAGAAGAGTACTGTGAGAGATACATAGAAATGATTTCCCTCTTCCACAGTTCTTCAATTCATTCTCTTACTGACTTTCTAGGAATTAATCCACTATTGCCTGTAAACCTTACTGTCTGAAGTTTTACTGGGATTTTCCACCCAAAAGATATGGAAATTAAGAGAATAATTTCAAGACCCTTCTTATTTGAAATGTGCCTATAAGCCCCCAGATTAAATTCCTCGATGACTAGAGGATACCTTTCCTCCAACTAATTTGTGAGCACTTTGTGTTTCTGAAATAAGTATAACAGGTCACAAATTCGATGTACAGCATGCTCCTTTAGTGAATCTGATGCTTCTTCAAAATGTCTACTTCTAAGGTAAAATGAATTCTTAGATTTGGAAAGGAAGATAATTTAGTATCACTCTTGGCCATCTGTAAATCACATCCTTAGTTATAACTACCTGCTTCACACCCTGTCCAATTCTACAACTCACTGCTTCCACTTATGTTAGCAACCTACACAGATATATGTCCAAAGATCTAACAGGGAATTCTGGCGCTCTGTGTTACCCTATTGCCATTCACTGCTACTTTCCCTTCTCCACTGGTAAATGGCCAGGTGCCTCCAGACTGTGTGGAGGCTGAGGTTACTGCTGTCTGGCAATGACTCCTATAGTTGCACCCACACAATGAGTTACACCTGCAAGAGCAGATGTGGTAGAGAGAAAGTGGGAGGTCTCTGTATTTGGTTTCTTCCTGACAACCAAGAAGCTAAATAGATGATTGTTGGATAAATGGTGATTTACAACTTTGACAGCTCTCTGCCAGATTAAGGGAGGAAAATCTATTATATTCTCTAATTCTAGGCCTTAACATTAGGAAACTCAACATATTTCTTTTTGATCAAGAATATTATGATACATAAGAATGCCATTAGCAGATCCATTCCACTTTTTGCCTTTAACACTAACCTATAAAGGAATTTTATATAAGCAATATGCTGGCCAGACTACCTTTTGCAATGCACTTTACACAAAATTCAAGAATTTTCGGTCAAAAAAAGTTCTTATGTTCGTCTACCACCTAGCAGAAGAACCGAACAACATTTGAAAATATACACACACATTCCAGAGTATGCTATCAGTTAAGAGATGTTATTCTCTTTTCACACTCAGAAGAGTTGGTCGTGAAAATCTAGTTAGTAGCATAGATTTTATTATTTACACAAATATTTACTGCTTGAGAGTTATGATCACCTCACACACGTAGTCTAAAAACTCCTATGATCAAAGGCACACATGACTGATCAAATAATCTACATAATCCCCAATTACAGGTAAAATCAAGCCTTTACCAATGTGATGAAGTTGTGTTTGAAATGGTACATGCTTTGTTGCTGGTAGAGAGGCATCTGCTTTTGGTGATTGTTTTCACATAATGCCAGGAAGGCCATATGTCCATCGAGGCAACTTGCTTGACATCATGACCTGAATATCCTAGAATTTTCACAATACCTTTTAGAAGGGAGTGGAAAGGTTTAAAAGCCTATACTAAGATTTTTCTATACACAGTTTCCTAAACAGACTTATCAACAACCAATATATGCTAATCAAGATTTTACCATAAGTGTCATTACAGATAAACACTGTAGACTATCTGACAAAAAAAAAAAAGAAATACAAACCTGACTTTACTAGGAATATTACGATAAAAAAAAAAAAAAGACTGTGCAGACCCACTAGGGTAGATCAAATTTTAGGACCCAATTCTTTGTCTGTACTTGTATCTGCATCTTTGCCATGTGGCTTTCTAAATCCTAACCCTAGATGTACTTCTCCACCTCTTGATTTTGAGCTTGGCCATGTAATTTGGTTTGATAACGAAGTGTTAGCAAAATATGACTGAAGCAGAATAGGGAAATGTGCTCACGTGTTTGAACTTGCCATTTTGTGCTCTGTCCACCATGAGAACAACTGAACCCAGGAAGCTTACTAGTCTCAGAAGAATGAGGCATGCAGAATAGACTAAACTATATATGTAGCTGGGAATTACATCTAGTTAAACCTTGCTGGTATCAGAAGACCTACGCTAGCTGACTTGCAGACACATAAATAGGAATAAATGATTATTTCAACTCATTGAGTTTTGGGGTGTTATGGCATACAACTTTACTATAGCCATAACTGACAATTGCAGAAGTTGCTCCCAGGAAATTAGGCGTTACTCTTAAGAAAAACCTAAAATATGATTTTGACCAAGGCTACAAGTGACAAGAAAACTACAATAATTGGCCAGAAGAACAGTGAGAAAACTATTATAGGACACTAGAAAAATTGTGACTTACAATATGTAGTACTGAAACATTTAATACAACTAATGCCTGCAACTGGAAAAAGGATTATATATGTGATAAACATCTAGAGGTACTACAAGGAAACGATGGAATCAGAAAAGAAAGAGCCAATTTGCAAACAGTATTTAGGAGTAGCAGAGACAGTTCAGAATTGCAGAGTTGCTAAATGAAACTGTTTTTCACCAAATTAAAGATGTAGCCATTAAAATACAGCCTCAAGGAAAAGGCCTAATTCAGAGCATTACCATTAAAAGTCATCTCAGGAAAAATATTCAGTGAAGGATGTTGTCATTAAACCTTTCATTAAAACGTCTAAAATAATTAACATACCTTGTAGATCATGTCTCTAAAAACTAACTAGCTTGCTCTTCAACAGGAGATAAGTGGTGCTAGAATGATTAAAGTAGTATTTTTATCAAAATATAATATATCTAAAGTACCTATAGTTGAGTCTAGAGAGAGAGGCATTTGGAAAGAATTATGGACGTTGATTTTGGCAAAGAGAGTTGACCTCAAAATACATAGAAAACTCATAACCTTGTAAAACTAAAATTCTATTAGCAAAAAAGCACTGCCATCTAGACTAGAAGAGATTGAGAGTTCCACTAAAGACTTCTTAGTCTCCAAATTTCTACAAGTGGTTAGCAGGTTGCCAAAAAAAGATGTATGTACCAATTCCCTCTTTATAACTGTCCAAGGAATATGATGAAAAAGAAATGAACTTCCAGAAGGCAGAGGATGAGAACAATGATCTATGGTCATACCCCCAAATTTTAAGTCAAGGAATATTTCCTAGCCCCAGGTAATGCCAAGTGGGATTTCAGAATTGCTATGGACAAGAGACTGCTAAATACCTCCTATTCTTCCCTTTTTAAATGAAATAATTTATTGTTGTTATGTTGTCTCTCTTTAACATTATGTGACAGATTATTTGACTTTTTAGTTCATAGGTCTGTAGATTCAGAGGCACTGCATGTAGAGTTCATCTAGATCATGAGATCCTGGACTTGGAGCCTGAAATCATGATGTGGTTGAAACTTTTGCAGGTTTCATGATGAGGAAAGGATAAAAAATTAGATGCTTGTAGGAAGACATGATTTTAACTTCTAAATATATAGCTAAGAATGAAATCGTAGCATAGTGGTTAAGAGTGTACCAAAAACCTAAACAAGGATTTTAACCACTTACTAACTCCTGGTTGTACTTTATATTTAAAATGGTAGTAATAACATGTAATGATTAGTTATATGTTATAATAAGTATATAGTGTAAGTATATAGTGTACTATATGCAAAGCCCCAGTACAGGGTTGGCCCACCAGTGATTCAGTATATTGTGATCCATATTATTCTCAACTGAATTACTGGTTTTAATTCATTTTATGCCTACCTTTGGCATAGTAAAAGAACTGCATTTTCATTGATGTGATAGTCATGAGATACACATGATTTTAAAAGCTGATAAAAATGTCCAACTGTAATTATTTTCTTAGGTATAATTCTATTATTAATGCAGAAATTCAAGCTGTTAGAATGTCCTATTTTTAATGACAATAATGATCTACTTGTATAGCTATGCTAGCAATATCTGCTAATTCCAACTGTAAATTCTGGATATTAAGCTTTTGTATTACTAACTACAAGAAAAGCATATTATTAATGGTTAAGAGAAGGCATATTTAATAAAATGATTTCAGGCCCAAATTTCTCTTTGAAATATTTCTTGGAAATACACATTCTTTAAGAGTTTCCATTTGTAAAGCAGGTACAGTAGTTAGTTTTGCAATAATCATATTGGTTTTCTATTTTTAATTTTTGAAAATAACCATTCAACGATTCTTTTGTACAACAAATGCTGTAACAGCACTTACAATGTCCTATTAATCACTCTATTATAATTATTAAAATGACAGTCCAATTTAGCCAACTTTGGAGCATTTCTTTCAGAAGCATATCACAAATTTTAAAGGGTGCCTGCTCCTTACTTTTACTACACACACACACACACACACGCACACACACACGCACAGCCACACACCCACTCAAGTTTGGGGAGAAGAGCAAGTCCATGTAAGAAACCCTGATTATACATAATGTGGAACTGTTGTTATTAACTTTTGTAGGTAAATAAGAAATTTGTGTTACATCTGTTACTAAAAGAAGCAAAAATACATATACGTAGGCTAATATTACTGAGCAAATACGACAAACACAAGAACCTTGTAATGGACTATCTCTTTCTAACACCCATGTTTACAGGTTTGGAAGTGCTATGGTTTTAGAAGCCTTATGATCAGCTATTCCTATCCAGACTGTGGCAAAAGAGTCCTTGAATTCCTGTCTATTGATAATTGATGGGCAATTAGGCTTGTTCCAAATTCACTCTTGCAACTTCGTGTGTAAGGAGACTTGCATCAAATGGTAAAGGCTAATAATAGTCCACAAAAATGTTTATTTGGCAGTAACTACAGGAATGCACAAAGGCTAGCCTCTTGGAGAGTGGTCATATGTTTCATCTTACCTGTTTTACTCAGAACATCTCATCTATAATACTTTCCTCGGGAGCAAGAAATATTAACTATTAGGACAACTGTAGCCCTTGGCCCAATTGCTATTTCTCAGCCTGTGGTAACTATGGAAATTATCTCCCATCCGAAACTCCTACTTGATGCTGAGCAGTAAAGAATATTCTGACTTGTGTCATGTAAATGGTAGTGGTGTGTTACTTCAGTTCATTACGAATTATGTCCCATATATCAGCAGTCTCCAATCATTTTGGCAGCAGGGACCGATTTTGTGGAAGACAATTTTTTCACAGATGGCAGAGAGGATGGTTTCTGGATGAAACTCTTTTACCTCGGATCACCAGACATTAGATTCTCATAAGGAGTGCAACCTAGATTATTCACATATTAGTTCACAATAGGGTTAGCTCTCCTGTGAGAATTGAATGCCACCGCTGATCTGACAGGAGGTCGGGCTCAGGTGGTAATGCTTGGGCACTGCTCACTTCCTGCTGTGCGACACAGTTTCTAACAGGCCATGGACCGGTACTGGTCCTTGGCCCAGGGGTTGGGGACCCCGCTATATATAATAGACAGGACAAATCACAGACACATACACTTTTTAAATATATCCTAGGCTGGGCGCGGTGGCTCACGCCTGTAATCCCAGCACTTTGGGAGGCCGAGGCAGGTGGATCACCTGAGGTCAGGAATTCAAGACCAGCCTGGCCAACATGGTGAAACCCCGTCTCTACTAAAAATACAAAAATCATCTGGGCATGGTGGCAGGCACCTGTAATCCCAGCTACTCAGGAGGCTGAGGCATGAGAATCTCTTGAACCCTGGAGGTGGAGGTTGCAGTGAGCCGGTATCACACCATTGCACTCCAGCCTGGGCGACAAGTGCAAGACTCTGTCAAAAAAACCAAAATATATATATATATATTCTATGCAGTTTATAGTAAGTACTTCTGTATTTTTGGCATGTTTTATTTTCTTTCATATAAGGCCTCTGGTATCTTATTTGTATTTTTATTCATGGAAAGGAACTGCTGCTATTCATATTTTGATATATAATTATAATTAATTATCAGTTATTTCCCTTCCCCGTTTCTTAGGCCCATCACTACTCAAAGAATTTCTGTCACCATTAGTACAATTGTAGCACATGGTACATATAAATTATCTGACACTCTTCTTTAAACTTGCCTTGTGACAAAGCTTTACTCAAGGGTGGGAAAATAAGGTGAAAAACTCTTAGCTCAAAAACTGTCAAATCTTAAGCAATTATTCAACCAGTAAATTCTAGAATGCATGGAGTCTTGTGCTAGTGGATAAATGAGCTTCTTTGGAGATCTGACTTCACATCAATTGCTCTGTCTCAGCACTCTGGTTTTTTAAGGGAACTAGTTGGTCCATTTGACCCCCAGAGACAACCTAGTAGGCAGCCAGCATGAGGTTTTAATAACATATGAATTAATTAATAAGGCCTCTCTAGTTAGCAGAAGTGTTGGATTTAGAGGCATTTAATAAGATTAGACTTTCAAACATTATTTGGTGCATTAATTCAAATATGCAAATTAGCATAGCCTAGAGACAAAGGAAGGGAAAAAAGTGAGGGCAGATAGGAATAAAATTAAATTTTGGAAAGATATTTTAGAAAATACACTCACAACCTGAAATTGAGAGGTAGAATTAGAATTGTTCAGCTTATTAAAACTTCCTTCTATTAGTATGTAAGACTACAGTAGATTGGTAAATTTGCAGGCAGATATATATTTAAAATTAGAAATTATCATCTTTTTGCAGGCATTAAAATTGAGTCTACCACATAGTCCTCTCTTGTAATTGCTTCCAATAATGCAGCATCTTTATTCTTAAAAGATTAAAAATAGTACTGCTTTCTATGAATTATAATTAAAGATTTTTACTGTATAACTTGTTTGGTATTTCAGGTGCATCATGCTAATGCCTATATGTTTATTCCTGCTACCTCCAATAGTTCACTGATAATTCAGATTCAGACCAATGGAGAAACCATGGGAGGAAAAAAACAAACTTTTACTCTGAGTAAGTAACACCATTAAAATCAAGTTTGCAAATAAAAATTAAATATAATTTAAAGTATTTCCTGCCAAGCACTTCAAAAATGTAATCTTTAGTACATTTTGAGGTAGCAAGCATTTTTTAAAACTGTAGTTAGTAAATTAAAGCTAAAATAAAATTTTAAAAGAGCCTGTTTCCACCATGTTGTAAATGGAAGTTATTATAATTCAATATTAGATATGAATCAGTTAATTCTACCTCAGCCAAAGCTCTGATATTTTAGAGAACAGCAGATGTTACCCTTTCTAGTACCCCATTAATATACCTAGTCAGTTTTTCCACTATTATCCCTCGGGCAGAGAATAAAGGCATATTTTCTTTTCTGTTTCTTAAGCAAACCCACTTGCTCCCTGAAGCAGAAGATTTAATTATCCTTATTGCATTATATTTGCTTGAATAGCTACAGAAATTATTAATGGGCATAACATTTTCTGATCTTTTTCATGAAATTCAACTATGATATTTATGCTGATTTAATTACCTCTAGCACATTAATTAGTCTAGCAGTAAGAACTAAGGACTTAGGATTTATAACAAGTGTGATTTGTTTCTGTTGATCATTATGATGTGTTACAGCTTAGATACAGAATTCATGTATGTATATATGTGTCTGGAAAGAAGGGAGAGGTGACATACTACATTAACTAGCTGCTCATGGAAATATTTATCAAGAAAACACCCTGAATCTCGCAGTGGGTGCTAGATCAAATACTAAATGACTATATGGCCTTAGGGAAATAATTTAAATTCTGTATCTCAAATTCCATCATTTGCAAAGAGGAAATAATTATAATATTTATGCTATTGGGTTTTTTAAAGTATTAAATAGATTAATGCACATAAAGCACCAAAAGCAATATCCAGTACATCATATGTCGCACATAAGTGTCATTTGCTGTTATTGTTTTTATTATTATTATTAAAGATAAGGAGACTAGATAGGCTTTGAAAAATATATGATGAATTTGTTTTCAGTCACTTTGAGTGCTAAATAGAAATTCACTTCCTGAGTTTCTAATGATCGCCATTCTAACTTGTGTGAGGTGGTATCTCATTGTGGTTTTGATTTGCATTTCTCTGATGGCCAGTGATGCTGAGCATTTTTTATGTGTCTTTTGGCTGCATAAATGTCTTCTTTTGAGAAGTGTCTGCTCATATCCTTTGCCCACTTTTTGATGGGGTTGTTTGTTTTTTTCTTGTAAATTTGTTTGAGTTCATTGTAGATTCTGGATATTAGCCCTTTGTCAGATGAGTATATTGCAAAAATTTTCTCCCATTCTGTAGATTGCCTGTTCACTCTGATGGTAGTTTCTTTTGCTGTGCAGAAGCTGAGGGGATGTGGAGAAATAGGAACACTTTTACACTGTTGGTGGGACTGTAAACTAGTTCAACCATTGTAGAAGTCAGTGTGGCGATTCCTCAGGGATCTAGAACTAGAAATACCATTTGACCCAGCCATCCCATTACTGGGTATATACCCAAAGGATTATAAATCATGCTACTATAAAGACACATGCACACGTATGTTTACTGTGGCACTATTCACAATAGCAAAGACTTGGAACCAACCCAAATGTCCAACAATGATAGACTGGATTAAGAAAATGTGGCACATATACACCATGGAATACTATGCAGCCATGAAAAAAGATGAGTTCATGTCCTTTTTAGGGACATGGATGAAGCTGGAAACCATCATTCTCAGCAAACTATCGCAAGGACAAAAAACCAAACGCCCCATATTCTCACTCATAGGTGGGAATTGAACAATGAAAACACATAGACACAGGAAGGGGAACATTGCACACTGGGGCCTGTTGTGGGGTGGGCGGAGAGGGGAGGGATAGCATTAGGAGATATACCTAACATAAATGACGATTAATGTGTGCAGCACACCAACATGGCACATGTATACATATGTAACAAACCTGCATGTTGTGCACATGTACTCTAAAACTTAAACTATAATTAAAAAAAAAAAAAAGAAACTCACTTCCACACAGACCTCAAATAATTCATATGCTTAAAAACTCCAGAAAATGTGAGCATTCACAGGAGGAAATCAGAAAACTGATAAAATACAAAATATCACAAACAAGATCCATCAAAAACAATACTAAGCAAACTCAGAAATATAATAACGTGAAATATTGAATTTAATAGACACAGTTTAAAACAAGTACCTCTTAAATAAATAAATGGAGGGATTAAAAATATGAGCACACACAATAGGTGATAAAAGTGACCAAACATATTCAAAACAGAATAAAACATAAATTCCAGAAATGAAAACTCTATTTATTAAAATAAAAAATACTTATGTTATTTTGCAGATATTTATTCTGTCAAAACATGAATATATTATTTTTTATCAAATATATTTCATAGTTTAAATGAAAGTTAAGCACGTATTAATTTTCAGAGTTGCATACAAATATAGCAGTATAAAACACCACACATTTATTATCTCACAGTGTCTATGGGTGAGGAGTCTAGTTATGGTTTATCTCGGTCCTCTGCAAAGCTGCAATCAAAATGTTGGTCAGGACAGGGTTCTCATCTGGAGGCTTGATGGGGAACGTATTAGTCCTCTTTCACACTGTTGATAAAGACATACAAGAGACTGGGTAATTTATAAAGAAAAGAGGTTTAATGGACTCACACTTCCACATGGTTGGGGAGGCCTCACAATGATGGTGGATGGCAAAAGGCACGTCTTACGTGGTGGCAGGCAAGGGAGAATGAAAGCCAAGCAAAAGAGGAAACCCCTTGTAAAGCCATCAGATCTCATGAGACTTATTCACTACCATGGAGAAACACAGTATGGGGGAAACTGCCCCCATGATTCAATTGTCTCCCACCAGGTCCCTCCACAACACGTGGGAATTATGGGAGCTGCAATTCAAGATGAGATTTGAGTGGAGACACAGCCAAACCATATCAGGGAATAAATTTGCTTTCAAGTTCATTAAGGTCATTGCAGAAATTATTCCCTTGCAGTGGTAAGAGTCCCTGGCTTCTTGCTAGCTGGTGTCACAGGCCATCCTCAACTTCTTGCCTCATGGACCTCCCAACATCATCATTTATTTTATCAAGCCAGTAAGGGGAGAGAGAGACTCCAGAGTGAGCCTGCAAACAAGATGAAATCTCATATTGTATAAAATAATGTAGTCATGGAAGTGATATTTTAACACTTGGGCCATATTCTATTGGTTACAGGCAAGTCACAGGCCTCACCCACACTCAAGGGGAGGGAATTATACAAGGACAAAGTACCAGAATGCAGGCATTATGAGGAAAAGGACCATTGGTGCTGCCATGAACATCATAGTGAAATATTTGATATAGTAAAACCTAGTCTTCAATTATTAGATTGATGGACTCTGAGTAAAACAAGTAGAACTATATGTCTCTAAAGCAAAGGCCTACAAATACCTTTGCTGAAAGTGCTTTGTCAAAATTGCTGATATAACAATAGTTGAGAGAAGGCATTTTTCTCTAAATTAGTTTTTGCTTTATCGATTATAAGGTTAGACTTTGGAAAATGACCATCAAAATCATTATATTTTATACTTTCATGTGTCAGTACATATCCACCTCACTCTTTGTTTCATATTGGGCAAGCTGACTGATCATTCTCGTGGATTGGCTTCTCAGTCAAATTATATATTTTTTCAGATATGATTTCCAGTATATTCATTTACGTATTTACTTGAAGCCCCTAGTTTTCTTGAGTTAATCAATTATTTCAGTGTCTTGCAGACTCAACTTCGAAAGGATGGAAATGTTTAAATTTTTCTTGTTGCATAAATGTGTAGAAATTTTGAAAAGAGTTTAAAAGCATAATCTTTCAGTGAAAACCTATTCTTAAAATTGTATAAATTAATTAAGAGATATAAGAAACAAAGTTTTTTATTTAAAACATTTTGGCTTCCTTTACCCTAACAGTGAATGCTAGTAATTCACATCTGCAAAGAAAATAGCAAAATATAAAATGAGTATTAATATAGAAAAGATTTACGTGAATTCTAATGATTCAGGTATCATAAACAAATATACTTTTAAGAATATTTTTTAAAGTGGTGAATAAATCAAACATTCACAATTTCAATTGCTGCGCATAAAAATATTTTTAAAGGAATATGTAGTGTGGCCTCTAATTTAATCCATTTCAAACATTTCTTATGACAGCCTGTAATTATATCCTTCACATGTTAGAAATTAGAGACAATGTATGCACTATAAATTTAAAAAGCACTTTTTAAAATGAAAAAGTACAAATATAGAAAATGGCTTAAATTTCAAAATGTAATAGGTTTACCTCTTTGTCTGATTAAATGCGTTCCTTTCAGTACTTGGCATTATCCATAATGATACTCGTCCCCAGAGGCTAAACACCTTAGCCTTATATGGGCACAGTTGTAAAGATTTAAGAAGTAAACTTGGAAAAGATCTGTTTATTGACAGGAAGTATCTGCCCTTTATTTTCTGATACACAAGGGCATCAGAATATTATGATAATTATAGAATAGAGATTGCTGCACAGGTTTGATTTATTGGGCTGCAAAAAAAAAAATCAGTGGTGATGCCTCACGTATTGTATAATTTCACGTAGCTACATCTGTCTGACCCATCTCTTAGCTAATCATATGTTGAATGGAAAGGAGACTGAAGCACTGACAAGGTATCAAGTGGTATCTTCTGGTGACAGGAGAAAATGAATAGGCACACCAGTATTTAATGATATGCCTGGAAGCAATTTTCTGCCACTGAAAAAGTTAAAACTAAGGGACAAAATATATTCCTTCTGTCCTGATAGGAGGCTCACTGAAATTAATAAAAGTTTCAGAAACAAAGAAAAAAACTCTGTTCAGTGTTTCCATTCTAGAATTGTTACGCTGTGAGAAGTTTTAGAGGAGTTTTAACATGATTGGAGAAAAATGTTCGGTCCAAGTGATTTCCAAAGGGAAATCACTTGATATTTCGAAGAGATTTTCAAAGTTCAAAGAAGTCATATTAAGGGATGCTTTAAAGTTTTATTTGAACAAATTTCAAGGCTAAACATTTTGAAAACAATTGGCTAAAGGGCACCTATTTCAAAGACTTGAAACAACTCTCTGGTAATAATGAATTATGACATTTCCCTTCATTATTAATATACACCCCTTGGAAAAACAATGTTGCCTAGTTGTGTCTTTACATTTTTATATTGTGTAGGAATTCATGAGACTCAAGATTTTAAAGTAAAGGAAAAAAATAGTATGAGGTTGCACAACAGAGTGAACTGAAAGGAGTATTTGTGTAGGATAAAGAAGATATGGAATTTTATTTACATAAATGTGAACTGTGTCACCGTCATTCAGAAAAATCAGTTATTCCATTTGTGCATAAGTCCCTTAATCTGTAAAACACATACACTAAAATAAATAATCTCGTCTAGGATAAAAATAAAATTCGATTTGAGTCGGTGAATTCCAAAATATTTGTTTCCTGTTGTCAAAGATTTTTGGTAAATTTTTACAAAATCACATACGTTCAAAGACTTAGGATATTTAAGTTATATACTTGGTACACTTATTCGATATAGCTTCAAAGTTTATATTGTAACTCCTAACAGTTTGTGTTAACAAATTAAACACTTTTTATGAGCTTTGTATATGTTTTAAAAAATGACTAACTCAGTAGTAGAAAGCACCACTTGTACACAGATTGTGATCCCTAAATGGTATTTTCAAAAAGAGAGGGAAAAAAAAGGAGTTAGATCTCAGAAAAAAGACTGACTTCGGGTCTGGAACAGAAAATGTACAAGATGATCCTTGAAACATATTGTCATATAAGAAATATAGAAAAATATAAAAATACATGATTGCCAAAAAAAAAAAGAAAATTAGGAGCCTATGTGAATAGGCTCCCATTGCTCAGATATGGGACAATTTGACCAACATAACAAAAATAACATATTTTAAAATTTTAATGTTTATCATATATTTTTAAGTCATAATGATACTTTAAAAGACGCTGGGCTAGTGCAATGGCTCACTCTTGTAATCCCCACAGTTTGGGAAGGGGAGGTGGGTAAATCAGTTGAGCCCAGGAATTTGAGACTAGCTGGGCAACATGGCAAAGTCCTGGCTCTCAAAAAAAAAAAAAGTATATATACAAAAATTAGCTGGGTGTGGTGGCACATGCTTATATTCCCTGCTACTGGGGCTGAAGAGGTAGGGGGGCAGAGGTGGAGGATTGCTTGAGCCCAGGAGGCCAAGGCTGCAGTAAGCCATAATTGTGCCATTGCATTCCAGCCTGGGTGACAGAGTGAGATCCTGTCTCAAACAAACAAACTAAACAAATAACAAAATAAAATAAAATTAAATTAAAATTAAATATGCTAATTATTCAGTGTTGAAGAATATTAGTAAATCAGTTCATTATTTCGAAACCTGATAACGTGAAAAATAAGCAAGAATAATCAATAAGAGTGAGTTTTTTTAATGCAAAAGTTCCAGGTAATTGAAGAAAGAATGGTAGAATTAGAATATAAATAGTCTGCAATGCCTACTTAGTTCATTGGATCTAAGCAGTGATCATGAATCATCACCTGTAAAGCACCTGCCTCCCCAAAATCTTAGTGGAATTTAATCTAAACTTAATGTTTATTTTATAGGAAATGTAGAGGGTAGAGGTGTGTGTGTAAGTATACCACAGGAATGCAATGAGCAAAATCCAGATGGAGAAATATTCTGTAGGACTAAATACCTGTTTCCCTCAACAAATATGTAGTTAGAAGGAAAATATAGATATTGAAGAAATATGAGACATGTCAACTGATCATAAAATGTGGACCTTATTTGACTTCTGTCTCAAACAAACTAAAATAGAAACATGACATTTATGACAAACGATTGGAAATTTGACCACTGATAAGGTATTTAAAGATAATAAGAAATCAACTTTTTTTATAAAAGTAATATGTTTTTAAAGCTCTATCATTGAGAGATTTAGTAAAATATTTATGGATGGAATAACATGATATCTGAGATTTACTTCATAATGATATGGATTTGGAAAATGGGTGAGTTCACAAGTCTCATGAATTGATAATTGTTGAAACTCTATGAAGGGTACATGGAGGTTCATTTCATATGATGTCTACTTCAATGTGTCAAATTGATCCTTAGTAGAAGTTTTAACTACATACATGTTTTTACTCAATAGCCCATTATGTCAAAGTGCAGCTCCTGACATAAATAAATAAATATATATATATATACACACACACACGTATATATACACATATATAGTGTATATACAAATATATGTACTATATATACACACACACACACACACACACACACACACACACACACACTTCATCTGTATTTTTTATTGCAACTTGGATCCTAGAAAACAGCTTAATTTAGTCAAGGTTTATTTTATGAAAAAATGCCTCTTTAAAATACATAAAAACAAGTTAGTAAACTCCTCCTGTAGAGATTGTTTTAAATTGTTAGTTCAGATGAACAGAAATGTACTATATTCCCCTAGACTTCTAAATTTATAAGAAGATATTAAAGAGTCCACATGTGACACATTTAAATTCTATACTTAATTTGTCACAGTTATAAATTTATACTCCTTTTTATTATTTACATTTTTATTTTAAGCTTTTATCTATATTTATTTACATTACCCCCTTTTATTCTTTCATTGTAAAATTAATATAAGGAAAATTATGAAAATATTAGGATCTTGGTGTATCACTTCCAAAGGCAAACTTGTTTATTATTTTAAGTTTGTAATACTCACTCAAATTCTGATACCCTGAACTTCATAGTAATCTAAAGCAATGTTTGTAGTAAATGAGATCTAGATCTTACAGTATTTCTGTGATATTTAAGACAATCATTGTTGGTTATAAAATGTCAAGAACCACATCATTGTGTATTTAAGAAAAACAAATATAAACATAGCCATAATTCATATATCTCTATATTCATGGATTATACATAGTCTGGAGTTGCTTTTTGTGCTTCTTTATCTAATTTTCTGAACTAGAATCTTAGGTTATTAATTTTAGATCTTTCTACTTTTTAAATATATGCTGAATGCTATACTTTTCCCTCCCAGGACTGCTTTAGTTGAGTTTTGCAAATTTTAATTAGTTGTACTTTTATTTTTTACTTAAAATATTTATAAACTCATATGGGGACTTCTTTGACTCATGGGTTATTTAGAAGTGCATTGTTTAATTTCCAAATTGTTGGGAATTTTTATCTATCTTTCTATTATTGATGTCTAAATTAATTCCACTGTAGACAGACAATATAATTTCTATTGTTTTAAAATTGTTAAGGTATATTTTATGGCCTGGAATGCAGTCTATCTTGGTGATCATTCAATGTAAGCTTGAGAGTATTTATTCTGCTGTTGACCAGAGAAATCTACAGGTGTAATTTAGATCAAGTTTATTGCTGTTCAGGTCATACATATTCATCTTTATTTTTTGACTAATTGATCTATAACTACTGACAGGACTGTTGATGTCTCTGACTATAATAGTGGATTTGGTTATTTTTCTTTTCAGTTCTATCAGTTTTTTTCCTCATATATTTTGATGCTCAGTTGTTAGGTTCGTACTCATTTAACTTGTTTTTTAGTGACGTCATTAGATTTTATAAAATACATTTTAACTAATCTAAACCTTTCATATTTTTTTGTGATCTCACACTGTTTTTTTTTTCCGTAAGTTATTGGGGTACAGGTGGTATTTGGTTACATGAGTAAGTTCTTTAGTGATGATTTGTGAGGTTTTGGTGCACTCATCACCCGGGCAGTATACACTGCAGCATATTTGTAGTCTTTTATCCTTCGCCCCCTCCCACTTTTCCCCCAAGTCCCCACGTTCCATTGTATCGTTATTATGCCTTAGCATCCTCATAGCTTAGCTCCCACACATCAGTGACAACATAAAATGTTTGCTTTTCCATTCCTGGGTTACTTCACTTAGAATAATAGTCTCCAATTTCTTCCAGGTCCCTGCAAATGCTGTTAATTCGTTCCTTTTTATGGCTGAGTAGTATTCCATTGTATATCTAGACCACAGTTTCTTTATCCACTCACTGATGGACATTTGTGTTGGTTCCATGATTTTGCAATTGTGAATTGTACTGCTATAAATATGAGTTTGCAAGTATATTTTTCGTATAGTCACTTCTTTACCTCTGGATAGATACTTAGTGGGATTGCTGGATCAAATGGTAGTTCTACTTTTAGTTCTTTAAGGAATCTCCACACTGTTTTCCATAGTGGCTGTACTAGTTTATATTCCCACCAGCAGTGTAGAAGTGTTCCCTGATCACTGCATCCATGCCAACATCTACTGTTTTTTTATTATTATTTTGTTATTATGGCCATTCTTGCAGGAGTAAGGTGGTATCAAAGGTGAATAAGGTACTCCAAAGTAAGGTATCACCTTACTTTGACTTCCTCTTTATCGATTTGGGTGCCCTTTATTTCCTTCTCTTGTCTGATTGCTCTGGCTAGGACTTCAGTACTATGCTGCAGAGGAGTGGTGAGAGTGGGCATCCTGTCTTGTTCCAGTTCTCAGAGGGAATGCTTTCAACTTTTCCCCATTCAGTATTATGTTGGCTGTGGGTTTTGATTTGCATCTCCCTGATCACTAGTGATGTTGAACATTTTTTCTTATGTTTGTTGGCCATTTGTATATCTTCTTTTGAGAATTCTCTATTCGTGTCCTTAGCCCACTTTTTGATAGGATTATTTGGTTTTTTTTCTTATTGATTTGTTTGAGTTCATTGTAGATTCTGGATATTAGTCCTTTGTCAAATGTATAGATTATGAAGATTTTCTCCCACTCTGTGGGCCATCTGTTTACTCTGCTGGCTGTTCCTTTTGCCATGCAAAAGCTCTTTGGTTTAATTAAGTCCCAACTATTTATCTTTGTTTTTATTGCATTTGCTTTTGTGTTCTTGATCATGGAATCTTTGCCTAAGCCAATTTCTAGAAGGGTTTTTCCAATGTTATCTCCTAGAATTGTCATAGCTTTAGGCCTTAGATTTAAGTCTTTAATCTATCTTGAGTTGATTTTTGTATATGATGAGAGATAAAGATCCAGTTTCAATCTCCTGCATGTGGCTAGCCAATTATCCTAGCACCATTTGTTTAATAGGGTGTCCTTTCCCCACATTTATGTTTTTGTTTGCTTTGTTGAAGATTAGTTGGCTTTAAATATTTGGGTTTACTTCTGGGTTATCTATTCTGTTCCATTGGTCTATGTGCCTATTTTTACACCAGTACCATGCTGTCAGGGTGACTATGGCCTTACAGTATAGTTTGAAATCAAGTAGTGTGATACTTCCAGATTTGTTATTTTTGTTTAGTCTTGCTTTGGCCATGCAGGCTCTTTTCTGATTCCATCTAAAGTTTAGAATTTTTTTCTAATTCTGTTTAGGATGATGGTGGTATATTGCTGGGGATTGCATTGAATTTGTAGATTGCTTTTGGCAGTATGATCATTTTCACAATTTTTGATTCTACTCATCCATGGGCATGGGATGTCTTTCCATTTGTTTGTGTTATCTATGATTTCTTTCAGCAGTGTTTTGTAGTTTTCCTTGTAGAGGTCTTTGGACTCCTTCGTTATATATATTCCTAAGTATTTTTTTTTTTTGCAGCTATTGTAAAAGGGTTGAGTTCTTGATTTGATTCTCAGTTTGGTCGCTGTTGGTGTATAGAAGAGCTACTAATTGTTTTACATGAATCTTGCATTCCAGAAACTTTGCTGAATTCTTTTATCAGTTCTAGGAGCTTTCTGGAGGAGTCTATAGGGTTTTCAAGGTAAACAGTCATATCATAAGCAAACAGTGACAGTTTGACTTCCTCTTTATCAATTTGGGTGCCCTTTATTTCTTTCTCTTGTCTGATTGCTCTGGCTAGGACTTCAGTACTATGTTGTAGAGGAGTGGTGAGAGTGGGCATCCTATCTTGTTCCAGTTCTCAGAGGGAATGCTTTCAACTTTTCCCCATGCAGTATTATGTTGGCTGTGGGTTTTTCATAGGTAGCTTTGGTTACATTGAGGTATGTCCCTTGTATGCCAATTTTGCTGAGAGTTTTAATCATAAAGGGATGCTGGATTTTGTTGAATGCTTTTTCTGCGTCTATTGAGATGATCATGTGATTTTTGTTTTTAATTCTGTTTATGTGGTGTGTCACATATGTTGACTTGTGTATGTTGAATCATCCCTGCATCCCTGGTATGACAACTTGATCATAGTGGATAATCCTTTTGATATGTTGTTGGATTCAGTTAGCTAGTATTTTGTTAAGGATTTTAGCGTCTATATTCATCAAGGATATCAGTCTGTAGTTTTCTTTTTTGGTTATGTCCTTTCCTGGTTTTGGTATTAGGGTGATGCTGGCTTCATAGAATGAATTAAAGAGAGTTCCTTCTTTCTCTATCTTGTGGAACAGTGTCAAAAAGATTGGTACCAATTTTTCTTTGAATGTCTGGTAGAATTCTGCTGTAAATTCGTCTGGTCAGTGGTGTCAGTTGTCTCCTGTTTCATTTCTTAATGAGGCTATTTGCATCTTTTCTTTTCTTGGTTAATCTTGCTAGTGGTCTATCAATTTTATTTATCTTTTCAAAGAAACAGATTTTGTTTCATTTATCTTTTGTATTTTTGTTTCTTTGTTTGTTTCAATTTTATTTAGTTCTGCTCTGATATTGGTTATTTCCTTTCTTCTGCTAGGTTTGGGTTTGCTTTGTTCTTGCTTCTCTAGTTCCTTGAGGTATGACCTTAGAATTTCAGTTTGTGCTCTATCAGTCTTTTTGATGTAGGCATTTAGGATTATGAACTTTCCTTTTAGCACTGCCTTTGCTATAACCCAGAGGTTTTGATAGGTTCTGTCTTTATTGTTGTTCAGTTTGAAGAATTTTTAAATTTCCATCTTTATTTTACTTTTGACTCATTGCTCATTCAGGAGCAGGTTATATAATTTCCATGTGTTTGCATGGTTTGAAGTTTCCTTTTGGAGTTGATTTCCAGTTTTATTTCACTGTGATCTGAGAGAGTGCTTTGTATAATTTCAATTTTCTTAAATTTACTGAGGCTTGTTTTATCTCCTATCATATTGTCTATCTTGGAGAAAGTTCCATGCTCTGTTGAATAGAATGTATATTCTGTGGTTGTTGGATGAAATGTTCTGTGTATATTTGTTAAGTCCATTTGTTCCAAGGTATAGTTTAAATCTATGGTGTCTTTGTTGACTTTCTGTCTTGATGACCTGTCTAGTACTGCCAGTGGAGTACTGAAGTCCCTCACTATTATTGTGTTTCTGTCTATCTCATTTCTTAGGTCTATTAGTAATTGCTTTAAAAATGTGGGAGCTCCATTGTTAGGTGCATTTATATTTAGGATTGTGATATTTTCCTGTTGGACAGGGCTTTTTAACATTATGTAATAATGTCCCTCTGTGTCTCGTTTAACCACTGTTGCTTTAAAGTTTGTTTTCTCTGATATAAGAATAGCTACCCCTGCTCACTTTCTGTGTCCATTTGCATGAAACGCCTTTTTCCACCCCCTAACTTTAGGTTTCTGTGAGTCTTTACGTGTTAGGTGAGTCTCCTGAATGCAGAAGATAGTTGGTTGGTGAGTCCTTATTCATTTTGTGGTTCTGTAACATGTAAGTGGATCATTTAGGCCATTTACACTCAATGTTAGTATTGAGATGTGAGGTGCCATTGCATTCATCGTGCTATCTGTTACCTGTGTACTTTGGCTTATTTGTTTTTCATTATTGCTTTTTAACTCGTATTTTTGTTTTATAGGTCCTGTGTTATTTATGCTTTGAAGATGTTCTGTTTTGATGTGTTTCTAGGATTTGTTTCAATATTTAGAGCTCTTTTTAGCAGTTCTTGTAATGGTGGCTTGGTAGTGGCAAATTCTCTCAGCGTTTGTTTGTCTGAAAAAGACTGTATCTTATATGATGCTTAGTTTCACTAGATACAAAATTCTTGGCTGATATTTGCTTTGTTTGAGGAGGCTGAAGATAGAGCCCCAATCCCCTCTAGCTCATAGGGTTTCTACTGAGAAATCTGTTGTTAATCTGATAGATTTTTCCTTTATAGGTTACCTTGCGCTTCTGTCTCACAACTCTTAAGATTCTTTCCTTTGTCTTAACTTTGGATAACCTGATGACAATGTGTCTAGGGGATGATCTTTTTGTGATGAATTTCCCAGGTGTTCTTTGTGCTTCTTGTATTTGGCTGTCTAAGTCTCTAGCAAGGCTGGGGAAGTTTTCCTCCATTATACTCCCAAATATATTTTCCAAGCTTTTAGAATGCTCTTCTTCCTTAGGAACAGTGAATATTCTTAGGTTTGGCCATTTAACATAATCCCAGACTTCTTGGAGGCTTTGGTCATATTTTCTTAGTAAATTTTTTTAATTTTTCTTGGATTGGGTTAATTTGAAGACATTGTCTTCGAGCTCTTAATTTTTTTCTTCTACTTGTTCAATTCTATTGCTGAGACTTTCCTGAGCATTTTGCATTTTTGTAAGTGTGTCCATTGTTTCCTGAAGTTTTGGTTGTTTCTTATTTATGGTATCTATTTCGTCGATAATTTCTCCTTGCACTTTTTGTATCAGTTTTTGGACTTCCTTGCATTGGGCTTTGCCTTCCTCTGGTGCCTCCCTGATTAGCTTAATAACTAACCTCCTGAATTCTTTTTTCAGGTAATCAAGAATTTCTTCTTGGTTTGGATCCATTGTTGGTGAACTCGTGTGATTTTTGGGGGATGTTGACAAGCCTTGTTTTGTCATATTACCAGGGTTGGTTTTCTGGTTCCTTCCCATTTGGGTAGCCTCTGTCAGAGGGAAGGTCTAGGGCTGAAGGCTGTTGTTTAGATTCTTTTGTCACACATCGTGTTTCCTTGATGTAGTACTCTTCCCCTTTTCCTATGGATGTGGCTTCCTATGAGCTAAACTGCAGTGATTGTTTTCTTTCTTCTGGGTCTAGCAACCCAGAAAGTCTACCCAGCTTGGGGCTGCCACTGGGGGTTGTCTGCACAGAGTCCTATGATGTGAAATATCTGTGGGTCTTTCAACCATGGATACCAGCACCTGTTCTGGTGGATGTGGCAGGGGGGTGTAGTGGACTCCTTGAAGGTTCTTAGCCTTAGAGAGACTGAGCTCTCTGTTGTCTCTCCTTATAAGTACTCTAATCCTATAATGAGGACCTCATCCTTATGAACTTATTTAAACTTAATTTCGTCCTTACATATTCTATCTCCAAATATAGTCACATTGCAGGCTGAGGCTTTAGCATATGAATTTTGGGAGGACACAATTCAGTCCATATCAATTACTGTCATTCATTTCACTAACCTGTATACTATAACTACCCAATACACTTTTTCTAGTATTAATGTATTTTTATTACTTTAAACAAGCTTTTTAAAAATTTCAGTTAAGAATATGGAAAGTAAAATATTTTACCTTCATTTATTCCTTCTATAATGGTCTTCTTTTCTTTATGTAGATTGAAGTTTTAACCTATATTATTTTTCTTCTGCCTGAAGATCTAAATTTCATGCAGAGCAGGTAAGCTGACAATGAATGTCCTGAGTTTTTTTGTTAGTTTGAGCAAGTCTTTATTTCTTTTATTTTTTTTACTTATGAAAGGTGATTTCATTTAATATAGAATTCCAGGATAGCAAAGTTTTTTGTTTTGTTTTGTTTTGTTTTGTGTTTTTGTTTTTGTTTTCATTCCAGTCCTTTTGCCCAAGTCTCTTTTTTCTTGCAGGTTTCTGATGAGAAGACTACCGTAATCCTTGCTCCTTGTTTATCTCTTGCTTCCTTCATAATTTTCTCTTTGTTTTTGGTGTTCTGAAGTTTAAATATGATATGCTGAGGTGATTTTTCTGTTTGTTTGTTTTTTTTGTGTATCATGCTAAGTGTTCTCTGAGCTTCCATGATCTATGTTTCGGTTACTGCCATTAATTTTAACAGATGCTTACCCATTATTTTTTAAAATATTTTTTCTACCTCATTCTTTCTTTTTTTTCCTTGTATTATCCCAATTATTGATGCATTACAACTTTTTAAATTGTCCCACATTTTTTTTATTTCATTCTCTTTGCACTTGAGTTTGGGAAGTTTTTGATTTTTTTTTAAATTGACTTCATTTTTGGAGCTTATTTAGAGTTACAGCAAAATTTGGAAGAAATCACAGGGTCCCCATATGTCCCTTGCCCCCACATGAGTACAACCTTCACTTCTATGAACATTCCATCAGAGTGGAACATTTGTTATGACCGATGAACCTACATTGACACGTCATTATCATCCAAAATTCATAGTTCATATTAGGGTTCACTCTTGCTGATTTGGGAAGTTTTTATTGACCTATCTTCAAGCTCATTGATTCCTCATCTGTGTCATCTACTGATGAGCCATCAAAAGGCATTCTTCATCTCTGTGACAGTGTTACTTTTCTCATTTATAACATTTACTCTTGATTCCTCTTAAATTTCTCACCTCTCTACTGATATGACCCATCTTTTTATTATATGTTTTCTACTTTTTCATTACAGCTTTTAGCATATTATTATTTAAAATCATCTATCTGATAATTCACGTATTTGTGTCATATATGATTCTGGTTGTCATGTCTGTTTGCTTTTTTCAGACTTTTTTTTTTTTTGCCTTTTGTTATATATTTTAATTTTTGGTTGTAAGCCAGACAGGCTATGATGAATAATAGCAACTGAAGTAAATGGGCCTTTGGTGGGAAGATTTATGTTAATCTGGCTAGGAGTTGGGTTGTGTTCAATGCTTGTTGTAGCTGTAGGTGCCCAAGGCTTCAGCGTCCTCTAGTGTCCTTGTTTTTATCTCCCCTTGACTTTAGGACTTCTTTGTATACTGCTACCGAACGAACATTTACATCTTGCAGCTCTTTCAGCTATAATCTACTGAAACAATCTTAATGCAGTGAGAGAGTAACAGTGAGAGGGGGTGACATTCCAAAATCCAATTAAGTTTTAGTCGTTTGGTAGGCCCAGGTGTCTGGGCTGTAGCCTTCACAAGTGTTCCTGTCCTTCACCTTTACTCATATCCTAGATGCAATCAATGTTCCCAGTGTGTTTCTTTGAAATGCTCAACCATGTTGACTAATTTTTCCCCTTAGGTAAGATAATAGGCTAGAGGGCACCATAATTGGTAGGAATCCTTTTCCTGGTTGAGGCAAGATTTTAAAATTGTGCTCTGACAATTACTTCAAGGACAGCAGACCTTAGTTATGGAGAACATTCTAAACATGTTTTACAAAGTTACGCTCCTCTCCTGCTTCCAAGGGTACTGAGGATTTTTCTTGGATCCTCTGTAAGAACTTGATGGTTCTTGGAGTGCAAACTATGAAAATGTTGCCCTCCTAATCTTGAGGCCCCCAGAAAGTCTTTATCTCATGCTAGTGCACACTCAGTATCCAGAAATTAATCAAAATTATCATTTAAGTGTTCTTAACAGCTTGTAGCTCCAGCAGTTTCTGCTCCAGATAAACAGATTTCATCTGTGATTCCCTTTATTCACCTTTCCAGATTTCAGGGTGATGATTTGCTCTGAGACCTCAGTTCTTTAATGGGTCCAAGAAATGTCACTGAATTTCAATTTGTCCAGGTTTTCTGTTGTTTTTGTAAGGATGAGAATGACTACTTCCAAGTTCTTTATATTTTGAAACTGAAAGTCTACCATGCTTCATTTTAATGATTTTTATTGTAGTTTAAATGTGTAAGCATTTCTATCTCAATCAGTTTTAGTTCTAGAATATCTAAGCAGTACTGAATATGCTGTAGCAATTTAATTTTTGCAGCAGATAATTTGGGGCATGCATCTGCTAACATTTGAATGGAATCTTAAATTGAACTTTAGGTGAAAATGTTCAAGGGTATCTACTGAATGTTTTAAAGTCTTCCACAAATATTATAAATATGTATGCAAAAACATGTTTGGTTTTGTGCTTTAAACACACTTTTTTGGTATGTGCTATAACAATTAACTGTCATTTATGAACACAAATTTATTAAATATTTGAAGACTTCCCTATTGCTGATTTTGCTGAAGTGTTATTATCGCTATTGCATGTAAAATCTAAGTGACTTTGGTTTGAAATGCTAGTAATCTAAATCATCAGAGGTGTTTTGAAGTTTACTGGCTCTGCTACTTTGAAGACAGCATCTAGATGTTCAGCTAATATTCTGGCATTGACCACAAAGAAAAGACAGCTTATTTTCTTCTCATTTTAAAGGTTTTGCTTACATTAAAAAATAAATTTTATGTTAAAAAGGAAAATAAATCATTGTGACACCATAACTGAATCTGTAGCAAATTCTATTCATGCTGCTACTGTGAAAGCTGGAAACTGACCAGAATGAATTAGCGGTGCTGATTCTAAAGATTTCACAAGTAAATGGAAGCCAAAAATAGTGCTAGAATCAAACACAAACCAATAGAATTATAGTAGCATCCCAAAATGTTGATGTTTAATATTGTAACAAATGTCTTAAGCTTTATTCATGATTTGAAAATTTATCCATATAGATAGTATACATAATCCAATGCACACAATATATTTCTAAAAATGAAATAATCATAAAGATGTGGAATAATTGTATTATAAGGCAGTATTTTTCCTGCTGTTATATATTACCTTATCTACATTTCAGTTTCATTTTCCTATGAATTTAGTTTAGAGATATGGTAATTCAAATATAATTTTTAAAATGATCCTAGTTTAAAATTCAATTCACTTATGTCAGTGTATTACATACTATGAATGATGTTTCCAGTATAATTCAGAACCCAAAACAGCTAGGTTTCTTTAGCCTAAATTACTAATTTGTTCATAAAATGACATCAAATGCAATAACCTTAAGAAAAAAATCCTAGTGAAAATTTAATTACCATTTTAAAATAACAATTAATTATTAAATAGTGAAATACTAAATCAACCAAAGGTGAAACCTCTAGCTATTTTTTACTTTGACAGAAAGTTTACAATTTTTGGATTGTCTCAGTTTTAATGCCACAGAATTTTTATAGAGAAGCACATGTGCCTTAATTTATGGCCTGAGTTGTATATATGCTTCAGAAAAGACTGTTCACATGGAAGAAAAAAAAAAAAACACCAAAGGGAAAAGGCACAATAAGTTTTATGTGTGGTGGTAAACTAGAATATTATGACTAAGTTGATGCATACATATTGCTTGTTTCCATCTAAGAACTCAGATGCATAAGCTTCTTTTCACCAAGACCAACCCTTCATTATTTTCAAGCTTGACAATGAGAGTCTCCCTGAAGAAACAAGAAGAGTCTTGTTTGCCCAGCCCTAGAATTATGTTTGACTGGTGTTATTTCTCAAAGCCACATCTTAATTTGTTTCCCGAGCTTCACTGGAAATTCCTCGATGAATCCCAATATTCATATTTGCAGTCTTGAAAGTGAATCTTTGCAGAATAAGAAGACTGTAGAGGACTTTCAAAAATAGTTTCAAAATAAAAATATATGAGAGATTAAAAATGATAAAGACATATCCACAAATTTGACTCCACACAATATGTAAGGACTTTGAGAAATAATAATTCCATGTTATATATGGGTTCATACTCATTCAAAGCTTACATTCAAATCATTTTAATTTAAGACAGAGTTTAGTAGCACTTTCATGAGGTACAGAGATATGGAAGAGGGGTTATTGCTTTCTGAACTTATTGTTAATACCTTATATGAAGAAGTGGCATTTGAGTCCTGACTTCAAAGTTTCATGTAATTGGGGATAAAGGAAAGCATTTAGAGTCTGTGAGCAATAGCATAGAGAATGAAAATGTAAAAAAAAAAAACCAAAAAAACTGTTCTCCATAATAAAGAATAGCTCACTTTTGTTTCAATGGAGGAGGCATGGTCACTAGAATTTGGAAATGAAACTTGGATATGGCCAGTTTATTGAGGCATGGCTTCAGATTTTAAAACATTATTTTGAAAGCAATTCTGGCATGAGAGCAATAAAGAGGAAATTACAGTTGTCTATGCACCAGAAAAATACTTATTGGAAATGTAAATTTTAAAACTGGAATACTGTAACAGACAGGTTAGAGAATTAATAATATTTGGTACCTGGTTAAAAATAAAAATGAAACTGAGAAGAAAAAAAGAGTCAAAGATTGACTTCCAACTTGGATACCAGGGATTATCCTTGTACAAAAATGGGAGGAAAAACAGATTTACATAGGAAATTATTGTTTTTTTTGGATATCCTGACCTTCAGATATTGTTGTCTATCAAAGTCTTGCATTCATCATGATAATTTGCTGGTATTACAGATGTTAAATTGAGTCTCAAACACACTCAGGTCCAAAAATCTGTGGGTCACCAGCAGATTTTTAAACTCAATACCTTTGTCTACAATAACAGCTGTTTTTCTATAACGAACACTCTTCTTTTTCCAAACACAAGTGTGATAGGTAGGTAGTATCTTAGATAGCAGTAGTCCCCAACATTTTTGGCATCAGGGACTAGTTTTGTGGAAAACATTTTTCCACAGACTGGGAGTCAGGGGAATGGTTTTGGGATGAAATTGTTCCACCTCAGATAATCAGGCATTAGAATCTCACAAGGAGCATGCAACCTAGATCCCTCACATGCACAGTTCACAATAGGGTTTGCATTCCTATGAGAATCTAATGACACTGCTTATCTGACAGGAGGTGGAGTTCAGGAGGTAATGCTAGCTCACCTTCCACTCACCTCCTGCTGTGTGGTATGGTTCCTAATAGGCCATGGATCGGTACCGGTCCTTGACCCAGGGGTTTGGGACCCCTGTTATATCGGACTAGAACATGTGCCAAGGAGCCAAACATGCAGGGTACACACTCTCACTTTGCCACTTCTCAACCATTTAACCTGGAACATCTTACTCAACCAGAGTGAATTTCAGTGTATTCAGTTAAAAGCTGGATATTAATACCAACTCATAAGCTTGTTCAAAGTGTTATATGTAACAATGTTTTAATAGGCAAAGTAGTATAAAATTAGGAGAAATTTGTATAAGACTGGAAGATAATTGAATCCTACCCATAAGCCACAGATATCAAAGACTTTTGCTAAATTAACTACATAAATATAACTCACAACTCACCTTACTAACACTGTGAAAACAAAATAAGATGCTGTTACACCTATTTGGAGGCCACAGATATGGAGATAATGTGATATGATAGCATAGATTGGGAAGCCCAATATTGACCTATTTGCACTCTACTGAGCTTGATTGCCCTTTACTTCTATGACAGTTGAATTCCTGAGAAGCTATAGATAATCACACTGCAGATATTTAGTGTGTGGGCCAAAGGTACATGTGAGAATAAAGACAGAAAGTTTAACCTCCACCATGTGATTCTTTCTTGATACAGCAGGGCTGATGCATATTTTAGTAGCTTCAGGAAAGAGGTTTGAACATAGTCTCATTATATTTGTGTCACAGAAGCTGGCCCTCGTAAATGGGACTCACTAGAAACAGAGGAGACCCTAAAGAAAGGATACCTGCTGGGACTACCTGTCACCCACCTAGCTTCTTTTTTGTTTCAAAAAGCTGGGTTTCTTAACCGGAAGTTTGGCATCACTTCCAATATGGCAAACACAAATCTTTGACTTTAGGAACATGAAAGGAAGAAAACTCACCAGACTTAGTGTTTGTTTCTAGGGGTTACTTAATAATCTGTTTTGCCTTATTTTCCCAAGTATAAAAAAGATTACTGCTTAGAGGAGAATCATGATGATCTTTCTAGTCATAGATCACGTTATATAGTAGTAAAAAGCATACGCTTTGGTATCAGACAAACCTGAATATGTATCCTTGATCTGATGCTAGTTAAGAGGTGTTCAACTTTGGGTATGATATTTAAATTTACTAGGCCTCAGTTTACTTGTCTGTGAGAGAGGAATAACAAAAACAACATAATGATAATACTTTATGGGTTGCTCTGTAGAATAAATAGGATAATTCATGCAAGCAATTGGAACATAGACTGACACATAGTAAAGAATTATTGAATATCAATATTATAACTGATGGGACACTGAATTTTATTCCCAATTGGAAGAGCTATCAAAGGGCTTAAAAATTCAATACCATTCTCAATCTCTCTCTTCTTATTGTAATTCAGTCTTCTATTTATTTTGTGTGACAAACTACCTCATAATTTACTAACTTAAAACACATTAATAGTTATCATCTTTCACAGTTTTGTTGGTTGACTGCACTCAGCTAGGTGGTTCTCTTTTGGAGTATCTCATATGGTGGCAGTCAGAAATTAGCTGGGGCTGAGTCTACCGCTTGACCAGGCTAAATGTCCAAGATGGCTCACTCAGATGGTTTACATTTGATGCTGGCTATTGGCTGGAAGTCAGATGCTCCATGTGGCCAACACATGGCCTCTTTGTGTAGCTAGGACTTCTCAGCAGGCAGCTGAGTTCCAAAGGAGAATGTCTGAAGAATATTTTAACAAAAAGAAGTAGGAGACAGCAGATAAATTGAGATTTGTTAGAACTGACACAGTATCTCTTTGGCCATATTCTATTAGCCAAGGCAGTTATGAGTCTTGGCCACATTCAAAGGTGTGGAGAAATAGACTCTGCCTTTTTGGTAGGGTGGGAAGACCACATTGTAGAAAAGCATGTGGGATGGGAAATATTATTGTGGTTATTTTTGGAAAATGCAATAAGGTATAGCATACTCCCTTACCAGGGCAATTTACATCCCTCTCTTAAATAAAATATACTCACCTTCTCCCTTGACCTTGTGAAAGTCTCATCATTATGGCATCGAATCTACAAGGGCAGGATCTTAGCATTTAAACCAGGTCGATGTGCAGATTTGTTGAGTGCTGCTCTTCAAGTAGTTCCTCTTGATCTAAAGAACTATGTAAAACAAGATATGCTATTTAACCCTTATAGACTCAACACATAATGTTTTTTAAACACATAAGATATCTACAGTATACCCTCCTGTTCAAAAAGGAGCATGGAAGAGGAGGCTGATAGTCACTAATCCACAGCAATTCTGGAATCCAGCATGCACATGTCACCACTTACTTGATTGGAACCTCTTGCTTCCTAGCAGCAGTGCCCAAGCTATCTTGACTTTGTCCGTTGAGTTACTCTTTTTCCATATGAAATAGCCCATGTTGGCAGTGAAAACATGAGGGCCTAGAGACCTCTTTTTATAATGAACATCTCTGTCCTATTCAGCCTAAGTTGATATAATTCCTTTTAAAACTCTGTGGGTTTCTTATATACCAAAGTAGAAGTAATTCCATTAGGCAGAATACACATCTACATTTTTCTCAAACCAACCTCCTGTCTACTTGACCTGGCTATAATCCTGTGTGGGACAATATCCTTAAGGTTCTTAGAAACATTTTTTCTAGTTCAGTGTTAGGCACCACCTTAAATATTTGAAGTCTCTACAAATAATCTAAAATCCATATCCTTGATGGTAATTTTAACCTGGAGCCACATAGTACTGCCATCCCCCAACATTTGATGAATCTGAGTTCATCTGTTATTTTGAGAACTTTTTGCTGTTTGGAATCACTGGGGATGAGAAACTTCTATTTCATATTTTCTCTAAATTCTGCTCAAAATCAGAATAGTCCCTTCTTTAACTCTCTTTATAAATTATCATATGAAGCTAAAACAAATCAAGTACCTGAAAATGTATTTCATTAGAACTTTCAATTTATTAAGTACATATTATTTTTTCAATGTTACTACAAATAACAATTTTACTAACCTTCCCACCAGTATATAACATTAGTCATCTTTTTCTTATTATCCTATAGCGATTTCCCCACTGTCATTTTCACCCCCTGAACAGTTTTCTTGTGGTCCTTCAAGGCTCTGCTTTTATATGGCTGCATAGTATTCCATGGTGTATACATACATTTTCTTTATTCAGTCCAACACTGATTGGCATCTGGGTTGATTCTATGTCTTTGCTGTTGTATATATTGCTGTGGTGAACATACAAGTGCCTGTATCTTTTTGATAAATCAATTTATACTCCTTTGAGTATATACCCAGTAATGGGATTACTAGGTTGAAGGGTAGTCCTGTTTTAAGTTCTCTGAGAAATCTCCAACCTGCTTTCCACAGTGGCCAAACTAATTTAAATTCCCACCAGCAGGGTATAAGAGTTCCCTTTTATCTGCAATCTTGCCAACATCTGCCATTTTCTGACTTTTTCATAATAACCATTCTGAATGGTGTGAGATAGTTTCTCATTATGGTTTTGAATTGCTATTCTGTAATAATTAGTTATGTTGAGCATTTTTTTCATATGCTTGTTGGCTGAATGTATATCTTTTTTTGAAAAGTGTCTGTTCGTGTCCTTTACCCACTTTTTATTGTTTATTTTTTGCTTATTGATTTGCATAAGTTCCTTATAGATTCTGGATATTAGACCTTTGTTGGATGCATAGTTTGCAAATACTTTTTCCCATTCTGTGCATTGTCTGTTTACTCTGTTAATGGTTTCTTTTGCTGTGCAGAAGATCTTTAGTTTAAGTAGGTCTACTTGTCTATTTTTATTTTTGTTGCAATTGCTTTTAGAGACTTCATCATGAAATCTTTGCCAAGGCCTATGTCTAGAATGGTTTTCCCTAGGTTTTCTTCTAGGATTTTTATAGTTAGAGGTCTTAAATTTAAGTTTTTAGTCCTTCCTGAGTTTATTTTTGTATACAATAACATGAAGGGGTCTAGTTTTAATCTTCTGCACAGGGTCAGCCCATTATTCCAGCACCATTTATTGAATAGGGAGTCATTTCCCCATTGCATGTTTTTGTCAGTCTTGTTTAAAATCAGACAGTTGTAGGTGTGCTGCTTTATTTCTAGGATCTCCATTCCATTTCACTGGTCTATGTTTCTGTTTTTGTACCAGTACTATGCTGTTTTGGCCACTGGAGCCCTGTAGCATAGTTTGAAGTCAGGTAGAATGATGCCTCCAGGTTTGTTCTTTTTACTTAGGATTGCATTGACTATTTAGGCTCTTTTTTTTAGTTCCATGTGAATTTTAACTCTTTTCCCATTTGCCCCAAGAATACTTGCTGCCAGTGCTGGCAGCTGAAACATTTACCCTCAGATAACTTTGCCACAAAATATCTCATTTTTAAAATTATTTTTGCATTACACTAGTATATAGACTTTGGAAACAAAAGACATCATTCTACTTACAGCATTCAGTTTTTAGTAGTGGTATTTTCATTTACAAAATATAGTAATTCTTGATCACTGAAAATGTCAAACCCTAGAAAATGTAGCATTCCTATGCTTGATGTTAACATCATTCTCAAACAGTTGTTGGCCGAAGAGTCACTTGATGCATCCAATTTTTCCAAAGTAGACGATTCTGATGATTCAGATTCTGCTGTTAGTTCTGTTTAGAAATAACTCTAAGAACAGTTTTCATATTTTATTTTTACCTTGAAAATTAGATTTGCTTCAGCCTCAAAGAGCTTGTTTATGTAAAATTAAATGAGCAATGGCAACGAGCTGCACTTTTTTTTTCTAAATGAGAAAAGGGTTAAAAAGTTTTTCCAAGTTCTGTAAAGAATGTCTTTGTCAGTTTGATAGAAATAGAATTGAATCTATAAATTGCTTTGGGCAATATGTCTATTTTAACAATATTGTTTCTTCCTATCCATGAGCATGGAATACTTTTCCATTTGTTTGTGTCATCTCTGATTTCTTTCAGCAGTGTTTTGTAATTCTCATTGTAGAAAATTTTCATCTTCCTGGTTGGGTGTATTCCTAGATATTTATTCTTTTTGTGGCGACTGTGAATGGAATTGAGTGCCTAATTTTGCTCTCAGCTTGGATGTTATTGGTGTATATAAATGCTACTGATTTAGGGGGCATTGATTTTGAATTCTGAAACTTTACTAAAGTTGTTTATCAATTCTAGGAGCCTTTGGTTACAGACAATGGGGTTTTCTAGGTATAGAATCATATTGTCTGTGAAGAGAGTGAGTTTGACTTCCTCTCTTCCTATTAGAATGCCTTTTATTTCTTTCTCTTGCCTGATTGCTCTGGTTAGGACTTCTTGCCTGATTGCTCTGGCTAGGACTTCCAGGACTTCTGCATAGGATTAGTGAGAGTGGGCATTCTTGTCTTGTTCTGGTTGTCAAGGGGAATGCTTCCAGTTATTGCCCATTCATTTGGCTGTGTTTAGGGTACATGTGCACAACGTGAAGGTTAGTTACATATGTATACATGTGCCATGTTGGTGTACTGCACCATTAACTCGTCATTTAATATTAGGTATATCTCCTAATGCTATCTCTCCCCCTTCCCCCACCCCACAACAGGCCCCAGTGTGTGATGTTCCCCTTCCTGTGTCCATGTGTTCTCATTGTTCAATTCCCACCTATGAGTGAGAACATGCAGTGTTTGGTTTTTTGTCCTTGCGATAGTTTGCTGAGAATAATGGTTTCCAGCTTCATCCATGTCCCTAAAAAGGACATGAACTCATCATTTTTTATGGCTGCATAGTATTCCATGGTGTATATGTGCCACATTTTCTTAATCCAGTCTATCACTCTTGGACATTTGGCTTGGGTCCAAGTCTTTGCTATTGTAAATAGTGCCGAAATAAACATACGTGTGCATGTGTCTTTATAGCAGCATGATTTATAATCCTTTGGGTATATACCCAGTAATGGGATTGCTGGGTCAAATGGTATTTCTAGTTCTAGATCCCTGAGGAATTGCCACACTGACTTCCACAATGGTTGAACTAGTTTACAGTCCCACCAACAGTGTAAAAGTGTTCCTATTTCTCCACATCCTCTCCAGCACCTGTTGTTTCCTGACTTTTTAATGATCGCCATTCTAACTGGTGTGAGATGGTATCTCATTGTGGTTTTGATTTGCGTTTCTCTGATGGCCAGTGATGATGAGCATTTTTTCACGTGTCTTTTGGCTGCATAAATTTTTTCATGTGTCTTCTTTTGAGAAGTGTGTGTTCATGTCCTTCACCCACTTTTTGATGGGGTTGTTTGTTTTTTTCTTGTAAATTTGTTTGTGTTCTTTGTAAATTCTGGATATTAGCCCTTTGTCAAATGAGTAGATTGCAAAAATTTTCTCCCATTCTGTAGGTTGCCTGTTCACTCTGATTGTAGTTTCTTTTGCTGTGCAGAAGCTCTTTAGTTTAATTAGATCCCATTTGTCAATTTTGGCTTTTGTTGCCATTGCTTTCGGTGTTTTAGACATGAAGTCCTTGCCCATGCCTATGTCCTGAATGGTATTGCCTAGGATTTCTTCTAGGGTTTTTATGGTTTTAGGTCTAACATTTAAGTCTTTAATCCATCTTAAGTTAATTTTTATATAAGGTGTAAGGAAGGGATCCAGTTTCAGCTTTCTACATGTGGCTGGCCAGTTTTCCCAGCACCATTTATTAAACAGGGAATCCTTTCCCCATTTCTTGTTTTTGTCAGGTTTGTCAAAGATCAGATGGTTGTAGATATGTGGCATTATTTCTGAGGGCTCTGTTCCGTTCCATTGGTCTATATCTCTGTTTTGGTACCGGTACCATGCTGTTTTGGTTACTGTAGCCTTGTAGTGTAGTTTGAAGTCAGGTAGTGTGATGCCTCCAGCTTTGTTCTTTTGGCTTAGGATTGAGTTGGCAATGAGGGCTCTTTTTTGGTTCTATATGAACTTTAAAGTAGTTTTTTTCCAATTCTGTGAAGAAAGTCATTGGTAGCTTGATGGGGATGGCATTGAATCTATAAGTTATCATGGGCAGTATGGCCATTTTCACGATATTGATTCTTCCTACCCATGAGCTGTGGTTTTGTCATAGATGGCTCTTATTATTTTGAGGTATGTTCCTTTGACACCTAGTTTGTGCAGGGTTTTTAATATGAAGGAATGCTGAATTTTATCAAAACCCTTTTCTGTGTCTATTGAGATGATCACATGGCATTTGTTTTTAGTTTTGTTTATGTGATGAATCACATTTATTAATTTCCATATGTTGAATTAACTTTGCATGTCAGTAATAAAGACTACTTGATCATGGTGGATTAGCTTTTTAATGTGTTACTAGATTAGATTTGCTAGTATTTTGTTGAGGATTTTTGCATATATCATTAGTGATCTTGGCCTAAACTTTTCTTTTTCTTTTTTTCTTTTCTTGTGTCTCTGCCAGGTTTTGACGTCAGAATAATGCTGGCCTTATGGAATGAGTTAGGAGTCCCTCCTCCTCAAGTCTTTGGAATAATTTTAGCATGATTGGTAGCAGTTCTTTATTGTGTGGTTGAATTCAGCTGTGAATCCATCTGGACCAGGGCTTTTTCTGGTTGGTAGGCTTTTAATTACTGATTTAGTTTTGGAACTTATTATTGGTCTGTTCATGAATTCAATTTCTTCCTGGTTCAATCATCAGGGGTTTTATGTTTCCAGAAATTTATCCATTTTTTTCTATATTTTCCAGTTTGTATGCATAGAGGTGTATGTAATAGACTCTGAGGCTTTTTTGTATTCCTGTGAGGTCAGTGGCAATGTCCCCTTTGTCATTTCTGATTGTGTTTATTTGAATCTTCTCTCTCTTTTTCTTTATTAATTAGGTAGTAGCCTACCAATCTTATTTATTCTTTCAAAAAACAAACTTTGAGTTTTGTGGATCATTTGTATGAATTTTTCCATCTCAATTTTGTTCAGTTCAGCTCTGATTTTGGTTATTTCACTTCTAGTAGCTTTGGGGTTGACTTGCTCTTGTTTTTCTAGTTCCTTTACATGTGATGTTAGGTTGTTTGAGATCTTTCTAACTTCCTCATGTAGGGTTTTAGCCCAATAAACTTCCTCTTTTCAGTGCTTAAGCTGTGTGTCAGAGGTTCTCTTATATTCTACCTTTATTTTTCATTAATTTCAATGATTTTGTTTGCCTTAATTTCCTTCTTTATCCAAAAGTCACTGAGGAGAAAGTTGTTTAATTTTCATGTAATTGTATGGTTTTGAGAGATATTCCTGGTATTGATTTGTTTTTATTGTGTTGTGGTCTGAAAATGTGGTTGATATGATTTGGATTTTTTTTTCAGTTCATTAAGAATTGCCTTATGGTCAAATGTGTCATTTATTAGAGTATATGCAGTGTGCAGATGTGAAGAACGTATATTCTGTTGTTGTTGGGGGGAGTATTCTGTATATGTCAGGTTCATTTGGTCAAGTATCAAGTTTAGGTCCTGAATATTTTTGTTAGTTTTCTGCATCAGTGATCTTATGCTGGCAGTTGGGTGTTGAAGACCCCACTATTATTGAAACAGGAGAATTTTCCTTATCACCCTCGCAGGGTGTGTGACAGGAGTGTGGGCTCGCTTCTTCTGTGCCTCACTACTTAAACTTCTAGGCAGTGCAGTGGTCGTGGGGAGCATTTTTGGGCTCTGACCACACGATAGCATCTGGGGTGAGTGTTTACAGCTCCTGAAGCCTAAGTGGGCATGTGTTAGTATGCTCTTTCAGCTTTGCAGTCTGCAGGCTGCTTGCATTAATCAGCTCAATTAGACCCTCTGCCTTAATGCAAAGACAGAGAGCTTTCTGTATCCCGGCTTCTTGCCCTAGTGTACTCAAAAAATCGGATCATATGTGGGCTTGGAGGAAGAGTGCAAGGTTTTATTGAGTAGTTGAGGTAGCTCTCAGTGAGATGGATTGGGAATCAGAAGGGGGATGGAGTGGGAGGGTGGTCTTCCCCTAAAGTCGGGCCACCTGGCGGTCGGACTCTCCTCTGACTGCCCACGGCTAAATTCCCCTTGGTGTCTGCATTGTTCCACCATTGCAGGTCTCCTGGTGTCTGCTGGTGTGTTCTTCTGCTCCTCTCAACTTCCGGCCACTTGTGTGTGTGCCTGCTACAGTCCTGGGTTTTATGAACACAGGATGCAGGGTGTGGTGGACCAAAGGCAACTTTTTGGGTATGAAAAAAGAAATGCTTGTCTTCATTTAGGTCCGTGGGCACAGGCCTGAGGGTTGAGCCCTTGCCAGGGACCCCGCCCTTCTCTACTTAGCACTTCCTGCCCCGTTCTCATATCATTGTGTGGTTATCTAAATCTCTTTGTAGGTCTCCAACAATGTGTTTTATGAATCTGGGTACTCCAATGTCGGGTGCATATATATTTAGGATAATTAAGTCTTCATGTTGAATTTAACCCTTATTCATTATGTAATGCCCTTCTTTATCCTTTTTGATCATTGTTGGTTTAAAGTCTGTTTTGTGTGAAATAAGAATGACAACCCTTGCTCTCTTTTGTTTTCCATTTTCTTAATAAATCTCCATTACTTTACTTAGAGCCTATGAATATTTTTACATGTGAGTTGGGTCTCTTGAAGATAGCATTCAGCTGAGTTTTGCTTCTTTATCCAACTTACCACTCTGGGTCTTTTAAATAGGGCATTTCGCCCATTTACATTCAAGGTTAATATTGATATGTGAGGATTTGATCCTGTTATGTTGTGAGCTGGTTGTTGTGTAAACTTGGTTGTATATTTGCTTGATGTGTCTGTGGGCTATATACTTAAATGTGTTTTTGTGGTGGTTGGTAACGATCTTTCGTTTCCATATTTAGCACTCCCTTAAGGACCTCTAGTAAGGCAGGTCTAGAGTTAACAAATTTCCTTAGCATTTGCTTGTCTAAAAAAGAAATTTATTTCTTCTTTGCTTATGAAGCTTAGGTTGGTGAGATATGAAATTTTTGGTTGGAATTTCTTTTCTTTAAGGATCCCAAATACAGGCTCTGATCTGTTCTGGGTTTTAGGGCTTTTGCTGAAAGACCTGCTGTTAGCTTGATGGGGTTCGCTTTGTACATGACCTTACCTTTCTCTCTAGTTGCCATTAAGATTTTTTCTTTTATGTTGACTTTGGAGAATCTGATGACTATGTGTCTTAGGAATATAGTATCTTTCAGGGATATTCTGAATTTCTTGAAATTGCATATTGACCTTTCTAGCCATGTTCAGGAATTTTTCATGGGGAATATCCTCAAATATGTTTTCCAAGTTGCTTGCTCTCTCTCTGTTTCAGGAATGCCAATAAGTCCTAAGTGTGGCCTCTTTACATAATCTCATATTTCTCAGAGGTTTTGTTTATTTTTAAAAATTCTCTTATATTTTTGTCTGCCTGCATTGATTCAAAGGAGCAGTATTCAAGCTCTGAGATACTTTCTTCAGCTTGGTCTACTCTGTTATTAATGCTTCCAGTTGCATTCTGAAATTCCTGTAGCAAATTTTTATATTTCCAGAAGTTCAGTTTGGTTCTTTTTAAAAATGGCTATGTCATCTTTCAACTCTTGGGCTGTTTTACTGTGTTCCTTGGATTGAGTTTGAACCTTCTCCTGTATCTCTATGAGCTTCCTTGCTGTCTAGATTCTGAATTCTATATCTATCATTTCAGCCATTTCAGTCTAGTTAAGAACCTTTGCTGGGTAGCTAGTATGATCGTTTTGAGGTAAGAAGACATTCTGGCTTTTAGAGTTGCCAAAGTTCTTGCACTGGGTCTTTCTCATCTCTGTGTGCTGATGATGTTCTTTTAATCTCTGAAGTTGCTGTCTTTTGGCTGTGGCTTTTTGCTTTCATATTTTTTGATGCCCTTGAGGATTTGACTGTGGTATAAAATGGGTTTAGTCAATTGGCTTTGTTTCTGGATGGTTTCAGGAGACCAAGGCTCCACTTAGTACTCCTGGGCTGTGTGCCTTAACCCTATGTAGGTGAGACCAGGCCTGTGGCTTTGTTCTCTTCCTCCTCCTGGTTAAGCACTTGCTGCACTGGAGAGTCTGAGGCATTCCCAGTATTCTGGCAACCACACTTTGATGGTGGCTGCCCTTAAAAGGGCTCTGGTGGGGTAGTGGTGGGCCTGCACACATGTGTACTCCAGTGGGGCAGTGGAGAAAGGCTGTAGGTGGGTGTCCACTTGTGGGGTCCATCTGCAAATGTGCGCTGACAGGTAGGCAGGGTCTGCTAGTGAAAGAGCTATGGTAGTGTCTGCTGGCAAGCTGAGGCTAAACTGCAAGTGGGTGTGGCCAAGCAGGGACCCTGAGAAAAGCTGGCAGACAGAGTGGTGCTCAGATCAGACTGTTCCTGTCCCATGGGCAAGACAGCCTTGCTCTGTCCATGTCCACTAGCTAACTAATGTGAAAGCTGCCTGGAGGAGTATACCAATCCTTGGGAGGTGGATGTCCATGGCCATGCTCCAGTGCAGCTGTTCCTACACAAAACTTTCTGGGCTTCATGCAGGCTAGATTTTGGTCTCTGCTAAGTCTCTGAGTAGTTTTTCTTGCCAACTCAAATGTCCATGGGGGTCACAGGGTCTCCTCCAGCTAAGATCCCAGAGGTCCATGGTGAAAGTGGGCCACCCCATGCCTATTTCACTCACCCTTTCCCTAGGAGACACTTGGAGCCAGAAAAAGTCCTCATGCTCAGCAACCCTTTGCAGGTTTCTTAGCTTCCTCCCCTTTTAGCCTGGTGTCTGTTGCCTTCCTCTGTCCCCTGTAAATGTTTTCTTTCTGAAGAACTATTTGGAGTTTGCTTGTTTACTTGTTTGTCTGTTCTCTCTTCATGGGAGAAGGTCTTCCAGGCTGCATCTAGTCAGCCATCTTAGCTATCTCCAAGAACTTTATTCTTTGCTCTTTTTCTTCTTCTTATCCTCCTCCTCTCTGTGTACCTTTGCTGCCTCCTCCTTTCCCATCTTGTTCTCACATAACAGCTTTGCCAAAAGCTTCAATTTAGGAATGTCTGGGTAGGAGGTTCTAGACATCAGGGATAAATACTATTTTCTACTCTGCCTCTCCAGATATATTTTCTTATGTGCAGCATATCTCAACATAATTTTAAATTTTGATATTTGCATGATGTAGGAGAAATAGGTCATTTCTTTTCTTTGTCTTTGAGTACTATTCTATAGCAAATGAGGCAAAAGAGTATTCCATATGTTCCCTGTCAGATTGTTCACATCATTAGTGTATTGCATAATGGTTTGGGACCAAAAGTCAAGTTATAATTAACATGCTATTTTGATTCCTTTACTTCTTTCTGTGTTTCCTCTGTTTGAGTCCTCTTGGGATATAGTGTGACAGTCAAGTCAGGACTCAGGTTAATGTGGATTTCTGGTGAAAGGCCATGTAAGATCTTATGAATACCATATGAATAAAATTCACATAACTTATAAAAAATTAGCATGAGACACAAAGGGAACAATTTCTGTATTAGACAAAATCACGGCCATTTGAAACAATGTTCCTGTAAGAAACATGAAAACTTAAAAATTTCAACTTATATCTTTAATAAAATTGGAAAGGATATTTAATGGGATTGAATAGGTTAAAAGCAGTCATAAAAATGTATACAAATTATTGTAAAAGGAAAACATGATTGACTATTTTTTGTTTAAAAAGCACAATGGAAGGAGTAAATATAAGATAGGATATTAAAAAGACAAATTTTTTGAAATAGAGGACATGGTTAAGAAATCAATGACTCATAAAAGCAAAACATATAAGACAGTGGATCTTAGTATATATTTAATATTATTACATATTAAGTGAGCATCTATTATAATTTTATGTAAAACAGTATCTTAATTATTTGGGACATAACACTAAGCATAGTAGACACTGTTCTTTTTTTGCAAGAGACAAGAGTCAAGCAAATGAGACAGAAAATTAAGTAATTACAGCAAAGCATGATAAATTGTCTGATCAAGGAAGTACAGATTGCTAAGAGAGTGAATAATGATTATTTGAAAGTACTCTTAATAAGGTCAGAAAGTCTTATCAGAGGAAGTGATATTTAAAATGAGATCTGAAATATGAATAATAGGTAAAAATGATAGTAATGTGCAAAGAGTTCAAATCAGAGGAAATACCATATATAACACCCAATTAAAACCATATAGACAAATAACACACGATATTCAAAGAAATCGGAGAACTATGTTGATGACAATTGGTTCATTTCTTTCATCTCTGTGATTCATTGAGTTAAGCTAGGTTAAGGCAGATACTTGCAAACTCTGGGTGAAGCCTCAAGCTAAGAACCAGCCTATAGCATGGCCCAGCATGCCTTGAGACTTACATTTTTTAGTATGACTGTGCAAGAGTTGAATACATTCAGCAGAGTGTTCTTAGATTTCATAGGACTTGCCCATGGCAATTTTTATAGTTTATTGCCACTCCTTACTTTTGACTATCAGTCTCATATTCCTGGATCTATGGACACCCTCTATTTATCTGATTAAAATCAAAACAATTGCTTCCCAAAACATGCTTTAAATTTTCTGTTAGATATATTTACATCAAATCTGTAATTTTTGTTCTTGAACACTATATTTTCCATTTTTTCTCTGCCAAATATAATAATAGTAATAATATTTATTGAATATATCAGACACCATTTCTGCCATCTTATATTTAATAAATTAGTCTTCATAATAACCCTGTAAGTAGGTGCTGTTTTTAAGTTATTAACACTTTACAAATAAGAAAAGTAATACAGGGAGCTTGAGGAACTTGCCTAAAGTCACCATTGCTAGAATATGGTGGGGCTAGTTTCAAGTATTTTAGTCTGACTGCAGAGCCACATTCTTAATCATTGTATTAAAATACCTACCTTATTATAGATCACTGTTTTTTACAGTAGTCTCATATTTGTTGCTTTAAGAAATGCAGTGGAAGAAGAAAAATAAGATAAATGGAAATTAGTGATAAAAGAAAAAAGCAGAAAAAAAATTCCCTGAGCTTAAGAGAGAAGTGCAACATCAGCTTGAAGTTTCTCAACAAATGTCACACAAAACTTATTATACTATGTGGCTCATAAGAATATTAATGTGTGTATAAGTGTGTGTGTGTGTGTGTGTGTGTGTGTGTATGTGTCCTTTAAGAATCTAGACCAAAACATACAAATTTTATTTTGAAAAGTAGATTGACAATAGACTTTTCTATAACTTTTAAATTTGCTAAATAAATGTAGTGAGGCAATGACTGGAGATCTTAATGTCATTATAAGGATTGAGAATTTTAGAAACAGAAAAGGCTTTAATCTTTAGTGAGATACATATGTCATCCAAGAGTTTAGACAAGGTACCGCCAAGATACTCTTCATCAAAATGTTTCAGGAAAAAGAGCTTAAAAAGTGGGAGCTAACTAGTGGAAGTTCAGTGCCTTTGTGGTGGTAGAAGTATGGTGAATGAGAGTAATTGAAAGGCAAAAACATTCAACAAATATTATTAGAGCACCAGGCAGGATCTTGGGACTCATCAGTGATAAAAGCATAAAATATTGTTTCATGTAGAGTTCTCATTTTGGGGGGAACATAGATAATGATAAGCATTGAAAATAAGAACCATATGTCGTGTGTTGAGTGATGATAAATGCTATGGAAAGAATCAAACAAGGAAAGAAGAATTCAGTGCTAGGCATGGAGGAGGACAGATCTCAATTGCAACTTGTATGTTCAGGTCAGATCTCATTAAGAAAGACGTATTTGAGCAAATACTTGAAGGGGTGAGGGAATTCACCATGTGGAACAAAGAGGGGATATAGCCATCGCAAAGATCCTTATGAGGGATTGTGGCTGGTGGGTATGAGAAAGGGATGGACTATGTGGTCAGAGTAAAGTGAGAGAGAAGTCTAGGGTAATAGTAGTGGGGTGGAGTGGGGGCACAAATCAAAAAAGATCTTTAAGGCTTCATAAAGGTTGGCATTTTGTTTCAAAAGAATTGGGGAGCTATGCCACGGTTTAAGAGGACACAGAATATAATATGAAATACTTTTTAGAACTATTATAGCTTTCATGAAGAAAATACACACTATAGTGGGGCAAATGTTGAGCTGTGATATCCAGAAACCAGCAACAGTAGTAGGAAGTCAAGGAAACTCCTAGTCCTGAGGAAAAGATATTATAGGAGTCTTGGGAGCTGGATCCATGAAAGAGGGGCAGTCCCAATGAGGCTGTGGTCATAGAGGGACTCAGAACAAGGAGGCATGGGAAAAAATATACTTAAACATTTTTCTCCTCCTTTCCACTGATCTCCTCCCAGGACCTCAGTAGCCAATACATCAAGAGGCCATCTTCAGGGGAATTCTTACTTGGCCTTTTTTCTGTTGATTTTAACATCTGAGTTATCCTAAGATTGATTTTCTTTATTGCCTTTCTCATTATGCAAGGATTTTTTTCCTATGAAAGTGCAAATTAACAAATAAAAACCACAGAGAAAATAAGAAAGTTGTATATTCTAATAATTAACCCAAAGCTGTCATCCCAGAAAGTTTTGGAGGTAATAAGGTAATAATGCTCATTATCTTTAGACACAGAGTGGAAAAAACAAGGTTTGAAAATGAATCTGATGTGGGGGAACAGACTGACAATAACCAGCCATATCTACCAAATAGCTATACATGTACTTTATAAATTACAATGAGAAATCTGAAACAATTACTACAAGTATCATGACTGTACTTCAACTTAGTGAGAGACTGGAACATCATTGAGTAACACTGCCTTCATAAAAAATAATTCCTAAAATATAGAACATGAAAATATTCATTAAAAATAATATTTACATGCTGATACTGCAATTTGATTAAAAGCTATCCATGACTACTTTGTTTATTAAAATAATAGAAACTAGAAGTTGCTTTTCTATAAATGTTTAATTACATTTACAACTGTTCTGTTGTAAATAATTGTTGTAAATAACAATTGGATCTAGTTGGTTAATAATGTTGCTAACATTTTCTATGTCGTTACTTAATTTGTTTCCCAAATCATCTATGAATTATCAAGAGAGACAAATTAAAATATTCAAACATCACTTTGGATTTCCCATTTTGCTTAATTTTATTCCATATGTTCCAAAGCTCAGTACATAGGCACATACACATTTAAGACTGTTATGTCTTCCTGGTAAATTGACCCTTTTTTCAGTTGTGGAAAGTCTCACTTTAAATTTGGTAATATCCCTTTTCTGGAAGTCTATATTAGTTAATATTAATAAAGCCATGGCAGGTTTTGATGCTTCCTCCTTGTATGTATTTTTTTAATCTTTTTACTTTCAAGCAATAGACATCTTTAATGTCCATCTCTTACAGACAGTGTGTAGTTAGATCTTGCTAAGAATCAAGGTCTTTGAGTTGAAGATTTTAGTAGGTTCGCAGTCATGTTTGCATTCATGTATATTGTGTTACTACAATAATTACTTTCTATTTGTCACATCCTTTTTGTTGTTGTTATTAATTTTCCTGTGTGTTTTTTCTTTCTTAATTTGTTTGAACTGATTATTTTATTTTAATTCCTTTACAGGCTTTTAAACTACATGTATTTGCATTCATTTTTGAGTAGTTGATCTAGGCAGAATTAGAATATGCATCATTAATTTATCACTATCTTCTTAGAGTCCTCGAGCATATCTTTAATTGGAAATTTGAAGGCTTTTTGTTATAATTCCAATATTATGGTTATCCTAAGATTTGTTTATGTTGATACTACATTTTATTAAAATGCAAAGTTTCCTCTCTCTCATCTTGAAGAAAATGCTATTTAACAAAAAAATTAAATAAGAAGCTGAAAATAAAATAAAATAAATCACATACATTTTAAAAAAATTGTCCTAACTTGCCAGTCCAGATAGCTTTAAAGGCAATTCTCATCATTATTTTAAAAAATCACTAAAATAATCTAGGCTTTTCAAAGTATAGGGAATTGTGGAAACTATAATTCTAGCAGGCCATATATTTATGATTCAAAACAATGAAGTCACCAAATAAAGCTTTTAGTATTCTTAAATTAGAAAAATTAGCCTTATTTCCATATCATAACAAATAATAATTAGCAGTTACCATCACAATTCATGGTAAAACCTGACAGTCAAGTTGTTCTAGAATAACCTGAGGTGCTTGATATCATCATTTTTACTTACTAATGTTGATATCATCCTATCTAATGCAAAATAAAATAAAAATTTTTTAAATTAAAATGATATTTGAAAAGTTACAATAAAATCCTCCTTATTTGTATAAAGCTCTAATAATATGATTATCTTCTGGATAAATCCAGCAAATGAACTGTAATGTTATTATCCCAGGTTAACGTTCAGTAAGATTATTACTTAGAAATAGAGATATTTCATTGAAGAGCTAACTAACCAAAACATTTTTTTTGTTTGTTTCGAGAAATGGGTGTCTCACTGTATCTCAAACTCTTGGGCTCAAGTGATCCTCCCACCTCAGTCTCCCAAAGTGCAGACATGAGCCACTATGCCCAGTCCCAAATTGTGTCAGCTTATGCAAATTCCAAATAAAGTTCTAGTGGAAACTATGGTTTTCTATTGTACTCTTGGGAACATGATTCTATTTATTACTATCTGCCCTTTCACATCACACTCGGCAGTTTATAAATATATAGAAGATACTGCTATCATTTTAATTTAGAAGGTTTTAAAATCTCATCCTGAATATTGTCATTTTTATGACACATATTTTTCTATGTCATAAAAATATATTTGAGATACAACATATGTTAAAAGAAACAAAAAAGTCGTAGAAGAATGCACCTGTCACCATTTACTAAACCTTCCATTTAAAATAGCTTTTTGTGATATAAAACTAAAGATAGAAACCATAGAGGAAAGTAATCATTGAAAACAAAACAATGAAGTATTTTTAAAAAGTAAAATAGAGAAACCACCATTGTTAGAGAAAAGTTTGGAGTCATCTTCATGAAGGTGCTAGAGTATTCTGTGAGAATTTATAAAGCTGGGATAAAGGGGAAAATGTTCATTGAATCAATTTTTTAAATTATAGAGTGGGAGAGCAGAAAAAACAAAAACACCTGGCTATGGAGACAAAAAGAGGCAGTTCAAGAAAAGACAAGGGAAACAGCATCACAGAGCACAAGAGATTAGATTTTTTAGTAGAAAAATGTGTTCAAATGATTTGAAAGCTAAGAGAATTTCAAAATTCTGGAAGTTTCCAGAATTAGTGATTGAAAAGTCATTGATAACATGTGATTATATGATATGTCTGAAGATGTTTACATACAGTAAGTAAAATTAATTATGAATTACATAAATCAACCCAATTAAACATATTATTAAATGTTATTTTTAATTCAACAATGTTTTCACTGGCTCTTGATAAGACAAATTAAATGACAAGTAAAACCATGTATTACATGTGTCATTTTAGAAACGGAAAAAGCAAGATCAACACCAAGATATAAATTTTCATTACATTGTTAACTTACAGTAATAACTATCTTTACTTTCTTTTATAAAATGAAGTTCTATATGCTTTCTCATCCTCCAAGAATCATTTAAAGAAATATAGAATGGTTGCAAAAACGTATTAAACATTTTGAAGAACTCTATAAGTACAAAGTACACTCTGTGTTTATAATTGTTGTCATGTAGGAGTGAAATAGATAATTCCCAATTCTCTCAAATCTGTCAGTGGGAGATTTTTCTAGTTCTCATACTAAAATGCTATATAAAACTTAAAGCATTATGTAAATTTAAAATAAATTAAATGAAACTGGTAAATTCAGAGTTTGAAAAAATAACCACAGAAGAAAACAAAATTGGCCATTGTACTATCCTCCATTTTCATACTATGGCTCATAAATTTTCTGGCTGTATAAAAGACATGATAAATAATATGTCAGTTGTACTTTTTTCTCTAAATTACTTAACAATAACTGTCTTGGAAACAGCTAAGGTCATTGACTGGGTTGGAGGTATAGATAGCTAGTTAAAATTGGACAAGAACTAGTTGATATTTCTGTTATCAAAGAAATAAAAGAGTCATTTATTTACTGTACTTATCTATGCTAATTAGTCTTTAGGACAATGTAGGTTACTGCAGTGGAAAAATTATGTTAGTTTCGCTAAGCTTCAAGGTCCTATCAGTAATATGAGAATTTCTAAGTTACAGTCTTATAATACTGTATTCATGTAACTAGTGACTAACACAATTCTTGGCAAAGAATTGATATTCAATAGATGAGAGCTTCTGACATTATTTTTATTATTATATTTTATTGATCATAAATTAAAAATTGCTACTAGGTTATAACATTTAGTTTAATAAAAGCATCTAGGTCCAAAAACTTACAAACGTTGCTGCTAAGGTACAGACTGATGACGTTTTTACTCCCTGGAAATCAGGTTCTCCATTCTTTCAGAATAAAGTACATTTGCAAATTGTACCAGCTTATGCAAATTCCAGATAAAGTTCTAATTTAAAATATGGTTTTCTTTTGTACTCCTTGGGAATGTGATTCTATTCATTACTATCTACCCTTTCACATCACACTCAGAGATATATAAATATATTGTAGGATACTGCCATTATTTTAATTTAGAAGATTTTAAAATCTTGTCCTGAATATTGTCATTTTGAAATATGATTGTGTTTAAAGCTATGATTCCTTTTTACTGGATGAGCCTGCTGTCTTGCAGGGCCAATCAACATACATTACATTTTTAGAAAATATTTAAATAGCCAACAATATGTTTCATCCTTCCAAATTGAAATGAAGTTGTATCAGTCTCATATTTATTTTAGAAAAAATAAAAATAAGATTTGTTGTTAGATTTATGGTTTTTATATGACACATAAATGTAACCAATAGATTCATTAAAAATCATTTTTAAAATAGTAAATTAATGGAAAAAGAAACTCAGTTTGTTTAATTTTGGCCAGACAAAGAATTTATTTAATTACTTGTTTGTTCGAGTAATTTTTCACATATGACCTAATCACAATCATTGTTTCATGCATTAATTTGCATTTTTCTCATATAGGAATGTATACATGTATATATTTTATATTTTTCATTTTTTCTATAATATGTTCTTCATACTCTAGATTATTTTCCATAAATTTTAGCCCAGGCAGTTGTTTCTAAAGCAAGATATTTTCAAACTACTTATCTTGGTGTTTTAGTAATTCTAGTGTCTTAATATCGATTGCTTATACACAAGATGAAAGAGGTTATTTTCAGGGTGTCATTGTTTTAGTGGCCTTGTTTAAACTGCTCAGCAAAAAAAGCCAACCTGAGTGTCTGTTTACTGCATTATAAATTGCCTGTGTGTTGTATATTGGCATTAGGAACAGACTGAAAAATGGATACTATAAGGTGGAACTTCTTGAAAGTGTAAATTTCTGAGATCCTAGAACATCACATACCCCAGAGAGATCTATTTTGCCTTGGAATGTAGTTTAAGAACTCTGTTCATAATATTGTAGGAATTTCTTCTGCCAAACACTTGTATGAGGAAGAAGAAATATCCGTTTGGATTGTTTAGGAAATTCAGATGGGAAATTGAATTTTGAGATACAAGTGATATAGTTAACCTTTAAAGAAGTTTTAAAGTATATAATATAAAACAAATTTTTACAAAAATTAGAGATAAAATGTTAGAGCTTACTCTGTTCTACATTATAAAACGTGACTAAAGCTTGCTGCAAAACAAGGGTAAGATTATTTTCCTCTTGTTAGTATACTGATACATATCTTTAATATGTCTTATATTTTTGTGTCTCTGGCTTTCAATTTTCTTCCTTTCAGAATATGTTTTGCTCAAATTTATTAAATGTTACTCGCTTTTGGAAAGAAGTTGAGTTTAGTGATTCAACTGACTATGTTGAAGTTAAACTGGAGTTATGAATAAAATATTGATCCAAAAATTGTTTTACTGTGAAAAGCAACATTTTATAAAGTATTTTACATAAGCCGTACTCAGTGTATATTTCTTGAGTAAAGCTTTAATATAACTAGCATTGATTAAATACAACCTTTTAGTATTGATAGCAAGGAACATAGTTTGTACACTAAAGCATTTTATTTCTATTACCTTGCTTGTTCTTTCCTGGTTCAAACAAGATTGTCTAGAGAAACACTATTATTGCCTAATTTTACATATTGGGAGGCTGAGCCAAAAACTACAAGTAACTGATCCAAGCTCATTCAAGTCTATTGTTGTAATTCTTTATTAGTTCTGTAGCTTAGACAGGAAGCTCCTGTTTCTTTACGCACAAGGAACATAAGTAATATGCATTTAGTTTAAAATGATGATGGTGAGATGCTCCCAAAGCTGAATCTACATCCTTTATATGTTTGTTAGTTGTGCTGTTTTGTCGGACCCCAGTGTTTCTGGGATCCCTTAGCATCAACTAAAATGATTAAGAAAATAAAATATTTTACTGATAAAGAATCCTTATTTCTATGTATTCATTGAGATGAAACTGTAACTTCTGCCTGAGAGGTAATGACAGCAACATTATGTTAAGGATTATTAAGGATGAAAAATGTCTGAAGGAAGGAAGAAACTGAGAAGTCTGTCTCATCCGAATCTCTCCTAGTAAAATAGTCATCTGTTGCTTTGCTGCCTGGTATCTGTTTAGCTTTCTGAAAACAGCACTCTGAATCTTTGTGTGGGAATTACCCTTTATCCCATTAAATCCAGTGAGAGAGTCCATGCTCTTACAGCTAAGGAATAGGCATGAGACCCGAGCTGCAACAAACAGACTTAATTTGCTGGGAATTTGAACTTTGAGCAAAGCTAGAGTGAAAAGACTGAGGAAGGCTGAAACTTATTCATCTACATTACTTGATGGTACCCTGAAGAGACTTACCTTGCTTTCCACTACCTAGTCCACCGAATAATTCTCAGTTTGGTTTTTGACAAATTATAAAGCATTCTGATATGGGTTGGATTTGTGTCCCTGCCCAAATCTCATGTCAAATTGGAAGAGAGGCCTGGTGGGAGGTAATTGGATCATAGGGGTGGATTTTTCCCTTGTTGGTATTATGATAGTGAGTGAATTCTCATGAGATCTGATGGTTTAAAAGTGTGTGGCACTTCCATGTTCACTCTTTCTCTCTCCTGCTCCACTATGGTAGATGTGTTTGCTTTCTCTTCCCCTTCTGCCATAATCATAAGTTTCCTGAGGCCTCCCAGCCATGCTTCCTGTACAGCCTGCAGAACTGTGAGTCAATTAAACCTCTTTTCTTTATAAATTACCCAGTCTCATGTAGTACTTTATAGCAGGGTGAGAACAAACTAATACAGAAATGGTACTTTGAGTTGGGCTCTGCAATAAAGATCCTTGAAAACGTGGAAGAAACTTTGGAACTGGGTAATGGGCAGAGGTTAGAATAGTTTAGAGGGCTCAGAAGAAGGCAGGAAGATGTGAGAAAGTTTAGAATTTCCTAGAGACTTGTTGAATGGTTTTGACCAAAATGCTGATGGTGATATGGACAATGAAGTCCAGGTTGAGGTCGTCTCAGATGGAGATGAGGAACTTATTGGGAACTGGAGTAAAGGTCACTCTTGCTATGCTTTAGCAAAAAGACTGGTGGCATTTTGCCCATGCCCTAGGGATCTGTGGAAATTTGAACTTGAGAGAAATGATTTAAGGTATCTGGCAGAAGAAATTTCTAAGCAAATAAGCACTCAGGATGTGACCTAGCTTATTCTGAAAGTGTTCAGTCATATGTATTCACAAAGAGGTGGTCTGAAATTGGAACTTATATTTAAAAGGGAATCAGAACATAAAAGTTTGGAAAATTTGCAGCCTGACCATGCAGTACAAAAGAAAATCCCATTTTCTGGAGGGGCATTCAAGGCTGGAGAAATTTGCATAAATAAAGAGGAGCTGAATGTTAATAGCAAAGACAATGGGCAAAATGTCTCCTGGGCATTTCAGGCACTCCCTAGTGGAGCTGTGAGAAGACAGCCATTATCCTCCAGATCCCAAAATGGCAGATCCACCAACAGCTTAAACCATGTGCCTAGAAAAGCAGCAGGCACTCAATGCCAGCCCATGTAAAGCTGCAGGTGCTGTACCCTGCAGAGCCACAGTGGTGCAGCTGCCAAGGCCTTTGGAGCCCACCCCTTGCATGAGTGTTCTCTGGATGTGAGACATGGAGTCAAAGGAGGTTTTTTTGTTGTTGTTGTTGTTTTTTGTTTTTTTAGCTTTAAGATTTAATGACTGCCCTGCTGGGGTTTGGACTTGTATGAGGCTTGTAGCCCCTTTGTTTTGGCCCATTTCTCCCATTTCAAATGGGAGCATTTACACAAAGCCTGTACTCCCATTGTATCTCAGAAGTAACTAACTTGTTTTTTATTTTACAGGCTCATAGGCAGAAGGGACTAATCTTGTCTCAGATGAGACATTGAACTGTAGAGTTTTGAGTTAATGCTGGAAACAGTTAGGATTGGGGGAGTGTTGAGAAGAGGTAATTGTGTTTTGCAATGTAAGAGAACATGAAATTTGGGAGGGGCCAGGGGCAGAATAATATGGTTTGAATTTGTGTCCCTGTACAAATCTCATATGGAATTGAAGGAGGGGCCTGGTGGGAGGTGATTGCATCATACTGGTGGATTTCTCCCTTGCAGTTCTTGTGATAGTGAGTTATCGTGAGATCTGATGGTTTAAAAGTGTGGCACGCCCCCCTTCACTCTGTCTCTCTCTTGCTCTGCCATGGTAAGACATGTTTACTTACCCTTCACCTTCTGCCATGATTTTAATTTTCCTGAGGCCTCCCAGCCTTGCTTCCGGTACAGCCTGTGGAACTGTGAGTCAACTAAACCTCTTTTCTTTATTAATTACCCAGTCTTGGGTAGTTCTTTATAGCAGTGTGGGAACAAACTAATATACATTCCATTTAGATTTTTGAGCTATCCACTATCTTTTCAATACATCATCTTTCTGATATTAGCTTAGCTTTTATCAATTTCAATTGGTTGAGTAACGAAAATAATGCCTTAAAATGTTAAATTGCTAAACTTTTTACTACTCCCACCCCATAAATTACTCCTCAGTTCCATTCTTTCATCACAACACCAGAGAGGGAGTAGAAGTATGAAAGATATGTGTTAAGGAAGTCTAGGTGAAAAAAGATTAAGCAGAAAATCTGCGCCTTAGTCCCGCATAAATTTTTAAATGAACAGATGTGAAGGGAGGGTGACAAGTTTTGCAGTAATCTCCTCTACTGTGTAAGACTGATCTTACTGAAGAAAGGAGTATACAACACAGTTAGAGGGAAAGGTCAAAGAAAGAAGGCACTTTTAATTCTCCAACTATCTGTTTTGGAGTTTGGCAACTTTGACAAGCTAGGACTATGACAAACTAAGACAAGTACAGTTGAATATAATCTGTGCTGTGGTGTGTTTATCCAGGCTGAATGCTTTCATTTAACTTCTCTGAGACTACCCTGAATGTCAGTGGCTCCAGTGAGACACATAAAATATCATAGTTCCTTTGTGTGCTGTGTTGCAAGATGTGATTCTGTGATCAACAGTACAGAGGACTCATTCAGGATAGAGTATGAATAGAAGTCACAGCCAAATCTCAGGGGATCTGAAGCACTACCAATAGGTGAAATGAGATTAAGCCAATATATAGGGACTCCTGGAGCTGATCTAGTGAAGAGTAAACCATTCGCAAATATCAAAGAGGTGAACAGTTAATAGGAAGAATTGATGTCAATGTCACCAAGGTCAGAAGGAGCAGTTGTTCTCTCAGCAGAAACTAATCCTAGCTAGCCACTTGGAAGCAGAGACCAAAAAGAAGCCAGAAGGCTGTGACTAATGGGACTGTATCCTTTTCTGAGACCTTAAGAGCACACAAATCTTTTCCATAGCTCTGTATGTCATCTTGGGGAGGATAACAGAGAGGGATCAGGAAAAAGAGAGATTAATTATTTAATAATTTGAAATGAAAGAGGCTGTAATATCATAAATTGGCTAATTTAACACTTGTTCTCTTTCTCCTTTTTAATCTATCAGATCATTTGTAGCTACAAAGCAAGAGAGGAAGTGACCAGTACTGACTTAGACAACACAGGTTTATTTTTATCTATATAACAAGAATTAAAGAGGTGGGTCATTCCAGACATAGCGCAGAGATCAAGATGATAATTTGGAGCGCATATGCCTCTTACCTTTTTTTAGTTTCCATCCTTAGTACGTCAGCAAAGTCTTTCCTCCTGGTTGTAATACAGCTACAACAGCTCCAACCATCACATTCTAAACACATTCAGAAACGGGAAGAAGAAAGCAGGTGACAAACACATTGAGAGGTGGGTGACAAGGACAAAGGGTGTGAGAAAGACAGCCTTTCTTATATACCTTTCTCTTTTTATTAAGATAAATAGTTTCACTTCAAAAATTTCAAGTAGATTTTCCCTCGTGTTATATTGTCTACTCCAAGTTGGAAATGCAGTAGGAAAGGGAACATATGGTATTTTCATCCTTCATGGTCAGTGAAGGCTCTGCTAGCACGGAATAAGTGTACCTGCTGCATTCATGTCATCATAAAATCCTTACTAGTCTACTCTTTCCATTAAATCAGGTAATCAAGACTTGATAGTAAGGCTGTGGGGGTAATGTTTTACTGTGGAAAAAAACTAAAGTTTTACTCAGAAGTTGCTGGATCAAGTCCTATCTGTGCAATGTACAAGGCATGTGACATTGCATGTCATGTAAGCTTTCTAAATAGCCTCATGTTAATTTGCAAAATGAGGTAATCAACATCATATTCATCACTTGAAAGAGATAATGCATTTAATTGTTTTTATATTGAAAATTTTGTATAGGATGACTTTCATTTTTATTTGTATTCATTCATTTATTCAATAAATGTTTGTTTAAGAACTACAGTTTGCCAGGCACTGATATAGGTTCTGGGGATACCACAGTGACAAAATAAAGTCACTGCTGGCATGGAACTTAGTTTCCAAGTGGGGGTTATGGCAGGAGATGGGCAATAAAGAGTAAACATATTATCTGATATTAAATTAAAATGTAAGTTTCATGAGAGCAGGGACTTTTGTCTGCTTTTCTCAGTGATTAGAACAGCATCTCGTACATAGTAAGCACTTAGTAAATAAACCAATGGTGATAAACGTTATGAAAAAATATAACAGTGTAAGGTGATACAGAGTGACAAGTGGATACTACTTAAGTTGGAGTGATTGATTTCATCCTCTTAGATGATATTTCAATGAAGACTTGATTGCATTAAGGATATCTGGGAAAAAAACATTCTGGGAGAGGGAACAGCATGCACAGATTTTCAAGGAAGGGAGAATGCTTGGCACATTCGAGGAACAATAAGAAACCCAAGGGGAGGGGGATGGTAGGAGATGAAACCAAAGTGGTAGATAGGGGCCAGATAAGTTAGGGCTTTGTGAATGGTAGGCAGGGCTTGAATTTGACTACTGGCAATGAAGAAGATGGGATGCCACAAGAGATGTGTCATGATATGACCTGTAAAAATATCATTCTGGGTGATTTCTTTAGCAAAGACTGTGGAAGGGCAAGCAACGCTATAATTATAATTGTTATCACACTATTACTATTATTTTATGATTGACTTTTTTGCTTTCCTTATTGAGAAATATTATTCTTTGAAAAGTAAGTCACTCTTTCTGCTCTGAACCTATTAATTCAAAGGAAGAAAACATAAATTTTTAACCATACCAAAAGCTTTTTCTTTCAATAACCTCAGTTAATAGGAAGTGAAGAAGTCACTTTGCCTTAAATGAATTTTATTCCCAGAACCCTTGTTAAATGAAGTATTACTGAATATTGCTTTTGAAATAAAATTATGCTATAAACCTGGGGTGAGGGCAAAATTTTATTACCAACAGAACAAATGTTTTATAACAGTGGTTGCATGAGCATATGAAAACATTTGCAGACAAAAAACTCTATTTACTAAATCATGTAAAAGTCTTTAAACTGCTTTTCAGAAAGGCTATTTAGAAAAGACTTTATGCAGTATAAAAGCTATCTAGTTTTTTAATTTTATGATCGTCTAAAGTCAAAGATAAAAAATTAATTTTGGTTACACTTTTAGTTCTCTACTAGGTTAATAAGATGTCATGAACCCTTCATTCTATAAAACACTAGAAAATAAAACAATATTCTAAGTATTTACTAAAGAAGAGACAGAGACACATGTGACTACTTCTTGACAACTGTTACATAAATTTTAATGTAAAAACTGTAGGACTAACAAAAATCACACCAAAATTAAAATGGCTTTATTTGTATATTTTATTATAATATATAGTTACAGGATTTGTTTTGTTATTTAAAATGGTATGGGAACTAAAGCGGGAACATGCTGTATGAGTGAACAATTTTTTGTTTTTAATTTGAGATTTTTAACTGATAGCTATTCATGAAGATTATGGTAATAAAATATATGTTTCTTCTGACTCACCCATGAACTTTTGATAACATTTGTCCCCCCTTACCTGTTAGGGACCCATTCCAAGACCCTCAGTGGATTCCTGAAACCATGTATAGTACTGAAGCCAAAGCCTATATATACTATTTTTTTTAATCTGATAACCCAGGTGGCAAATAAGTGACTAACATGCAGGTGGCATATATGGCATGGATACTTTGGACAAAGGGACGACTCATATCCTGTGCAGGGGAAGCAGGCTGGCATGAGATTTCATCACATTACTAAGAACGGTGCACAATTAAAAAATTATAAGTTATTTACTTCTGCAACTTTTCATGTATGAATAATATTTCTGGACTGCCATTGACTGCCTGTTACTAAAACTACAGAAATGGAAATTTTAGATAAGGAAGTACTACTGTACTTATTGTAGGAGTGTGGTGCTGATAATAAAAGTTATGCTTTTGTAAAATGATTAAATAGAATTTGTTACAAGGCTAGGTGTATTTCACCAATACTTTCCAGGTGCTGGTTTTTAACTGGAGATGATATCAAATAAATGAACTGTTTTTATGCTTATAAGCATCTTCTGTTAAAATGCAAGTAATCCTATAACTTCTTATGAATGTGTTTAATCAGATTTCCTTATAACAATGTTTTCAGGAACTCTCTGAAGATGGTGATTTGCAGTTGGAAATAGGGAAGCAGGGAAGAAATAAATTGAAAGCTTGCTATAGTCTGAATGTTTGTATCTCTCCAAAATTAATATGTTGAGATCTAATCCCCAATACATTGGTATGAAGAGGTGGGGTCTTGGGGAAGTGACTGGGTAATGAGTGATCCACCCCCATGAATAAGATAAATGCCCTTATAACAGAGCACCCAGAGAGCTGCCTTGCTCTTCTGCCATGTAAGGTCACATAGACGGTGTCATTTATAAGAAACGGGCCCCCACCAGACACTGTGAATCTGCTAGTGCCTTGATCTTGGAATTCCCAGCTTCTAGAACTGTGAGCATAAATTATATAGTTTATAAATTATCAATTTTGTTACAGCAGTCGAAATGGATTAAGACAGGGTTGGTTTTTTTGTTTTGGGTGAAAATATTTGAAAACCTGTTTGTTACATGCAGATTCAAAGGATAGAAAAAATAAGTTGTCTTTTAAATGACTATTTGTGCTCTTGAGAGCAAATAAAAAATTATCAAAAACAGATATAGAAAATGTAAAAATCGTGATGCTCTGGCTTCCTCGGGGGGTTGGATTCCATCTCATTGACCTGGGAATTGGGTTGTTAAAGCATCTATATGAAACAGGAGAGGGATCTCAGGCCATGGGGGAGGTAAGTATTTGAGGGGCTGAAAATGACATTCCTTCTTAAAGCCACGAAAAGATTAAGTTCTACACGAATAAAGAAGTATATTCACCAGCCACCACCCCCACAAAAAAAAATTTTCATCTTCAGAAGATTTTGAATAGAGAATACTTATTTTCTATGAGGATTCTTACCCATAGCCTACATTTCAAATATGTTAAGATTGAGATTTTTCATTATATACATTGTCTTATATCACCAGAAGAATAATTCCAAAAATTATCAGCTATTATGTTAGTATTTATTTTTACTAGTTCTCTCTAGAGCTTTTTTTCTGTAAGTTCGTTTATATGTTACCCTTATAGTATCCATTTATCTTAATTTTTTACCCAGTTGTCATCTCTGCTACACAGGACCCCTATATATCATGTTTTATTAAAGATTTTCATCCACTTATTTAGACACATATTAGAAAATTATCTGCCATGAGTAAAAGTAAGCATGATTACAACAAGAGAAATACAGAAGAAATGATTATTTTTCAAGCAATTTGTATATTAAAACCGTGAAGAAAAAAATGTAAAAATTCAAATCTGGACAAAAGTAAAATGGAATGTCTAAAATGTATTTATAAAAAATATTATTGTTACAAACTCAGTGGGTCATTAAGCAACATATCAAATACAGCTAATAAAATGACCTGATATTATTTACTAGGATGCAGTTTAGAGAAATACCGAGGTGAAAAGTAAGTGAGAAATTAAGAGTTGTGGAAGATAGGTTGGCAAGGTCGAAACAACATCTCAGAGGAAGGTAATAGAATGGATGAAGGCTATGTATGTTGACAAAGAGGCTGATAATTTTCTGGATTTAATAAAAAGCAAGTGTTTTTGCAGTCAACAAACAGAGGAAATATATAGAGAAAAAGTAAAAAATAAAACCATCTTATAAAATTTTACTGAAATGTAGAGTACAAAAATGAAAAACAGCCCTAATAAAGGACATACTAGTTACAAATTAACTGGTTGCAAATAACCAACAGCAAAAATAATAATACAGTCCAGAAGATAAAAGAATAACAAATTCAAAATGTTAAAGCTGCAAAGATAAATTAGCTGTCAACCTAGACCCCTGCACTCAGTTAAATTGTTAATTAAGATTAAGAGTAAACCAAACATATTCTATTCAATAAAGACTTAGTGAGGCTACTGCTCACACAGCATCCCTGAAAACTATGATTCAGGGAGAAAGAAATTGAATTCAAAAGGAAGAAATGAGATGCAAGCAGGAAAGTTGAGCAAATAAATTAGTAAACCTAAAACTACGATAAGAAAAAGTGAAAATAGTGACTCACATTAATATGTGAAAACAAGGTTATATAAAAGTAATTTTTGAAAAGTCACAAGATGATAATTTTACTTGAAGTTCTATAAATTGTTTATAGTACTTAACTTAAAAATTTTAATGTCAAAGGTACAAATTCAAAATTTAATTATATTCATAAAGACAAATTAATGGAGTGTATAATATTCAAAACAGTGAAAGAGGAGGAAATAAAACATATGAGCAACCAAAATTAAAAGGAAGAAATAAATTTTAAAAAATTGAAAGTATAATAAATTTCAAAAAACTAGCTAAGAATAAATGCACATGCATACTTGCTTTATTACACTTCACAGATACTGCAATTTTACAAATTAAAGGTTTGTGGTAAACTTGAGTTGAACAAGTCTATTGGTGCCATTTTTCAACAGCATGTGCTCACTACAAAAATGCCTCTCTGGGTCACATTTTTGTAATTGTTCCAATATTTCAAACTTTTTTATTAGTATCATACCTGTTGTGGTGTTTTGTAATCAGTAGTCTTTGATGTTACTATTGTATTTGTTTCGAGGCTCCGTGAACAAGCGCTCATATAAGACAGCAAACTTAATCCATAAATGTGTGTGTTCTGACTGCTCCTTCTATGATCTGTTCCCTGGTCTCTCTCCCTCTCCTTGGATCCCCTCATTCCCTGAGACACAACATTACTGAAATTAGGCCAATTAATAACCCCACAATGGCCTTTAAGTGTTCAAGTAAAAGGCAGAATCGCAAGTTTCTCACTTTAAATCAAAAGCTAGAAATGATTAAGCTTAGTGAGGAAGGCATGTTGAAAGCTGAGACAGGCTGAAAGCTAGGCCTCTTTCCCCAAACAACCACATTGTGTATGCAAAGGAAAAGGTCTTGAAGGAAATTAAAAGTGCTACTCCAGTGAAGACATGAATGATAAGAAAGCTCAACAGCCTTATTGCTGATATGGAGAAAGTTTTAGTGGTCTGGATAGATCATACCAGCCACAACATTCCCTTAAAACAAAGCCTAATCCAGAGGAAGGCTGTAACTCTTCAGTTCTGTGAAGGCTAAGAGAGGTGAGGGAACTGCAGAAGGAAAGTTTGAAGCTAGCAGAGTTTGGTTCATGAGGTTTAAGGAAAGAAGTCATCTGCATATCACAAAAATGCAAGGTGAAGCAGCAAGTTGTAATGGAGAACCTTCAGTAAGTTATACAGAGACCTCTCTAAGATCATTGATGAAGATGGCTACACTAAATAGCAGATTACCAAGGTAGACAAAACAGCCTTGGAAGAAGATGCCATCTAGAATTTTCATAACTAGAGAGAGAAACCAATCCTCTTCAAATCTTTTGAATCCTTGCTTCAAAACTTCAAAGGATAGGCTATCTCTCTTTTTAGGAGCTATTTGAACTAGTGATTTTAAGTTGAAGCCAATGCTCATTAACCATTCTGAAAATTCTAAGGTCCTTAAGAATTGTAGAACATCTACTCTGTCTGTGTTCTATAAGCGAAACAACAAAGCCCGAAGGACAGCACATCTCTTTAAAGTATGGTTTACTGAATAGTTGAATCTCACTGTTGAGACCTACTGCTGAGAAAACAGATTATTTTCAAAATAATGTGGTTCATTGACAATGTACCTCACCATGCAAGAGCTTGGATGAAGATATCCAAGAAGATAAATGTTTTTATTCCTGCTAATGCAACATCCATTCTGCAGCCCATGGATCAAGAAGCAATTTTGACTTTCGAGGCTTATTATTTTAGAAATACATTTCATAAGGCTATAGCTGCCATAGATAGTAATTCCTCTGATGAATATGGGCAAAGTCATATTCAAATGAAAATTTTCTAGAAAAGATTCACCTTTCTATATGCCATTAAGAACATTTTTGATTCAAGGGGAAAAGTTAAAATATCAATATTAACAGGAGTTCGAAAGGAGTTGAGTCCAACTCTCATAAGCAACTTTGAGGGGTTCAGAACTTCTCACTATAGATTTGGTAGAAATAGCAAGAGAACAAGAATTAGAAGTAAAACCTGAAGATGTCATTGAATTGCTGAAATCTCATGATATAACTTGAATGGATGAGGATTTGCCTCTTTTGGATGAGAAAAGAACGTGGTTTCTTGAGAAGGAATCTATTCCAGATTTGCATGCTGTAAACATTGTTGAAATAACAACAAAGGATTTATCAACTAAATTCCATCAATTTGATAAAGCAGCAACAAGGTTTGAGAAGATGGACTCCAATTTTGAAAGAAGTTTTACTATGGGGAAAATGCTGTCAAGCAGCTTGGCATGCTACAGAAAAATCTTTTGTGAAAGGAATAATCAATTAATGTGTCAAACTTCATCATTGTCTTATTTGAAACAATTGCAAAACCTGCTTAACCTTCAGCAACCACTAGCCTCTTAAGTCAACAGCCATCAATATCAAGACAAGACCCTTCATCAGCAAAAATACGATGACTTGGTGAAGGCTTAGATAATTGTGAGCACTTATATTTAGCAATAAAGTATTTTTTGATCAAGGTATATATACATGGTGATATGAATTAGCTATGTCCCCACCCAAATCTCATCTTGAACTGTAGCTCCCACAATTCCTGTGTTTTGTGGGAGGGACCTGGTGGGAGGTAATTGAATCATGGGGGCAAGTCTTTCCCATGCTGTTCTCATGATAGTGAATAAGTCTCATGAGATCTGATGGTTTTACAAGGGGGAGATTCTCTGCACAAATTCTCTCTTGTCTGCCGCAATGTAAGATGTGCTTTTTGCCTTCCACCATGATTGTGAGGCCTCCCCAGCTATGTGGAACTGTGAGTCAATTTTTCTTTATAAATTGCCCAGTCTCAGGTATGTCTTTATCAGCAGCATGAAAACATACTAACACATATAGTTTTGAAAACATATTATTGCACAAGATAGACTACACTATAGTGTAAACATAACTTTTTTATGTACTGAGAAGCCAAAAAATTTGTGTGACTCATTTTATTATGATATTTGCTTTATTGCAGTGGGCTAGAACTACACTTAAAATTTCCTATGTTGCTTATATACGGGAAATTATTGGAAACTGTAATTGGATTACACTTGTATGTGATAGATATCTCAGATTTGATTTTTCAAAATAGTTGGCAGTTAAGGGGCTTAAAAATGATATGTTAGGCAAACCAGAACATGATGAATACTTATATGGGTAAATTAATATGAATATCAATCTAGATATAAGGGCAAAATAAAACAAAAACTAAGCTTACATTACTATGAAGAATGTGTAGTGGATTGTATTTTCCAAAAATGGCTGCAAGAATGTCTGTCTTCTTAAATGTTCTTTTAGAACTTTGCTAAGGCCCTAGGCAATGACAGTGAGGGTTATTTTCCTGCCCACTGAATCTCAGCAGAGCTTTGTGCCTACCTTGATGAATGGAATGTGGTAGAATGGAAGCTGCATCACTGGTCAGGAAAGGTGACATGACTTTTTTTGGTGCTGTTTTTCTTGATACAGTTTCCCTTGGAATCCAGTCACCATGCTGTGAGGAAATCAAAGCCAAAGGGAAGTTTCACATGAAGAGCAATCAAGTCGTTTAGCCCTCAGCCTGATGACCACCCTACTGACTGCTGCCCGTGTGAGTGAGCCATCATAAAAGCAAATCCATCAGTTTTCAACTGAGCCTCAGTTGAGGATGCCTGGGATAGAAACAAGTCTCTCCCATATAGATCTTTCAAAACTGCATGTTGGCAAGCCAAATAATTATTGTTGTTTTATGCTGCTAAGTTTTACAGATGATATGTTTTCTATTTAGCACTATATAATAAAAGCAGAAAGTGACTTCATAATAATAAAATAGCAAATTCAATAGGAATATGCAATAAATTGAATATTTGATAATAATATATCTTCAAAATATATGGAAAAAATTGGAGAATCAAAAGAAAACATTTGTAAAAAATTTTAATATGTATATGTGTTTATATATTTGTTATAGATCATTTAAACAGATATAATATTAGAAAAAGTGTAGAATATTTGACAAATATGTTTAACAAATTGTACATAGTACACATATACAGTATCCTGTTTCCATGTATTAAAAATACATGTTCAAGCATTTAAGAATCATAAATATATTGTAATCGAGGAATCTCAATGGATACTAAAAATATAATGAAATACCATTAATTCCATTCATAATAAGCAAAGTTTACAATGTAACAAAATATTAAATCAATAACATAAATGAAACCTAAATGCATTTATATCATAAATTTAGAAAAAGAAAGTAGGCTGCAAAATAATGATATGTTAAAGAAATAATTAAGTCAGAATCTAGCAATATATTTAATGTTAAAAAATAAAGGAAACATTACATATTAAATAGTATGTGATGAATAAAGCAATATTTAATGCTAAAGCTTATAGCTTTCAGTATATATTAAAAGGAATAAAAATCGCAATTCAATAATCTAAACATCCCCATATAAATACTTCCTAAATGAACAAAGAACATAAACAAGCAGAAGAAAGGGAATAATTGATATGAGTATATTACATGAAATAAAAAACAAAGATATTTTATTACTTTCTGCAGCTGTTTAAAAATCTTTGTTAAGGAATAAATTTTTTCAAATAAAATCAAGGAAAACATAATATTAGAAATAAAAGGTAACTACAAAAGGGATTAAAATATGAAAATGTTTATGAAAATATAATTAGAAAAATTTGACTAGATAATTTTAGGGAAAAATATGATTTTTTAGAGTAATAAACACTTACAGTAGACCTACAGCCAGTAAAGTATTTAAAATCTGTACTAAAGTTACTTCAGGCACAACTGTTTTGTCTCTTATTCCATGAAAATAATCTAATCTATACAGTGTCTCCTCATTTGATATGCCTAGAATAGACTTAATAGAGAAATTAAGTAAGAAAAAGTGGAGAAAAGAATAATGAATCTCAATCCCACTTGTGAATATAAATACAAAAGCCATCTAAAAACACTATCTAAATAAGGAAAATAGCCTTGATTTAATGCAGGGTTGCTACAAAAGGCCTATAGTTTTACTGTTATTTGTGAAATTCCACAAACTAAACAAGTAGCTGAGAAGCGGTAATAAAAAGAGAACTAAAATCACCTAGAGCTTAAGGATGAGCTTGCTGTCAAATAACAAAACAAACAAACAAACAACCAGCTAGAGCAAAAAAGACATATAAGAAGGGAACATAAACAAGAATGACAGCAAATTTATCATCACAATCAATTCAAGGCATAAGATATTAGGGTAACATATTCAAAGTAAGCAAAGGGTTAATATTCAGAATACAGTGAAGACCTCACAAAGAAGTAAAAGACAACCAACACAAAATTAGCAAATAATATAAAATGATTTACAGAGAAATAAATCCAAAAGGCAAATAACTGTGAGAATATTTAACTTTAGTACTAATGAGAGAACAAATTAAACAACAGTATATCAAGCTGAGTCACACCTATTAAAGCAATGTCACCAAGTGTTCATGAGGATATGAGGGAACAGGTAATTTTATGAGTGGTTGGAGTGTAAATTGAGGCAACGACTTGAGGGGGCAATTGACAAAATACCTAATAATGTTGTAAATGTGCGTACACAAAGCCCAGAAAGTGTACTCCTAGATATACATTCTAGAAAACCCTTCATATATAAAGCTATATTTATCTTAGAGAAAACTTCACACTTAAAAGAATGTACACTAAATATTATTGGAAGTTCTGGCCAGGGCAGTCAGGCAAGAGAAAGAAATAAAGGGTATTCAAACAGGAAAAGAGGAAGTAAAATTGTCTCTGTTTGCAGTTGACATGATTGATTGTATATTCAGAAGGCCTCATTGTCTCAGCCCCAAATCTCCTTAAGCTGATAAGCAACTTCAGCAAAGTCTCAAGATAAAAAAATCAATCTGCAAAAATCACAAGCATTATATACACCAATAACAGACAGAGAGCCAAATCATGAGTGAACTCCCATCCACAATTACTGCAAAGAGAATAAGATACCTAAGAATACAACTTACAAGGAATGTGAAGGACCTCTTCAAGGAGAACTACAAACCACTGCTCAAGGAAATAAGAGAGGACACAAACACATGGAAAAATATTCCATGCTCATGGATAGGAATAATCAATATCGTGAAAATGGCCATACTGCCCAAAGTAATTTATAGATTCAATGCTGTCCCCATCAACCTACCATTGACTTTCTTCACAGAATTAGAGTAAAGCTAATTTAAATTTCATATGGAAGCAAAAAAGAGCCCATATAGCTGAGACAATCTTAAGCAAAAAGAACAAAGCTGGAGGCATCACGCTACCTGACTTCAAACTATACTACAAGGCTACAGTGACCAAAACAGCATGACACTGATACCAAAACATATATATAGACGAATGGAACAGAACAGAGGCCTCAGAAATAACACCACATATTGACAACCAGCTGATCTTCGACAAACCTGACAAAAACAAGCAATGGAGAAAGGATCCCCTATTCCATAAATGGTGTTGGGAAAACTGGCTAGCCATATGCAGAAAACTGAAACTGGACCCCTTCCTTACACCTTATACAAAAATTAACTCAAGATGGATTAAAGACTTAAACATAAGATCTAAAACCATAAAAATCCTAGAAGAAAACCTAGGCAATATCATTCAGGACATAGGCATGGGCAAAGACTTCATGACTAAAACACCAAAAGTAATGGCAACAAAGGCCAAAATAGACAAATGGGATCTAAATAAACTAAAGAGCTTCTGCACAGCAAAAGAAACTATCATCAGAGTTAACAGGTAACCTACAGAATGGGAGAAAATTTTTGCAATCTATCCATCTGACAAAGGGCAAATATCCAGAATCTACAAGTAACTTATACAATTTACAAGAAGAAAACTAAGGGTCCACCAAAAAGTGGGCAAAGGATATGAACAGACACTTCTCAAAAGAAGACATTTATACAGTCAACAAATACATGACAAAAAGCTCATCATCACTGGTCATTAGAGAAATGCAAATCAAAACCACAATGAGATACCATCTCACACCAGTTAGAATGGTGATCATTCAAAAAGTCAGGAAACAACAGATACTGGAGACGATTTGGAGAAATAGGAATGCTTTTACACTGTTGGTGGGAGTGTAAATTAGCTCAACTATTGTGGAAGACAGTGTGGCAGTTCCTCAAGGATCTAGAACCAGAAATACCATTTGACCCAGCAATCCCATTACTGGGTACATACCCAAAGGATTATAAATCATGCTGCTATAAAGACACATGCACATGTATATTTATTGCAGCACTGTTCACAATAGCAAAGACTTGGAACCAACCCAAATGCCCATCGATGATAGACTGGATAAAGAAAATGTGGCACATATACACCATGGAATACTATGCAGCCATAAAAAAGGATGAGTTCATGTCCTTTGCAGGGACATGGATGAAGCTGGAAACCATCATTCTCATCAAAGTAACACAGGAACAGAAAACCAAACACTGCATGTTCTCACTCATAAGTGGGAGTTGAACAAGGAGAACACATGCACACAGGGAGGGGAACATTACACACCAGAGCTTGTCCAGGGTGGGGGACATGGGGAGGGATAGCATTAGGAGATATACTTACTGTAGATGACGGGTTGATGGATGCAGCAAACCACCATGGCACATGTATACCTATGTAACAAACCTGCATGTTCTGCACATGTATCCCAGAACTTAAAGTATAAAAAAATGTACACTGAAATAGTTTTTCATAGCAATGTCAAGAAAATTTAAAATGAGGGGAAAAACCTATATTTCAGTATGATAAATGTATTTAGAACAAAGGAAAACAAATGCTCCGTTTTCTTTATGTATTGGGACATTATGTGTTGTAGCAGTTAAGATGGGTAAGATGTATCTTTAAGTATCATTGTGGGAAAAAAATCTCAAAAACACTATTGATTGATTGATTGATTTTTTTTGAGAGGGAGTCTCACTCTGTCACCAAGCTGAAGTGCAGTGGTGTGATCTTGACTCACTGCAACCTCTATCTCCCTGGTTCAAGCTATTCTCTTGCCTCAGCCTCCTGAGTAGCTGGGACTACAGGCACATGCCACCATGCCTAGCTAATTTTTGTATTTTTAGTAGAGACAAGGTTGCACCATGTTGGCCAAGATGGTCTGGATCTCTTGACCTTGTGATCCACCTGCCTCAGCATCCCAAAGTGCTGGGATTACAGGCATGAGCCACCACGCCTGGCAAAAAAAAAAAATTAAATGAATAAACGAAATTGCCAGTTGCTGTAGTATTACATAATTTTTGTAATGTTTAGCAACATGCACATCAGTAGAATATATTCATTCTTCCAAATCCAGTATAAGTACAGAAACATGAGAGAGTAATGACATATTTCGGAGTCATGTGTAGGTTTTTGTGTAGCATAGCAAAGTGTCCTCAGTCAGTTAGTAGTGTGACCAAGCATCAAATCATAGATAGATTCTACCTTGAAATCAAATCTAATTAACAAAGAGTTGTTAATTTTTCCACCAGCTGATCAACCAGAGTTGTTAATAAATACAGCAGAATTTTATTCTGTTATATTGGTAGAAGAAACTAAATTTATGTGATACAATATGTCACTGAAATACATGTAATTTTTAAGTTTATAATAACATTCATAAATTATAATAAGATTAATATCTAGAGACAAACTAATATTAGAGAAGACAATTTGAATTATGTATGAACATACAGAGACTACAATTTTCTTACAAGTAAATTAATTATATTAAAGCTGTAGATATTAATCAATTTTTTAAATTTTCTGGGATCAAGTATTCATAACTTAAACTATGACCAAAACAACTAACATTCCTTTAATAAATATTAATAGTGCCCATTTTACATAGCACTATTTTTGGAACAAAATGATTTTGTACAGTTCTGAAATAAAGATCTGGAAATTTGGGGGATAACTGACATCCTCACATCCCATGTCCAGAGCTCTGCACTTTCGCTATGCATGAGCGAAAGCTTATACATTTCTTAGATGGCATTTAAGAGTTGTAAAATACAGAACCTTTATACTGGGTGCCGTGTCTTTACTGCTTTCCTTAGCTAGACATGTGGCTAATTCCCTCACTATCTTCTAGTCTTTGCTTTTCAAGAAGGCTTACTCAAACTACTTTATTGTATTTTCAGTTACAACTCTTTCCTACCACATTCTGATCTCCCTTATCTTTCTCTGTTTGTTTTTTCCCTCAAAGCATGTAAGATTTTCTAATATGATTTATAATTTACTTATTATGTACTTTTTGCTTACTATTTATTATACTCTACCATAAAGTAAGTTTCAAAATGGCTTTGACTATTTCATTCACTGCTGGGTATACCTAGTACTAACCAATAAATATTTGCCACATTAATGAATGATAAACTACACTATAAATGTTGTAATAAATTACAAGGAGAAATTTATTATTTTAAAGAGTCCTTATCACTTTTTAATTTTCCATTAGAGAGATAATTTAATAAGTATTTGCTTAGCATAGTCTGAGCTAGAAAGATTGCCTGATTTTTCTTAGAAAGTTATTTATGATATTTTTCTGTCTCTAAAGGATCACTTCCATGACACCTCTCAGTTACATACATTTAAGATGTGCAAGCAGCCACTGAACTGGGAGAGAGATAGGACAAAATATTTTCTGTTAATAAAAATGTTACCACTCTAGGTCAAAAAAGAAACCTGGAGAGAAATTTAAATTTTTTTTAATTAAAAAAAAGAAAAAAATTCTTATCAAGGTTTGTGGAATGCAGTAAAATCAGTGTCAAGAGAAAAAAATATGGTGTTCATGCATATAATAGAAAAGACGAAAGATCCATAATTAATCATCTAAGATACTACCTTAGGAAAATAGAAAATAAGAGTAAATTAAATCCAAAGTAAACACAAGAAAGGAAAAGATAAAAATTAGAGTAGAAATAAATAAATTTAAAAACATAAATTCAGTAGGAAAAAATCAGTAAAACCACAAACTGCTTCTTTGAAAAGATCAATAAAATTGATATACCTCTAGCCAGGTTAACTATGAATAAAAGAGATAGGACAGACATTAATATCAGAAATAAAATAGGAAACATTATTATAGATCCCATAGACATTAAAAGGATAATCAAGGAACACTATTAACATCTCTATCTGCACAAATTCAATAATTAGGTCAATGAGACAAATGCTTTGAAAGACACAAAATCTGCCAAAATTCACACAAGAAGAAATAAACTATTTGAAGGTCCATGTCTTTTTAAAAATTGAATCTATAACTAATACTTTTCCAAAACAGAATGCATCAGGCCTAGATGGGTTCACTGGTGAATTCTACCAAATATTTATTGAAGAAATTATACCAATTTCTATAATGTCCTTTAGAAGATAGAAATAGAGAAAACACTTCCAAACTCATTTTATGAGGCCAAAATTACTCTAATATCAAAACCAGACAAAGGCATTATAAGAAAAACACAGATCAATATCTCTTATGAACACAGATCAAAAATCTTAAACAAAATATTAGCAACTCAAATTCAACAATATGTGAAAAGAATTATACAGCTCTACTGTGTGGTATTTATACCAGGTATGCAAGGCTCGGTCAACATTCAGAAACCAACTAATGTAAGCCCTAACATCAGAAGGCTAAGGAAGAAAAACCACAGGCTCATATAAATAAATGAAGAAAAGCATTTGACAAAATAACAACATTTATGATAAAAACTCTCAGTTAACTTAGAATAAAGGTGACCATCCTCAACTTGATAAAAATTATCTGCAAAAAAACCTACAGCTAACATGGTACTGAATGTGAGAAACTCAACGTTTTTCACCTAAGATGGCAAGGATATCTCCACTCACCACTGCTTTTTCACATCTTACTTTAATTCTTAGCTAGCTAATGCAATAAGATGAGAAAAAGAGGTATACATATCTGAAAGGAAGAAATTAAACTGTCTTTGTTCTCAGATAACATGATCATCTATGTAGAAAATCTAAAAGGATGGACAAAGAAACTCCTAGAACTAATGAGCAACTATAGGAATGTTGCAGGACACAAGGTTCATGTATATAATTCAATGGCTTTTCTATATACAAGCAATGCACAAGTGGAATTTTAAATTAAAAAAGCAATGCTGTTTAAATTAGCACCACAAAAATGAAACACTTAGGTATAAACTTAACAAAATATGTACAAGATATATACTACAGGCGTGGGAGGAGCCAAGATGGCCAAATAGGAACAGCTCCGGTCTACAGCTCCCAGCGTGAGCGACGCAGAAGACGGGTGATTTCTGCATTTCCATCTGAGGTACCGCGTTCATCTCACTAGGGAGTGACAGACAGTGGGCGCAGGCCAGTGGGTGCGTGCACCGTGCGCGAGCCGAAGCAGGGCGAGGCATTGCCTCACCTGGGAAATGCAAGGGGTCAGGGAGTTCCCTTTCCAAGTCAAAGAAAGGGGTGACGGAGGCACCTGGAAAATCAGGTCACTCCCACCCGAATACTGCGTTTTTCAGACCAGCTTAAAAAATGGCGCACCACAAGACTATATCCCACACCTGGCTCGGAGGGTCCTACACCCACGGAATCTCGCTGATTCTAGCACAGCAGTCTGAGATCAAACTGCAAGGCGGCAGCGAGGCTGGGGGAGGGGCGCCCGCCATTGCCCAGGCTTGCTTAGGTAAACAAAGCAGCCAGGAAGCTCGAACTGGGTGGAGCCCATGACAGTTCAAGGAGGCCTGCCTGCCACTGTAGGCTGCACCTCTGGGGGCAGGGCACAGGCAAACAAAAAGACAGCAGTAACCTTTGCAGACTTAAATGTCCCTGTCTGACAGCTTTGAAGAGAGCAGTGGTTCTCCCAGCATGCAGCTGGAGATCTGAGAACCAGCAGACTGCCTCCTCAAGTGGGTCCCTGACCCCTGACCCCCGAGCAGCCTAACTGGGAGGCACCCCCCAGTAGGGGCACACTGACACTTCACAAGGCAGGGTATTCCAAAAGACCTGCAGCTGAGGGTCCTGTCTGTTAGAAGGAAAACTAACAAACAGAAAGGACATCCACACCGAAAACCCATCTGTACATCACCATCATCAAAGACCAAAAGTAGATAAAACCACAAAGATGGGGAAAAAACAGAACAGAAAAACTGGAAACTCTAAAACACAGAGTGCCTCTCCTCCTCCAAAGGAACGCAGTTCCTCACCAGCAACGGAACAAAGCTGGATGGAGAATGACTTTGACGAGCAGAGAGAAGAAGGCTTCAGACGATCAAATTACTCTGAGCTACGGGAGGACATTCAAACCAAAGGCAAAGAAGTTGAAAACTTTGAAAAAAATTTAAAAGAATGTATAACTAGAATAACCAATACAGAGAAGTGCTTAAAGGAGCTGATGGAGCTGAAAACCAAGGCTCGAGAACTATGTGAAGAATGCAGAAGCCTCAGGAGCCAATGCGATCAACTGGAAGAAAGGGTATCAGCAATGGAAGATGAAATGAATGAAATGAAGGGAGAAGGGAAGTTTAGAGAAAAAAGAATAAAAAGAAATGAGCAAAGCCTCCAAGAAATATGGGACTATGTGAAAAGACCAAATCTACGTCTGACTGGTGTACCTGAAAGTGATGGGGAGAATGGAACCAAGTTGGAAAACACTCTGCAGGATATTATCCAGGAGAACTTCCCCAATCTAGCAAGGCAGGCCAATGTTCAGATTCAGGAAATACAGAGAACGCCACAAAGATACTCCTCGAGAAGAGCAACTCCAAGACACATAATTGTCAGATTCACCAAAGTTGAAATGAAGGAAAAAATGTTAAGGGCAGCCAGAGAGAAAGGTTGGGTTACCCTCAAAGGGAAGCCCATCAGACTAACAGCAGATCTCTCGGCAGAAACCCTACAAGCCAGAAGAGAGTGGGGGCCAATATTCAACATTCTTAAAGAAAAGAATTTTCAACCCAGAATTTCATATCCAGCCAAACTAAGCTTCATAAGTGAAGGAGAAATAAAATACTTTACAGACAAGCAAATGCTGAGAGATTTTGTCACCACCAGGCCTGCCCTAAAAGAGCTCCTGAAGGAAGCGCTAAACATGGAAAGGAACAACCGGTACCAGCTGCTGCAAAATCATGCCAAAATGTAAAGACCATCGAGACTAGGAAGAAACTGCATCAACTAACGAGCAAAATCACCAGCTAACATCATAATGACAGGATCAAATTCACATATAACAATATTAACTTTAAATGTAAATGGACTAAATTCTCCAATTAAAAGACACAGACTGGCAAATTGGATAAAGAGTCAAGACCCATCAGTGTGCTGTATTCAGGAAACCCATCTCACGTGCAGAGACACACATAGGCTCAAAATAAAGGGATGGAGGAAGATCTACCAAGCAAATGGAAAACAAAAAAAGGCAGGGGTTGCAATCCTAGTCTCTGATAAAACAGACTTTAAACCAACAAAGATCAAAAGAGACAAAGAAGGCCATTACATAATGGTAAAGGGATCAATTCAACAAGAAGAGCTAACTATCCTAAATATATATGCACCCAATACAGGAGCACCCAGATTCATAAAGCAAGTCCTGAGTGACCTACAAAGAGACTTAGACTCCCACACAATAATAATGGGAGACTTTAACACCCCACTGTCAACATTAGACAGATCAACGAGACAGAAAGTCAACAAGGATACCCAGGAATTGAACTCAGCTCTGCACCAAGTGGACCTAATAGACATCTACAGAACTCTCCACCCCAAATCAACAGAATATACATTTTTTTCAGCACCACACCACACCTATTCCAAAATTGACCACATACTGGGAAGTAAAGCTCTCCTCAGCAAATGTAAAAGAACAGAAATTATAACAAACTCTCTCTCAGACCACAGTGCAATCAAACTAGAACTCAGGATTAAGAATCTCACTCAAAGCCGCTCAACTACATGGAAACTGAACAACCTGCTCCTGAATGACTACTGGGTAGATAACGAAATGAAGGCAGAAATAAAGATGTTCTTTGAAACCAATGAGAACAAAGACACGACATACCAGAATCTCTGGGACGCATTCAAAGCAGTGTGTAGAGGGAAATTTATAGCACTAAATGCCCACAAGAGAAAGCAGGAAAGATCCAAAATTGACACCCTAACACAATTAAAAGAACTAGAAAAGCAAGAGCAAATACATTCAAAAGCTAGCAGAAGGCAAGAAATAACTAAAATCAGAGCAGAACTGAAGGAAATAGAGACACAAAAAACCATTCAAAAAATCAATGAATCCAGGAGCTGGTTTTTTGAAAGGCTCAACAAAATTGATAGACCGCTAGCAAGACTAAGAAAGAAAAAAAGAGAGAAGAATCAAATAGACACAATAAAAAATGATGAAGGGGATATCACCACCGATCCCACAGAAATACAAACTACCATCAGAGAATATTACAAACACCTCTATGCAAATAAACTAGAAAATCTAGAAGAAATGGATAAATTCCTGGACACATACACTCTCCCAAGACTAAACCAGGAAGAAGTTGAATCTCTGAATAGACCAATAACAGGAGCTGAAATTCTGGCAATAATCAATAGTTTACCAACCAAAAAGAGTCCAGGACCAGATGGATTCACAGCCAAATTCTACCAGAGGTACAAGGAGGAACTGGTACCATTCCTTCTGAAACTATTCCAATCAATAGAAAAAGAGGGAATCCTCCCTAACTCATTTTATAAGGCCAGCATCATTCTGATACCAAAGCCAGGCAGAGACACAACCAAAAAAGAGAATTTTAGACCAATATCCTTGATGAACATTGATGCAAAAATCCTCAATAAAATACTGGCAAACCAAATCCAGCAGCACATCAAAAAGCTTATCCACCATGAACAAGTGGGCTTCATCCCTGGGATGCAAGGCTGGTTCAATATACACAAATCAATAAATGTAATCCAGCATATAAACAGAGCCAAAGACAAAAACCACATGATTATCTCAATAGATGCAGAAAAAGCCTTTGACAAAATTCAGCAACCCTTCATGCTAAAAACTCTCAATAAATTAGGTATTGATGGGACGTATTTCAAAATGATAAGAGCTATCTATGACAAACCCATAGCCAATATCATACTGAATGGGCAAAAACTGGAAGCATTCCCTTTGAAAACTGGCACAAGACAGGGATGCCCTCTCTCACCACTCCTATTCAACATAGTGTTGGAAGTTCTGGCCAGGGCAATTAGGCAGGAGAAGGAAATAAAGGGTATTCAATTAGGAAAAGAGGAAGTCAAATTGTCCCTGTTTGCAGACGACATGATTTTATATCTAGAAAACCCCTTTGTCTCAGCCTGAAATCTCCTTAAGCTGATAAGCAACTTCAGCAAAGTCTCAGGATACAAAATCAATGTACAAAAATCACAAGCATTCTTATACACCAACAACAGACAAACAGAGAGCCAAATCATGAGTGAACTCCCATTCACAATTGCTTCAAAGAGAATAAAATACCTAGGAATCCAACTTACAAGGGATGTGAAGGACCTCTTCAAGGAGAACTACAAACCGCTGCTCAAAGAAATAAAAGAGGATACAAACAAATGGAAGAACATTCCATGCTCATGGGTAGGAAAAATCAATATCGTGAAAATGGCCATACTGCCCAAGGTAATTTACAGATTCAATGCCATCCCCATCAAGCTACCAATGACTTTCTTCACAGAATTGGAAAAAAGTTCATATGGAACCAAAAAAGAGCCTGCATCGCCAAGTCAATCCTAAGCCAAAAGAACAAAGCTGGAGGCATCACACTACCTGACTTCAAACTATACTACAAGGCTACAGTAACCAAAACAGCATGGACTGGTACCAAAACAGAGATATAGATCAATGGAACAGAACAGAGCCCTCAGAAATAACGCCGCATACCTACAACTATCTGATCTCTGACAAACCTGAGAAAAACAAGCAATGGGGAAAGGATTCCCTATTTAATAAATGGTGCTGGGAAAACTGGCTAGCCATATGTAGAAAGCTGAAACTGGATCCCTTCCTTACACCTTATACAAAAATCAATTCAAGATGGATTAAAGATTTAAACGTTAGACCTAAAACCATAAAAACCCTAGAAGAAAACCTAGGCATTACCATTCAGGACATAGGCATGGGCAAGGACTTCATGTCTAAAACACCAAAAGCAATGGCAACAAAAGACAAAATTGACAAATGGGATCTAATTAAAATAAAGAGCTTCTGCACAGCAAAAGAAACTACCATCAGAGTGAACAGGCAACCTACAAAATGGGAGAAAATTTTCACAACCTACTCATCTGACAAAGGGCTAATATCCAGAATCTACAATGAACTCAAACAAATTTACAAGAAAAAAACAAACAACCCCATCAAAAAGTGGGCGAAGGACATGAACAGACACTTCTCAAAAGAAGACATTTATGCAGCCAAAAAACACATGAAAAAATGCTCATCATCACTGGCCATCAGAGAAATGCAAATCAAAACCAGTATGAGATACCATCTCACACCAGTTAGAATGGCAATCATTAAAAAGTCAGGAAACAACAGGTGCTGGAGAGGATGTGGAGAAACAGGAACACTTTTACACTGTTGGTGGGACTGTAAACTAGTTCAACCATTGTGGAAGTCAGTGTGGCGATTCCTCAGGGATCTAGAACTAGAAATACCATTTGACCCAGCCATCCCATTACTGGGTATATACCCAAATGACTATAAATCATGCTGCTATAAAGACACATGCACACGTATGTTTATTGCGGCATTATTCACAATAGCAAAGACTTGGAACCAACCCAAATGTCCAACAATGATAGACTGGATTAAGAAAATGGGGCACATATACACCATGGAATACTATGCAGCCATAAAAAATGATGAGTTCACGTCCTTTGTAGGGACATGGATGAAATTGGAAATCATCATTCTCAGTAAAGTATCGCAAGAACAAAAAACCAAACACCGCATATTCTCACTCATTGGTGGGAATTGAACAATGAGGTAACATGGACACAGGAAGGGGAATATCACACTCTGGGGACTGTGGTGGGGTGGGGGGAGGGGGGAGGGATAGCATTGGGAGATATACCTAATGCTAGATGACGAGTTAGTGGGTGCAGCACACCAGCACGGCACATGTATACATATGTAACTAACCTGCACAATGTGCACATGTACCCTAAAACTTAAAGTATAATAATAAATAAATAAATAAATAAATAAACTACAGGCTCTGATGAAATAAAGAAGAACTGAATAAATGGATATTCCTTATTCATAGACAGGAAGACTCAATATTGACAAGATGTTAGTTATCAGTTTGATCTGTAGATTCAATGCAATCTTAATCAAAATGCTAGTGAGTTATTTGTGAATTAGGAAAACTAATTCTAAAATTTATATGTGAAGGCAAAAGACACAGAATGGCTAACACAACATTGAAGAAGAATACCAAGGGAAGAGGACTGATGCTATCCACCTTGAAGACTCACTATAAAGCTACACTAATCAGTGGGCTATTGGAGAAAGGATAGACCAAAAGATTAATGAAACAGAATAGAAACACCAGAAATAGATCCACATGAATATAGTTAACCAATCTTTGACAAAAAAGCAAAGGCAATACAATAAAGACAAGGAAGACTTTTCAACAACTGGTGCTGGAACATCTGGACATCCATATGCAAGGAAAATAAATCTCAATGCAGACCTTAGACCCTTCACAAAAATTAACCCAAGCTGGATCACAAATCTAAATGTAATATGCAAAGCCATAAAATTCCTGGAAGAAAAATCTAGAACTCGTGTTTGTATTTGGTGATGACTTTTCAAAACATACCGAAGTACAATATATATAAAAAAAATTAAAACTGGACTTCATTAAAATTACAAAATTCTGCTCTGTGAAAGACTCTGTCAAGAGAATGTAAAGACAAGCCACAGAGTAGGAGAAAATATTCGCAAGATATTTGATAAAAGATTGTTATTCAAAATATACAAATAATTATTAAAATTCAACAATAAAACAACCTGATTACAAAATGAGCCAAAGACTTTAACAGACATTTCACCAAGAAGATATACAGATGACAAATAAGCATCTTAAAAGATGTTCCACATCTCATGTTATCAAAGAAATGCAAATTAAAATAAAACAACGAGATGTGACTATTGGGACGCAATAAAAATATATACTTTTTCTCTGCTTCAGGCTTCTAAAACTCTCATAATTTCCTGAGTGACAGCATAAGAGAGGCATCATTTCTTATTTATAATAAGCCCCTTTTAGTCATACCTAAGTTTATTCTAGTAAGTCTACTCTTGGAGCATAGGAGCTGGTTGTGGGAAGAACCAACCACAAGACAAGAGGGTTGAAAGTTTCAGCACCATCCACCTCTGGAAAGGGGTAAGCAGTTGGACATTGAGTTAAACTGACAATGGCCAAGAATTGAATCAATTATGCCTATATAATGAAGCATCCATTAAAATCCCAAACAAATGAGTTAAAATAGTTTCCGCATTGGTGACTGCACGGAAGTACTGGGACAGTGCCACGCCTGGACACAGCATGAGAGCTCCATGCCCCTTCATCATACCTTGTCCTATGGACCTCTTCATCTGACTGTACGTATGTACCCTTTATGATATTCTTTATAATAAACCAGTTAATGCAAGTAAAGTGTTTCCTTGGATTTTATGAGCTGTTATAGAAAATCATCAAATTTGAGGAGAAAGTTTTAGGGAACCCAACAGTAACCAAGTCAGACAGAAATGTGGGTAACCCAGGACTAACTACTTGCAATTGGAATCTGAAGTTGGAGGTGGTTCTGTGGGACTGAGCCCTTATCCTATTGTTAGTGCTAGAATTGAATTAAACTGTAGGATACTGAGTTGGTGTTCACAGATAATATGTAAATTGCAATGTGTGTAAAATCTACATATTTGATTACGGAAGTGTTGTAAGTACAGAACACCACTACAACAAATGTTGGCAAGGATGTGAAGCAACAGGAACTCTCATTCACTGCTGATGAGAATGCAAAGTGGTACAGCTACTTTGAAGGACAGTTTATGGTTCTTACAAGACTAAACATTCTCATGCCATACTATCCAACAATCATTTTCCTTGGTATCTACGTAAAGGAGTGGACAACTTATGTCTACACAGAAACCTGTAGAGGTATGTTTATAGAAGCTTTATTCATAGTTGCCCAAACTTGGAAGCAACCAAGATGCCCCTCCATAGGTTAGTGGGTAAATAAACTTTGGTACATCCAGGAAATTAAATATTATTCAGTGCAAAAAGAAATGAGCTATCAAACTATGCACAGAAAATGGAGAAACTTAACTGCATTTTACTAAGTGAAAGAAGCCAATGTGAAAAGGCTGCATACTGTGTGATTGCAATTATATGACATTTGGGAAAAGGCAAAACTATGGAGACAGTAAAAAGATCAGTTCTTTTCAGAGTTGGGCTGGGAGGGAGGGATGATGCATGGAATACAGAGAATTTCAGGTCAGTGAAACTACTAATATACTAAGGTGTAGTATTAATGTATAGTATCATATACTAATATGGTAGACATGCATCAATATATAATACATTTGTCCAAACCCATAGAATGTACAACACCAAGAGTAAACCCTAATATAAACTATGCACTCTGGGTGATAATGATGTATTAATGTGGGTTCATCATTTGTAACAAATGTACCACTCTAACTGGGGATGCTGATAATTGATGAGGCTATGCATGAGCCAGGGGGCAGGTGGTATACAGGGATTCTCTGTACCTTCTGCTCAATTTTGCTGTGAACCTAATACTTATCTTTTAAAAAGTCTATTTTAAAAAAGTTACTGCTCTTGCACATCCTGCACATGTACCCTGGAATTTAAAATTAAAAATAATGAACATAATAATAAAAAGAAGTTACTGCTCTTCATACTACCTCATCTTCCAAAAAGAGTTAAAAATATCTGCCTAGGAGCTGTGAACCCAAAAGTATCTGAGATATCTCAATCAATTTAGAAAGTTTATTTTGCCAATGTTACAGACACAAACAATTTTCCAATGTTACGGACACAAATGTCCAATGTTACCTGTGACACAAACTCAGGAGGTCCTGATGACATGTGCCCAAGGTTCTTTGGGGACAGCTTGGTTTTATACATTTTATGGAGACATGAAACATCAATCAATATATGTAAGATGTACATTGGTTTGGTCAGGAAAGGTGGGACAACTTGAAGTGGGGAGGGGGCTTCCAGGTCATAGGTAGATAAGAGACAAAAGGTCGCATTCTTTTAAGTTTCTAGTTAGCCTTTCACTGAATACACAATTTACATGTGAGAGGAGAATAAAGGAATAGTCACTTATGCTTTAGTCTGGCTTAGTGAAATAATAGGGCAGAGGAAGCAATCAGATATGCAGTTGTCTCAGGTGAACAGAGGAATGACTTGGAATTCTGTCTGTCCTTTGCCCATAAGGAATTTCCTTGTGGGCAAATTGTGAGGGAGGTATGTAGTATATATATATATATGTATATAAATCTTTGTAACCATCTCTTTTTTTTTTTTTTTGAGGTGGAGTCTCGCTTAGTCGCCCAGGCTAGAGTGCAGTGGCATGATCTTGGCTTACTGCATCCTCCACCTCCCGGGTTCACGTGATTCTCCTGCCTCAGCCTCCTGAGTAGCTGGGACTACAGGCACATGCCACCACGCCTGGCTAATTTTTCTATTTTTAGTAGAGATAGGTTTTCACCATATTGGCCAGGATATCTCGATCTCCTGACCTGATCCACCTGCCTTGGCCTCCTAAAGTGCTGGGACTACAGGCATGAGCCACCACACCTGGCAGCTGTCTTATTTAAAAATAAAATGGGAGGCAGGTTTACCTGACGCAGTTCCTAGCTTGAATTTTCCCTTTGGCTTTGTGATTTTGGGGTCCTTTATTTTCTTTTCACAGAGCTTACTGGGAGAAATGAGTTGGAGTTAAACAACTTCCTTAATTAGATTTGACATTATTAGAAACTCTCTGATGGGTGGGCTGATCAGGAATAAAGTCCTGGAGCTTTGAAATGAAAATTTATCTTGGATATAATTGGAATCAAGTAGGACCAAACTTCACACCAAAGCAGTTGTATGTGAGTAGGTTAAGTGGATGAAAAGAAGGGAAGTAGGACTGAGTCTTGTATTGCTTGTGACTGAATTTTTGACCTCCTTTTGGCCTCGTTCCAGTCAAATAGTGAGTGATATTTCAATTTCAAAGTAAACTAAAGACCTTTTAACTTAGGGGAACATTTAGATAGCCATTCTTGGTTAAATTAAAGACAGAAATTTTACAACCTGCATACAGCCTCAGGCCAACAATTCCAAAAACTTAGTAGTGGGGAGGGATGCACTGAATTGTTTGAAATAATTTTTCACAGCAAAGCTCCTGTGAGAAAAGAAATAGCAACTAAAAATGCTTTGTTCTCCAGTTCTGTCTTTGCCATGAATTTGTAAAGAGGATTAGATGCTTTGGATTTTTATAATAATAAAAATGGGATGAGGAGTTCACAGAGAAAGCAACTGGATGTTCTGTTCATATGAGCAGGGGAAGGCCCACAATTTCATGTAAGTATTAAAAAGAGAGGTGACTTAATTATTCCCAAGGCTAGTGAGTGGAAGCCTACCAGTAATACTGGAGTAGTCTACATTTGTGTGTATGCTTCTGTTACCAGAAACAGGTCATGATCCAGACCCCAGGAGAGGGTTCTTGGTTCTTGCCCAAGAAATAATTCGGGGTGAGTTCATAAAGTGAAAGCAAGTTTATTAAGAAAGTAAAGGAAGAAAAGAATGGCTACTCTATAGGCAGAGCAGCCCTAAGACTGTTGGTTGCCCATTTTTATGGTTATTTCTTGATTATAGGCTAAACAAGAGATGGATTATTCATGAGTTTTCCAGGAATGGAATGGGCTATTTCCAGAACTGAGGGTTCTTCTCCTTTTCAGACCACATAGGGTAACTTCCTGATGTTGCCATGGCATTTGTAAACTCTCATAGCGCTGGTGGAAGTGTCTTTTAACATGCTAATGCAGTATCATTAGTGTATTAAGAGCAGTGAGGGTGATCAGAGGTCCCTCTCACCATCTTGGTTTTGGTGGATTTTGGCTGGCTTCTTTACTGCAACCTGCTTTATCAGCAAGATCTTGATGACCTGTATATTTTGCCGACCTCCTATCTCATCCTGTGACTTAGAATGTCTAACCTCCTGGGAATGCAGCCCAGTAGGTCTCCAATTTATTTTACCCAGCCTCTATACAAGATGGAGTTGCTCTGGTTTAAATGCCTCTGATGCTTCCTCTTTATTTAAAGACATAAATCTAAATAATTATTAAATTTCTCAATATAAAGTGGAAAAATGGAAGTTATTTCAGAGATTTATTTGTATAACACATTAGCAGACTACTTGGAAACATATATCAGCATTTAGCCTTTGATGGCTAAAATTTTACCCCACCTTTGATTTTATTTTGGAGATTTTTACTTGGAAACATGGTTTAGAAGCCATGAAAACTGTGGATTTTTCTTTGTTACTCTCTCTGAACTTTAGTTACTATCCCAGAACTGCCAAGAGATTGTATAACCTTATGTTTATGAAAGTGTTCAAAAGCAATGTTTCATTTTGAGCAGAGTATTTTCCATAACACTTTGTGTAAGAAAAGTGATGGCTAGGGTATTGAAATGAAAACAAGGGCCGGGTGCGGTGGCTCACGCCTGTAATTCCAAAACTTTGGGAGGCTGAGGCGGGCGAATTACTTGAGGTCAGGAGTTTGAGACCAGCCTGGCCAACATGGTGCAACCCTGTCTCTACTAAAAATACAAAAATTAGCCGGCCATGGTGGCACATGCCTGTAATCCCAGCTACTGGGGAGGCTGAGGCAGGAGAATCACTTGAATTTGGGAGGTGGAGTTTGCAGTGAGCCAAAATCATGCCATTACACTCCAGCCTGGGCAAAGAAGCAAGACTCCTTCTCAAAAAAAACAGAAAAACAAAATAAAACAAAAAAAACCCAAGAAAGTTCAAAACTAAAATGTTATTTTTTTAATCTTCTCTATCTTTTTCTCTCTTTCTTTCTTTTTTTTTTTTCACCTGAATGACAATCTTGGGTGGTGGAGTCGGGGGGGTTTGTCAGTGGAATGTCATCCATAGGGTGATGGGTTGTCAATATCTTAACTCGTATTTTCTTAAATATTTTTATTCATTTTATTTTCTTATTTGTCTACTCTTATCAGAATTTTCTAATTGTAGATATTTGAGGAACAAGTATCAAATGTATATGAAAAATGGAAAGTCAAAAAAATACTAGACACACTTTCAACCAGTTATCCACCCACCTTATATTACTTACAGTGCAGAACGCTCAATTATAAATGCAACTCTTCAATTCCACAGCACAGAAAATGAGACTATGTATATCATTACCAGCCCCAGTAGAGATAATAAGGGCATATGCACAGCTACAACTATCCATTGAGATAATGAGATTATAAATACTATACTCCTACTGCTTCTAGGTATAATGAGAAGCTACAGTTTTATGGTCATATTTCTGCAATCATCCTTGAAACCAGGAGACAGTGAATTTAGAGATAACCTAATGAGGAAAAGAAACAGATAACCATTTATCATAGTCTTTCCGAAATCAGCTCATGAAGTAAGGCACAAATGGAAACAAAGGAACTGAATACATTCATTTGTTAATTAATATCTGCTGTTCTTAGAGAATCATGAACAATGAGCAATTTATTAAAGAGGCAATAATCTGAAATACTCTATTACAGGGTTAATGATCATAAAAACAGGTCTCATAAAAGTAAGGGACAATCAAGAGCTTTCGGGAATTGCTCATTTAATATATTTCTATTCTCTTAAACAAAAAATAGTCTCTGACACATTATCAGTAAATCATGTTTTAGGCAATACTATTGATTTTCTGTAGCAAGAGGATATTTACATTCCTTATTTATGTCTACTTTCCTGGAAATATTTATTTGTGTTCACAAAAGTTATGTACAAAGAAAGAGCTCCAGGCTCAGTTTGAGGATACTGTAGAGGATTAATTGCCATGAAATACAAATTGAAAAAAATTTTAAATATACTTCTGCTCAGATTTGATACTTGAAATTAAATTCCCCAAAGTAAAATATCCTTGCATGTGAGAGAAGGTGATTCTCGTTTTAGGAAAATAGGAATACAATTTTCAACCCTAACTACATGTACTAAATTGCACATTTCTAACCTCTGATTATTTTGAGTTGTTGCTAGAATTTTTAAAGTAAAATCCATATTCTGAATGTTCCACAAAATTGTTTCTGCCTAATTTTGAATTTCATAATCCACCTCTCACCACCCTGTGTTTAAGATCCAGGCATACTGTTTCTTTACTATTTGTCCAACATGCCTATCTCTTTTTTGTACCTTTGCAATGGTTCATAAGCTCACAGCCTGAGAATACTCATTTACCTTCTTTAGGTAGCCAACCAAGAGAGCTTTGTTATTCTTAATCATCTTATTTATAACAGGGAGAACACCCTTTCTCCCTATCAAGTTAATCCAGGTTACTATCTCATGACATATTGTCCACTTTGTTCTCAGAAATTATAAACATCTGAAAATATGTTTTTTTCTCATTTAATATTTATCTCACTCACAGGAGCCTAAGAGACAGGAGGAAAGAAAACTTTTAAAAATTATGTATGGCTTTAAAATAGGAATAAAGACATCCCTGAGACATTATACGTATAGATAGATATCTATATCTAGGAATGGATAGAGAGATTAGTTACGAGCACTGATCTCTGAACTTTTATTCTCTTGCCCAAATTCCTAAGAGGTATGGGGACTCATTCCTTATAAACCATAAAATCTCATTATGTGTTTTTTTTAATTAATCCATATAAGGTGGCTTACTTTTGTTGACGACAAGAGTCAAACTCTGTAAAATATGTGAAGAGATTTATTCTGAGCCAAACGTAAGTGACCAGTGGATTGTGACGTTGCCCCAGGAGATCCTGAGAATATGTGCTCAAGGTGGTTGAGCTGTGGCTTAGATTTATACATTTTAGGGAGATATAAGACGTCGATCAATAAATGTACATTGGTTCAATCCAGAAATATGGGGAAACTGGGGCATGGGGTGGGGATGGTACTTCCAGGTCACAGGAAGATTCAAAGATTTTCTGAAGACCTAGAATCAATAGAAGGGAGTGTTTGGGTTAAGATAAGGGGTTATTAATACCAAGGTTCTTATTATGCAGATGAAGCCCCCAAGATGCATGCTTCAGAGAGAGTAGATTATAAATTTTTTTATCAGACTTAGTCTTAAGGTCTCTGTTTTGATGTTAATGGTGGTCAGCTGTGCCTGATTTCCAACAGGGAGAGTATAATAAGGCACTATAATAAGACACTCATTATAAAAGAGTCTAACTCTCATTTCCCATCATGGCCTGAACTAATCTTTTAGATTAACTTTGGAATGCCCTTTGTCCAAGTGGAAGGTCCAGCAGTTGGTTGCAGGGCTTAGAATTTTATTTTTGGTTTACACATTGCAACCTGTGTGTGGTAAAGCATCACATGACAAATAGCAGAATTGAAGGGAAATCAAAATATTTTAACTCAAAATATATTTTGAGATGGCTGCTACAGGGCCAGCAGACTGAAATAGCCATGCAAAGCCATCTTTTTGGGGGAAAATTTACATCTGTAGATAATCTCCATTAATGCATCCATGACTTCCCTTTCTAGACCTTTCCTGCATCCAGACGAGATTAACTGAGAGTAAGACACCTTTAAAGGTCTGAAAAGAGATACCTTTGATCTATTTTCTCTGAGGGCTGCTACCTGTGAGTCTTCATATACATAACAAGGCTACCTTTGCTAGCCAATCCTCTTTCTTTCTCCCTCCCTTAACCTGTCTTGCTACGAAAACCTATTTTTGCCCATACTCTAAGCCAGCATTCTTTCTATAACCTTAAGATGGTAAGCTTCTGAACTTCACTGGGAGGTGGGGTCTTCATTTCGAAGACTCTCATGTATATACTTTACACAAATTTGTATGCCTTTTCTCTTATTAATCAATCTGCCTCATATCAGTGATTTTTCAGGGAACCTCCAGAGGCTAAGGGCCTTGGCCCCCAAAGCCCCCTTATCTTAACTCAAGCATTTCTTTCTACTGACTTTAAGTCTTTAAATAATAGTTTCACTCTCAACCGTCAACTAAAGAATCCCTAAAACCCACCTATGACTTGTAAGCTCTCTTTTTCAAGATTCCCTGCCTTTTCAGGCCAAACCAATGTATATCATCCATGTATTAATTTATGATTTTATCTGCAATTCCTGTCTCCCTAAAATGTATAAAACCAAACTGTTACCCAATTGCCTCTGGCACACTTTCTCAGGACCTCTTGAGATTATATAACCCTGGGCTGTAGTCACTCATATTGGTTCAGAATAAACCTTTTAAAATATATTTTGGCAAAATTTGTGGTTTTTTCATCTTTAGATAGAAAGAAAAAATGACTATGTATAGGCGACCATAAAGACTTTAAAACAAAAAGATTAAGCATATGATTACCTTGTGTTGGGTATATATTTCTGAATATATACACACACATGCTTACTTACATATGTCTTAGCATTTGGTGTGTTCATTGCTATTAGGGTATCATTGCGTCTAGACTCATCAGAAAGAACTAGGAAATATATGTATGTATTCTAATTCATGAATACACAGACACCAATACTTATTTCTATGTTTATCTGTATATATAATTTAACAAAAACCTAAGTTTTTATTAATACTTCTAATTTCAATCTAACTCTACTGGATTCATCTTAGCCTTCCACATTTCCTTATTTGTAACGTTCTTCTCTGACAGTGAGGAACCTGGCTTTCTTTTTCCATAATATATTCACTTATTTGGCCAATCCCACTATATGTACAAATTTGCTCTCATAATTTTGTGCTCCCATAACAAGGATTATGGATTAGCTTTCACATTGCTAAATCATAACCATTGAAAACATAGTAGCTTTAATTAGAGAAACATTCATAATTCCAAAACCAAGTTATGAAAGAAGAGATTTGGTTTCCTTCAAACTCAGAATTTAGTGTTTAAAAGGCCTGGAGGAAGCCCATTGCTTATAGCTTTCCCATAGCTTGCTGCTAACTTCATGTTGAGGTTTCTTGATTCCTTGATAAACGTTTCTAATCTAAATCGTCACTTCATCTCTCTATCAAGCTTTGTGGGATAACACCTTGTTTTGTAATTTCATTGTACTTGGACATTTCTATAGCACTCAATTTCTTAACTTTGGTATCTGGTTCATTTCAAAGCAACTATTACTAAGAATTATTCCTGCTCCTTACTTAACATTTAAGCAATCAGTCCCAAACCAAATGAAATAAGTATCATAAGCCTTTTTAATATTTAGCTCTTTAATCTCCTTACTTCCACCATCCTTAGACTCATTCAAATAAATTTAGTTAAAATTCCTCTTTCCCTTGATGGCACAACTATCCCATGCCACCATCATTACTCAGGCTGAGACTTTAGAGACATTGTTGATTCTGCCTTTTACTTTGCTTTTAAATCCAGTTAATGGCTTCACATTTTAAATTTTAAGTTTTCTTCTCACCTATAACCTCTTTCACATTTTTATGCCCAGGAGAGGCTTTTGTAGTAATAAAACCCAGCAGCACATCCTGCATGGGAAATTTCAAATAGTTGCCCCTATAACCCTGATGTATTCTGCATACTGCTAAAAATAAACCTTACTAAAATATCTGATGATATATTTTCTAGGGCCAATTTGGTTACATTAGAAAGCCCTAAGTATAATGCATTAATCAAATATTCAAGTCTTATTATGCTGTGATTTCAGCCAGTATTTCTGGAGGTGATCCTTGCTCTTCTCTTTGACATGCAACACCCTCAAGTAGAAATAGGAAACTCTAAATTCCCTGAACCTTCCTTCTTGTTAATTTTCTTTATATTACTCCTTTTTATTTCAGAGGAAAAGTTATGGCTCTAAAATTATATATTACAAATTTAAAAAATTCCGAGTTTTAGTAATATTAAAAAACCAGAAAAAAGCAAATTAATCTCAAAGAAAGTCGAAGAAATTATAAAGATATAAAAAGAAACCAGTGAAGTAGGAAACTAATATATAATAGAAAAAGTCAACAAAGCTAAAAGTTGATCTATTAAAATGTTTCATAAAACTGACAGCACTCTGATAAAACTAATAAAATATATAATTTATATATCAATTAATTTATATATCATATATACAATTTCAGTAGACAAAAAGGCAATGACTCAATAGATCCTACAGATATTAAAAAGATAAATGGGTAATAAGCTATATTACAGATAATAAAATATATATACTCATTAATATCTGTATACACTCAGAGTAACACAAATTGACATAAAAATTTTGAGTAGGTTCATAGTTACTGAGGATGTTGAAACTCCCAAAAATTATCTCCTCAAAACAAGTAAAGCTCATATGATTTTACTAATGAATTTTGTTAAATAGTTTTAGGCAAAGCAAAAAACTATTTTAACACCAATTCTTCTTAAGAATAGAAAATGCAAAATGTATTGAGAATAACTAAAGAATAACTAAATAGTATCCTCTATTTACAAATTCAGTACTTTTACATTCAAATTTTCAGTAGGTTTTAGAATTGCAAATTGGTAAGTTGATTTTAGAATATATGGGGAAATAAAATGAACCAAAAAAAGCAAAATTTTTCATATTAGTTTTCAACTGCTGCACAAGTTACCACAGACTTGGTGTCTTAAAATAACATGTATTTATTATTTCACAGTTTCTTTAGATCAGAAGTCCAGTTTGGCTGAGATGCCTGCTTACAGGATCATGAGTCTGAAACCAGGGTGCCAGCCAGGCTGCATACTTATCTGCAGGACTGTCCAGAGAATAATCCATTTCCAAACTCAATCAGGTTATTAACAGAATTCAGTTCATTGTAGGTCCCTGTTTTCTTGCTGGCTCTTAGCTAGGGTGGCTCCTACATCCTAGAGGCTACTCTCATGTCCTAGCCATGCGGCCATATCACAACATGGCTTCTTACTTCCTAAGGCCAGCAAGTGAATCTTTCTCCAGTTTGCTATAGGATAGCCTTACACAATTTAATTTAATCAAAGGAGAAACAATCCCATCATTTACTCTATATAACATAAACTGATAAAAAGAGTAATTACCTCATCATATTCATAGGTCCTGCTTCCACTCAATGAGAGGGCACTATGGAGAATGTACATAACAGGGATTGGGAAACCAACCATCTTAGCATTCTGTCTGCTACAGTATTTCTTGAGAATAAGAATTAGGCTTCAGGGACCTACACTGCCAATCATAAAAGGTTATTATAGAGCTAATTAACAAAATGTATTAGTTGTTGAAGAATTGACAATTATAGTAACAAAAGAAAATTGAAGCATAGGAAAAAGACACAGACATCAAGAACTGCTATTTGGTTTAAAGATGACAATGTGGTGCAGTAAAGAGAAGATGACATTTTCAATATAGAATGCTGTTTCAATTGGATAATCACCTTGGAAAAATAATAAAAGCATAAACAAATCTTTACCTCCTACCTTACATCATATACAAAAATTAATTCCAATTGACTACATGTCTAAGTGTGAAAATTAAAACAATAATGTTTATGGAAGACAACATATGCAAATATTTTTAGAACCTTAGGTTAAGGAAAGATATTTTGTAGAGAAACGAAAGGCATTATTCATCAAGAAATTGATAAATTTGTCTACCTTAATCTTATAATTTATATTTCTCAAGAATACCATTAGAAAGTGAAAATACAATTCACAAATTAGGAGAAGATACACTTATCCACGCTATATCAAGGACTTCTAGAAATCATTAAGAAAACAGTTATCTCTATTTTAAAAATTGGGTAGTAGACTTTTGGGGTAAAAAAAAGAATATCTAAGCAGCTAATAAATGAAAATCTGTTTAAACGAATTATTAGTAACATGCTTAACCTAATTATTAGTACTCCATGATGTTATACTGGCATTCATCCAACAAAATAGCTAAAATTGAAAACAAAACAAATGAACAAAAAAACCCTGACAATTCCAAGTTTGGGGCAGTATATAGAGTAATTGGAAGTCTCATACATTGTCATTAGCAATGTAATTTGGTAAAATCACTTTGGAGAAGAGCACAATTGTGTCTAAAAAAGTCAGACAAATTTATAGCCTATGAATTTCCAGGAAATGTTAAGTCATTCAACTTCCTGGAAATTTCTTTTATATATGTATCAAAAGATACACAGAGAAAGATTTATAGCAGCCTATTTGCACTAGCCCCAATTTGGAAGCAACCCAATTGTATATCAACAGTAGAATGGATAAGTAAATTATGGTATATTTTGACCTGTAATGGAATGCTAAAGGGCAATAAGAATGCATGAACTGCTTTATTCAGGAAGTATGAATCTTGCAGATATTGAGCTGGACAAACTGTATGCAGGAAAGTGCATCACTCTATGATTCAATTTATATCAATTATAGAAAAGGCATATGTAAGTGATAGAATTCAGGATAGAGGTTACTCTTGACAACGAAGGAAAAGAAACTAGAGGGCCATTTGAGGGCCTCTTTGTGCTGAGAGTTCTGGGTCATATTTCTATGAGTATGTGCAGTTTGTGAACATTTACTGAACTGTACTTTTGTGATTTTTTTGTACTTCTCTCTATATATGATATATTTCAATTTGCATTATGTTTAAAAAAGTAATCTTTAACTTTGTAGGGTAGGGTTTAAATAATTTGACTTAATTTTTTTTTTTTTTTTTTTTTTCCTGAGACAGAGTCTCGCTCTGTCGCCCAGGCTGGAGTGCAGTGGCACCATCTCCACTCACTGCAAGCTCCGCCTCCTGGGTTCATGCCATTCTTCTGCCTCAGCCTCCCGAGTAGCTGGGACTACAGGCACCCGCCATCGCGCCCGGCTAATTTTTTGTATTATTAGTAGAAACGGGGTTTCACCGTGCTAGCCAGGATGGTCTCGATCTCCTGACCTCGTGATCCACCCGCCTCGGCCTCCCAAAGTGCTGGGATTACAGGCGTGAGCCACCGCGCCCGGCCTTGACTTAACTTTTGATTGGCATTAAATCTGAGCATGCTTTGAGAAAGTCTTTGTTTAAGGGTAATACTTCAAATAATCTATCTGTTAATAAATTTAATTTGTATCTTAAATGCTGAAATCAAGCTTTACACTGGTAGAGATAGAACGAAAGTAGAGACTAGCAATAGAATAGAGAGTACATGATGTGACTACAGATTATTCAGTTTAAATTGTGATACTGAGAGGCTTCTTGTCAGCCTGAACTTTGATGCTGACAGTAATTTCAAGCAATTTACTCTAAGTTTTTCCAAAGTGCACTGTACTTGCGGTCTCATGGGTATTATAACACATTAATTTTATTCATTTTCCCCACAAGATGAAGGCAATATATGTTTGAAAAATCTACTATGTTAATTTGTGTAGTGCTTTAAAACTTTCACCTTGAATACATGCAAATTTAATTTAAATTAAAATGTACAGTTAAAGTTGGATTTCGGATTTTTGTAATTTTGATTTAGTTTGTCCCTCCAGAAAACACATTTCTAATTAAGGAAGATATTGCTTGGTGGTGGTTTTGCATCGAATGCTCATAAGACAACTCTAATCTGGGTTATAACTTTTGACAAGCATTAGTTTCTATTCTATAGTAGTCTGACAGCTATGAGATTAGGAAAAAGTATTTCATCTTGAGAATACATTCTTAGTTCATTGATGCTTATTTCTGATACTTGTAAGCCAAATGACAAGTAAGCATTGTACTTCAATGGCCTCATTTTAAGAAATTTTTCTCTGCTTCTAAGAATATTAGTTATTGAATGCATAGAATTCATGAGTCATCCATCCATAATAATCCAGAGTAGTGTGAAAAAACAGGGAATTATCTACTAAATTGAAAAGAAAAGACGATCCTACTATTTTTTTCTATACTAGGTTAAAGTCATGACACTAAGATTTTATACAATCAGTCTAGTAAATTATGATCAGTATATTTAAAAATTAAACAGATGAATAAAAATTATGAGATGCATCACATGTATTAAGATTAAAGATTTTTATGTGAAAAAAATGTTTCCTTACACACATACACACAGACATAAACGCACATATTTATTACTTGGCTGCTCTTTAAAATATAAATCTTAGTGTTATCATCTAAAATGTTTTAAAAGCACTGCATTACTGGCGTAAAAAATAGCATATGGAAAATACAGAGACAAGACAAAACACTATATTCAAGTAACTATAATTAGTTTGGTGTGTCTAGATTGTAGAATACATTGTGGTAGGGAAATAAATTGAGAGAATATGTAGAAAGAAGCACCCATGATATATTTTTAATGCTCTATGAGGAATTTGTGCTTTAAAAATTTGTTTTATCAGTAGGTCATGATGCTTCTCTGAAAATACAGACTGCTCTTTTCTTCAATCACACATAAAGGTTATATTTTTAACAGTGTGGTGAAGTTAAGAGGCAGTGATGTTCTTAATATTTTATGTCTCATTCTAGGAATTCAGGGATTTCAACACAAGATGATGTGAGTAATTTTTTTTTTAGCCTGTATACCTAGTGGAAAGGGACATTGTATGCCAGGGACAGCTGACACCTATCAAATAAAATGAGACAGACGTGAGCAGGTGAGGGGAGAGATACAATCCTTAAGCTCCAAAGTAGTTTACCTGAAGAGGAAGAGACTCACCTAGAGGAAGAAGGAGAGTGCTTCAAGTTGGTTTCGGAGCACATGAGACCTGCTGGTGAGAATGAATGATTTGAGATGCTCCCTGTATGCCACATCCATTTGTTTTTAATCCAATCTCTGGAATAATTTGGATCAAAAGTTATAGAATGAGGACTATAGAAAGTAAGAAAAATCATCCGGGTGGAGGAGCCAAGATGGCCGAATAGGAACAGCTCCGGTCTACGGCTCCCAGCGTGAGCGACGCAGAAGACAGGTGATTTCTGCATTTCCATCTGAGGTACCAGGTTCATCTCACTAGGGAGTGCCAGACAGTTGGCGCAGGTCAGTGGGTGCCTGCACCGTGCGCGAGCCTAAGCAGGGCGAGGCATTGCCTCACTTGGGAAGCGCAAGGGGTCAGCCAGTTCCCTTTTTGAGTCAAAGAAAGGGGTGACGGACGGCACCTGGAAAATCGGGTCACTCCCACCCGAATACTGCGCTTTTACGACGGGCTTAAAAAACGGCGCACGACGAGATTATATCCGGCACCTGGCTTGGAGGGTCCTACGCCCACAGAGTCGCGCTGATTGCTAGCACAGCAGTCTGAGATCAAACTGCAAGGCGGCAGCGAGGCTGGGGGAGGGGCGCCTGCCATTGCCCAGGCTTGATTAGGTAAACAAAGCAGCCTGGAAGCTCGAACTGGGTGGAGCCCACCACAGCTCAAGGAGTCCTGCCTGCCTCTGTAGGCTCCACCTCTGGGGGCGGGGCACAGACAAAAAGACAGCAGTAACCTCTGCAGACTTAAATGTCCCTGTCTGACAGCTTTGAAGAGAGCACTGGTTCTCCCAGCATGCAGCTGGAGATCTGAGAACCAGCAGACTGCCTCCTCAAGTGGGTCCCTGACCCCTGACCCCCAGGCAGCCTAACTGGGAGGCACCCCCCAGCAGGGGCACACTGACACCTCACAAGGCAGGGTATTCCAACAGACCTGCAGCTGAGGGTCCTCTCTGTTAGAAGGAAAACTAACAAACAGAAAGGACATCCACACCAAAAACCCATCTATACATCACCATCATCATCAAAGACCAAAAGTAGATAAAACCACAAAGATGGGGAAAAAAACAGAACAGAAAGCTGGAAACTCTAAAAAGCAGAGCACCTCTCCTCCTCCAAAGGAACGCAGTTCCTCACCAGCAATGGAACACAGCTGGATGGAGAATGACTTTGACGAGCTGAGAGAAGAAGGCTTCAGACGATCAAATTACTCTGAGCTACGGGAGGACATTCAAACCAAAGGCAAAGAAGTTGAAAACTTTGAAAAAAATTTAGAAGAATGTATAACTAGAATAACCAATACAGGGAAGTGCTTAAAGGAGCTGATGGAGCTGAAAACCAAGGCTCGAGAACTACGTGAAGAATGCAGAAGCCTCAGGAGCCAATGCGATCAACTGGAAGAAAGGGTATCAGCAATGGAAGATGAAATGAATGAAATGAAGGGAGAAGGGAAGTATAGAGAAAAAAGAATAAAAAGAAATGAGCAAAGCCTCCAAGAAATATGGGACTATGTGAAAAGACCAAATCTACGTCTGATTGGTGTACCTGAAAGTGACGGGGAGAATGGAACCAAGTTGGAAAACACTCTGCAGGATATTATCCAGGAGAACTTCCCCAATCTAGCAAGGCAGGCCAACGTTCAGATTCAGGAAATACAGAGAACGCCACAAAGATACTCCTCGAGAAGAGCAACTCCAAGACACATAATTGTCAGATTCACCAAAGTTGAAATGAAGGAAAAAATGTTAAGGGCAGCCAAAGAGAAAGGTCGGGTTACCCTCAAAGGGAAGCCCATCAGACTAACAGCAGATCTCTCGGCAGAAACCCTACAAGCCAGAAGAGAGTGGGGGCCAATATTCAACATTCTTAAAGAAAAGAATTTTCAACCCAGAATTTCATATCCAGCCACACTAAGCTTCATAAGTGAAGGAGAAATAAAATCCTTTACAGACAAGCAAATGCTGAGAGATTTTGTCACCACCAGGCCTGCCTTACAAGAGCTCCTGAAGGAAGCACTAAACATGGAAAGGAACAACCGGTACCAGCCACTGCAAAATCATGCCAAAATGTAAAGACCATCGAGACTAGGAATAAACTGCATCAACTAACGAGCAAAATCACCAGCTAACATCATAATGACAGGATCAAATTCACACATAACAATATTAACTTTAAATGTAAATGGACTAAATTCTCCAATTAAAAGACACAGACTGGCAAATTGGATAAAGAGTCAAGACCCATCAGTGTGCTGTATTCAGGAAACCCATCTCACTTGCAGAGACACACATAGGCTCAAAATAAAAGGATGGAGGAAGATCTACCAAGCCAATAGAAAACAAAAAAAGGCAGGGGTTGCAATCCTAGTCTCTGATAAAACAGACTTTAAACCAACAAAGATCAAAAGAGACAAAGAAGGCCATTACATAATGGTAAAGGGATCAATTCAACAAGAAGAGCTAACTATCCTAAATATATATGCACCCAATACAGGGGCACCCAGATTCATAAAGCAAGTCCTGAGTGACCTACAAGAGACTTAGACTCCCACACATTAATAATGGGAGACTTTAACACCCCACTGTCAACATTAGACAGATCAACGAGACAGAAAGTCAACAAGGATACCCAGGAATTGAACTCAGCTCTGCACCAAGCAGACCTAATAGACATCTACAGAACTCTCCACCCCAAATCAACAGAATATACATTTTTTTCAGCACCACACCACACCTATTCCAAAATTGACCACATACTGGGAAGTAAAGCTCTCCTCAGCAAATGTAAAAGAACAGAAATTATAACAAACTCTCTCTCAGACCACAGTGCAATCAAACTAGAACTCAGGATTAAGAATCTCACTCAAAACCGCTCTACTACATGGAAAGTGAACAACCTGCTCCTGAATGACTACTGGGTACATAATGAAATGAAGGCAGAAATAAAGATGTTCTTTGAAACCAACGAGAACAAAGACACAACATACCAGAATCTCTGGGACGCATTCAAAGCAGTGTGTAGAGGGAAATTTATAGCACTAAATGCCCACAAGAGAAAGCAGGAAAGATCCAAAATTGACACCCTAACATCACAATTAAAAGAACTAGAAAAGCAAGAGCAAACACATTCAAAAGCTAGCAGAAGGCAAGAAATAACTAAAATCAGAGCAGAACTGAAGGAAATAGAGACACAAAAAACCCTTCAAAAAATTAATGAATCCAGGAGCTGGTTTTTTGAAAGGCTCAACAAAATTGATAGACCGCTAGCAAGACTAAGAAAGAAAAAAAGAGAGAAGAATCAAATAGATGCAATAAAAAATGATAAAGGGGATATCACCACTGATCCCACAGAAATACAAACTACCATCAGAGAATACTACAAACACCTCTACGCAAATAAACTAGAAAATCTAGAAGAAATGGATAAATTCCTGGACACATACACTCTCCCAAGACTAAACCAGGAAGAAGTTGAATCTCTGAATAGACCAATAACAGGAGCTGAAATTCTGGCAATAATCAATAGTTTACCAACCAAAAAGAGTCCAGGACCAGATGGATTCACAGCCGAATTCTACCAGAGGTACAAGGAGGAACTGGTACCATTCCTTCTGAAACTATTCCAATCAATAGAAAAAGAGGGAATCCTCCCTAACTCATTTTATGAGGCCAGCATCATTCTGATACCAAAGCCAGGCAGAGACACAACAAAAAAAAGAGAATTTTAGACCAATATCCTTGATGAACATTGATGCAAAAATCCTCAATAAAATACTGGCAAACCGAATCCAGCAGCACATCAAAAAGCTTATCCACCATGATCAAGTGGGCTTCATCCCTGGGATGCAAGGCTGGTTGAATATATGCAAATCAATAAATGTAATCCAGCATATAAACAGAGCCAAAGACAAAAACCACATGATTATCTCAATAGATGCAGAAAAAGCCTTTGACAAAATTCAACAACCCTTCATGCTAAAAACTCTCAATAAATTAGGTATTGATGGGATGTATTTCAAAATAATAAGAGCTATCTATGACAAACCCACAGCCAATATCATACTGAATGGGCAAAAACTGGAAGCATTCCCTTTGGAAACTGGCACAAGACAGGGATGCCCTCTCTCACCACTCCTATTCAACATAGTGTTGGAAGTTCTGGCCAGGGCAATTAGGCAGGAGAAGGAAATAAAGGGTATTCAATTAGGAAAAGAGGAAGTCAAATTGTCCCTGTTTGCAGATGACATGATTGTATATCTAGAAAACCCCATTGTCTCAGCCCAAAATCTCCTTAAGCTGATAAGCAACTTCAGCAAAGTCTCAGGATACAAAATCAATGTGCAAAAATCACAAGCATTCTTATACACCAACAACAGACAAACAGAGAGACAAATCATGAGTGAACTCCCATTCACAATTGCTTCAAAGAGAAAATACCTAGGAATCCAACTTACAAGGGATGTGAAGGACCTCTTCAAGGAGAACTACAAACCACTGCTCAAGGAAATAAAAGAGGATACAAACAAATGGAAGAACATTCCATGCTCATGGGTAGGAAGAATCAATATCGTGAAAATGGCCATACTGCCCAAGGTAATTTACAGATTCAATGCCATCCCCATCAAGCTACCAATGACTTTCTTCACAGAATTGGAAAAACCTACTTTAAAGTTCATATGGAACCAAAAAAGAGCCCGCATCGCCAAGTCAATCCTAAGCCAAAAGAACAAAGCTGGAGGCATCACACTACCTGACTTCAAACTATACTACAAGGCTACAGTAACCAAAACAGCATGGTACTGGTACCAAAACAGAGATATAGATCAACGGAACAGAACAGAGACCTCAGAAATAACGCCGTATATCTACAACTATCTGATCTTTGATAAACCTGAGAAAAATAAGCAATGGGGAAAGGATTCCCTATTTAATAAATAGTGCTGGGAAAACTGGCTAGCCATATGTAGAAAGCTGAAACTGGATCCCTTCCTTACACCTTATACAAAAATCAATTCAAATGGATTAAAGACTTAAACGTTAGACCTAAAACCATAAAAACCCTAGAAGAAAACCTAGGCATTACCATTCAGGACATAGGCATGGGCAAGGACTTCATGTCTAAAACACCAACAGCAATGGCAACAAAAGCCAAAATTGACAAATGGGATCTAATTAAACTAAAGAGCTTCTGCATAGCAAAAGAAACTACCATCAGAGTGAACAGGCAACCTACAAAATGGGAGAAAATTTTCACAACCTACTCATCTGACAAAGGGCTAATATCCAGAATCTACAATGAACTCAAACAAACTTACAAGAAAAAAACAAACAACCCCATCAAAAAGTGGGCAAAGGACTTGAACAGACACTTCTCAAAAGAAGACATTTATGCAGCCAAAAAACACATGAAAAAATGCTCATCATCACTTGCCATCAGAGAAATGCAAATCAAAACCACAATGAGATACCATCTCACACCAGTTAGAATGGCAATCTTTAAAAAGTCAGGAAAAAACAGGTGCTGGAGAGGATGTGGAGAAATAGAAACACTTTTACACTCTTGGTGGGACTGTAAACTAGTTCAACCATTGTGGAAGTCAGTGTGGCGATTCCTCAGGGTTCTAGATCTGGAAATACCATTTGACCCAGCCATCCCATTACTGGGTATATACCCAAATGACTATAAATCATGCTGCTATAAAGACACATGCACACGTATGTTTATTGCGGCATTATTCACAATAGCAAAGATTTGGACCCAACCCAAATGTCCAACAATGATAGACTGGATTAAGAAAATGGGGCACATATACACCATGGAATACTATGCAGCCACAAAAAATGATGAGTTCATGTCCTTTGTAGGGACATGGATGAAATTGGAAATCATCATTCTCAGTAAAGTATCGCAAGAACAAAAAAACAAACACTGCATATTCTCACTCATAGGTGGGAATTGAACAATGAGAATACATGGACACAGGAAGGGGAATATTACACTCTGGTGACTGTTGTGGGGTGGGGGGAGGGGCTAGGGATAGCATCAGGTGATATACCTAATGCTAGATGACGAGTTAGTGGGTGCAGCGCACCAGCATGGCACATGTATACATATGTAACTAACCTGCACAATGTGCAGATGTACCCTAAAACTTAAAGTATAATAAAAAAATATATTAAATAAATAAATAAATAAATAAAAGTGCTTTAGCTAAAAACAAACAAAAAAAAAAGAAGTATTTGGTCTAAGAATAAGGACCTTCCCCCATCTTGACCACAAAAGCACTCTGCAGCTAGACAAATACATTAATGGGAATCAATATTGAATTAAAAATCATTTAACTTGTAAAAAAAAAAAAAGAAAAAAAGAAAAATCATCCAAGTACATGTACGTGGCTGTAAGAAACTAGTAGGCCCCTACTTTAACTCTATTAAATACCTTTAGTTGAATAATATTATAATTATAGAACCAAAACATAGGATTTTGACAAATATTTTTATTTTTGCGCTGAGAAGATATGCAAAGTTAAGGATAACTGGAAGAGTTGCCTTATAAGGCAGCAGCAGAAATAGCATCTAAGGCCAGGAGAAGAGAGGAAGTGATCCTGGGTGTACCTGACCATAGGCATAATAAATAACAGAGAGAAAGGGACAGGAGAAGTGCATGGAAATGGGACCAGTATTCATTCATTTATTTATCAGTCATTTGTGGCACAAAGGATAATTATGTGGTACGTTTAACTCAATATTATTAGTTAAACCTTAATCTACAAGGAGCTTCAAAGTCATCGTGTTTTTTAATTACTCCTGCTCAGCATCAATCTAAATATTATTAATAAAAAACATTGCTGTTGAGTATCTAATCAAATCCTCTGCACTGCAGTATATGATCCATTCCCTCATGGAAAATTTCTGTTTTGAAAACTGTTCCATTTGTTCATTTAGAGATGTTGCATTAAGCTTAAGCCTAAACCTAAGCCATTCTATTATATTTATTTGAATTGTTTCACTTTTGCATATCAATGTGTCCATTTAACTTTTATTGTGTTAATGGAGATTACTTACCTGAATATGTGAAACTTTTGCATCGTGATGTCTTAAGAGCAGCGGTCTCTTATGCACAATTACCAGCTGAGCCTTCAGCAAACCAGCTGGCATACTCTGTAGACAAAAGGAGATATCAACACCTCAATTTGGCTATATTTCTGTTTGATATGGGCTGGAAATATTGTAAAAAATCTATATATATCCATATATAAATATATAAAAATAAATTTAAACATATCTTAGCTCAATGAGTATAATATTGTAAGTATTAAATCAAAAGTCAAGATCTTGACAAAAATGTTCATGTCTCAATGGAGCAGACAAAATCAAGGATAACTGGAAGATTTGCCTTGTGAAGCAGCAACAGAAAAATGATCTAAAGCCAGGAATGGAGAAGTGAATATCTATCTATCTATCTAACTTACACATTCTTGTCAAAGTCATATTTACAGTCACTTCATAGATTGACACACACACAAAAAAAACCAGGACCTTTACTAAATGACAGGTGTATATACTTTTTTTGTCAAAACAAATTTCCTTGCCCTGTATTGCTAATTTTTAATTCATTTATGGTACTCATCAGATTGACATTGATTCACCCTATCATCCTCCTTAGTTGAGACCCCATTTTTTTCTATATTTTAGTCTACTATTTGAATATCTTTTCTTCTCACCATAAATACACATTAACACAAATTAACTGCTTAATCTGCCCATCCTTCATTTCTACCTTTATTTAGAGCTATATATGTCCGTAAGCATTAAAGTTGTGTTGTATGTGCTTTTAAATATATATGTACAATACATATTTAATACACACATTCTACTGCAACTTGCTTTTTCACTCAGCAATTTTTATTTACAATCTAGTGGAAAGAGAATGGTGAGAACAGCAGGAGGTATTTGAGTGTTACCTTAAGGTTCAAGCTTCTCTGAGATTGCAAACTACCTCTCCCTACAAAAAAGTCAAGATATTTATGCATCAATACCCCTTAGCAATGTGACTGTTGGTAATCACATCAAAAGGTGAGTTTTACCTCTCAATCCCTTAAATCAAACTTTGACCATGTAACTTGCTTTGACTAATGGGACCTTAGCAAATGTGACATAAGAAGGGGCATGAAAAGCGCTAGTGCACTAGACATTGGCTTCTCTTGCTACTTTTAGAACTCAGACACTAAGGGAAGAAGCCTGACTTTGTTAGGTACTGGACATGTGACCTATTTGCCTCTGTCACTCTAACCAAACATCATACATGTGAATGAAGCCATCCAGACTGATCATCTTCAGCCAGCCAGCCAGCTGAGATGAGCAGAAGAATCCACAGCTATGCGCATCCCACATTGCCAATATACAGTACCAAGGGACAAATTATTGTGATTTTATGCTATTAAAGTTCTAAGTGTATATCGCATATTGTAGCAAAAGTTAGACAGTACATGTCTACTACTTATCTCTACCATTTGTATTTCTCTCTGTGATATTGAGCTTTATTTTTAGCACATGGTAGAAATTTTCATTGTTTTATGTTTCTTTTTCTTTCTTTTCTTTTCTTTTCTTTTTTTTTTTTTTTGGAGACAACATGTTCCTGTATTGCCCAAGCTGTTCTTAAACTCCCAGATTCAAGCACTCCTCCTGCCTTGGTCTTCCAAAGTGCTGGGATTACTAGCATGAACCGTCTCACTTTGTCTTATTTTGCAATTTAATAACTGTTTTTAGATAACAGTCCATGGATTCATGGAAAAAAAGTACCTATTTAAAAAACTTAAATGTCTCATTCTGGTTTCAAATGAGTAAGCATGGACTGAAATTATGTCTTTCTTGCCAGAAGCACCCCACCTCCAAAAAAAAAAGCCAGCAAATCACACTGTCAAAATGTCTGGTCCATATCTTAATATAGGGTGAATATATGACCATTTATCTGGCTCTGGACTACTAAGTAGAGATTTAAGACCTTGTAGACATTTTCCAGGAATGTAGGAAAAGATAATATAAAGTATAAAAAGATAAAAATGAATAGAGGAAGAAATGGAGGGAAGAAAGTGGAGGGTGAAGAATGGGAGACAGAGATGAAAAAGAGAGAAAATCAAGAGAAACAAATTATTGAGCATCTAGATAAGGCTTCTAGGTTATATAAGCTGTCTAGGTTTGCTAGGGATGCTGTAACACAATACCACAGACTGGGTAATATATAAACAGTAAAAATGTATTTCTCATAGTAGTAGAAGCTTGGTAATTTAAGATTAAGGAACCAACAGATTTGGTGTTTCGTGAGGGCTGCTCTCTCCTTCCAAAATGGTGCCTCCCTTCTGTGTCCTCACATAATGGAAGGGCAAAAGGGAGGAATGGTGTATCCCCACATGGCAGAAGAGATGAAAGAATCAGGCAGCTCTCTGAAGCCACTTTTATAAGAGCATTAATCCCATTCATAAAAGCAGAGCCCTCATCCTCTAATAACCTCTCAAAATCTCTACCTCTTAATACCATCACCTTGGGGTTTAAGTTCTCGCATATGAATTTTGGAGGGACACATACACTCAAGCCACAGCATAAGTCAATGCATTCTCTTATTTTGCTTATGAGAGTGTAAAATGAACTTCTCTCACAGGACTCTAAAAACATAGAGTCAAGCAGAAAATTGGTACTTGGATGTAGGTGTTTAAAAGGACAGACAGTGGCTGAGTACAGTGGCTCATGCTTGTAATTCCAATGCTTTGGGAGGCCAGGATAGGAGGATTGCTTGAGGCAAGGAGTTGGAGGCTACAGTGAGCTTTGATAGTGTCACTGGAGTATAGCTTGGGTGACAGAGCAAGCCTATCTCTAAAATAGTAAAAAATAATATGAATAATAATAAATAAAAGAAAAAAGTGACACAATGGAGATAAGATTAATGAATTACTCCCTAACTGTATCTATCTATATCATTTAACATTGCTGTATTTGACTTTCATTACATTTGTTTAATTATAAATTTGAAAACCAAATTAATTTTAGTTATGATTATTGTTGTTTATTAATAAACACTATTGAAAAATATTTTTCTCTGAGTATAGTTTTGGGGAAAATCCTGTAAGCTTTGTCAGGTTTTTTTCATATTATATCCCTGAAAACTGCAATTTACAATTGGATTTATACTTTTAATTTAAAACTTAGTTAATGTATTGTCATAGTTTTTTATTTAATAAAAAATTAAATATTATATGTTTTTCTTTGAGAATGTTATGTTGGAAAAATTCTATGAAACTTGATGGTTTGTTCTCATTATTTTTTATTTTAAAAATTTCTGTAAAGTTTAGATTTACTCATTGATCCCATTAGATGGATTATTTTTCCCTAAACAATCTTTTGTTTATAGTTTTGTGATTAATTTTGTTGCTTGCATTACTTTATATTTTTAGAATTAGTCAATTTTATGTAAATATTCCACCTACACAAGAAAGCTAACTGTTTCTTAGAGGCAGAGTTTGATATATTTTTACTTAATACAAAATATATTGTTTTGCTCATATGACATAAATTCTCAGTATTTTTTTACACTTAATCTGTTGATATGGTTTGGCTGTGTTTCCACCTAATTCTCATCTTGAATTGTAGCTCCCACAATTCCCACATGTAGTAGGAGGGACTCTGTGGGAGGTAGTTGAATGATGGGGCAAATCTTTCTCATGCTGTTCCTGTGATAGTGAATGGGTCTCACATTATCTGATGGTTTTATAAAGAAGAGTTCCCCTGCACACACTCTCTTCCCTGCTGCCATGTAGTATGTGACTTACTCCTCCTTGCCTTCTGCCATGATTGTGAGGCTGCCCCAGCCACGTGGAACTGTGAGTCCATTAAACCTCTTTTTCTTTATAAATTACCCAGTCTCGGGTATGTCTTTATCAGCAGTGTGAAAATGGACTAATACAGTAAATTGGTACTGGTAGAGTGGGGTGCTACTGTAAAGATACCTGAAAATGTGGAAGCGACTTTGGAACTGGGTAACAGGCAGAGGTTGGAACAGTTTTGGAGGGCTCAGAGGGAGACAGGAAAATGTGGGAAAGGTTGGAACTTCCTAGAGACTTGTTGAGTGGCTTTGACCAAAATGCTGATAATGATATGGACAATGAAATCCAGACTGAGGTGGTCTCAGATGGAAATGAGGAACTTATTGGGAACTGGAGTAAAGGTGATTTTTGCTATGTGTTAGCAAAGACACTGGTGGCATTTTGCACCTGCCCTAGAGATCTGTGGAACTTTGAACTCAAAGGGGATGATTTAGGTTATATGGTGGAATAAATTTCTAAGCAGCAAAGCATTCAAGAGATAACTTGTGTGCTGTTAAAAGCATTCAATTTTAAAAGGGAAACAGAGCATAAAAGTTCAGAAAATATGTAACCTGACCATGCAATTGAAAAGAAAAACCCATTTTCTGAAGAGAAATTCAAGCTGGCTGCAGAAATTTGCATAAGTAACAAGGAGCCAAATGTTAATCACCAAGACAATGGGGAAAATGACTTCAGGGCATGTCACAGATCTTTGTGACAGCCCCTCCCATCACAGGCCTGGAAGCCTAGGAGGAAAAAGTGGTTACATGGGCCAGGCCCAGGACCCCCCTGCTATGTGCAGCCTAGGGACTTGATGCCCTGCATCCCAGCCTGGCAGCTCTAGTCATTGCTAAAATAGGCCAAGGTATAGGTCATGCCTTGGCTTCAGGAGGTGCAAGTCCCAAGCCTTGGCAGCTTCCAAGTGGTGTTGAGCCCGCAGGTGAACAGAAGTCAAGAACTGAGGTTTGGGAACCTCCGCCTAGATTTCACAAGATGCATGGAAATGCATGGATGTCCAAGTAGAAGTTTGTTGCAGGGGTGGGGTCCTCATGGAGAACCTCTGGTTGAAGCCTCCACACAGAGCCCAGACTGGGGCATTGCCTAGTGGAGCTGTGAGAAGAAGGTCACCATCCTTCAGACCTCAGAATGGTAGATTCACTGACAGCTTGCACCATGTGCCTGGGAAAGCTGCAGACACTCAATGCCAGCCTGTGAAAGCAGCCAGGAGGGAGGCTTTACCCTTCAAAGCCACATGGGTGGAGTGGCCCAAGACCATGGGAACCCATCTCTTGCATCAGTATGACCTGGATATGAGACATGAAGTCAAAGGCGATCATTCTGGAACTTTAAGATTTGACTGCCCCTCTGGATTTCGAACTTGCATGGGGCCGGTAGTCTCTTCATTTTGGCCAATTTCTCCCATTTGGAATGGCTTTATTCACCCAATACCTGTACCCCCATTGTATCTAGGAAGCACTAACTTGCTTTTGATTTTACAGGCTCAGTGGCAGAAGGGACTTGCCTTGTCTCAGATGAGACTTTGGACTTGGACTTTTGAGTTAATGCTGAAATGCATTAAGATTTTTGGGGACTGTTGGGAAGGCATGATTGGCTTTGAAATGTGAGGACATGAGATTTGGGAGGGGCCAGGGCAGAATTATATGGTTGGGCTGTGTCCCCATCCAAATCTCATCTTGAATTGTAGCTCCCACAATTCTCATGTGCTGTCTGAGGGACCTGGTGGGAGGTGGTTGAATTACGGGGACAGGTCTTTCCCGTGCTGTTCTTGTGATAGTGAATGAATCTCGTGAGATCTGATGGTTTTATAAAAAGGAGTTCCTCTGTACAAGTTCTCTCTTCACTGCCACCACGTGGGATGTGACTTGCTCCTTTTTGCCTTCTACCATGATTGTGAGGCCTCCCCAGCCAAGTGGAACTGTGAGTCCATTAAACCTATTTTTCTTTATAAATTACCCAGTCTTGGGTATGTCTTTACCAGCAGTGTGAAAACAGACTAATACATCTGTTAAGTACTAAAAATGTATGTTATTATCATCAATATGACTATACAAGTATACTTTTCTGTTTTTTTTGTTTGCTCTTTATATATGTCTATAGGAGAGTACATATGCATTGATGGATTGATAGATCAATTGAGTCATTATTTTGAAAGCCTAATGGTTTCCAGGAGTTATAACTTTACTGTAAACTAATTGCTTCATAGAATTTTTCAATTGAATTCAGGTATTCACATTGCAATTCTTGTTTTTCTGTTGTTTAGTGTCTAATGGAATTTGTTAGCTGTTCTCTAACTTTTAACATTACAGACAAAATTTATTTGTTTTAAAACTTTGTGTGTTCATGTGCACACATGTATTTGCAGGTTAGCTTGTGATTTTAGAAATCATATAGCATATGTGTGTGTATTTTTAAGAAAACACGTAGAGGTCACTTTTATTACTGCATCTAATAATTGATTTTTAAAGATTAATATCAGCCTTGTACATTTATTTTTCACAGCCATATCATTAGTCTTTTATTACATTTCCAACAAGAATCACTAGTGGAGCCTGCTTATTACTAGGTACTTGAGAAAGAGGTTTTTACTAAATGCTAGAAGAAAGCACTTTGAGTTATGGTAAAATGACACAGAAGAAACACTATAAGGATAAATAGACTTGAAGTAAAAAAGGGTCATTAATTCATCCATGTGTGTATTTATTCACCCAATCTTGGTCAAAGGCAAAGGCTACAGTCAGCTCTTCACAGAGCTTACTTTTTAGAGCAGTTGCTGTGAACATTTATAAAGTTCAACTAAAAGGGCTAAATATAAATGAATAACAGAAAAATATCATTTCTATGTAGGCACACTACTGTCCTTAAACTAGTGGTTAACTGAGATTTATATAAATATTCAAAATGGCACATTAGTAGCTTGTTGAAATTTTATTTACTAGGAAATTATGGAAGGAAAAGGTTCAGCGATCAAACGCTCTTACTAAATTTTCAAGATTTTAGGAAAATTTAAGGAGAACACATATATAGTTATTAATAAATAACGTGGAGCATAATTTCCATTTTGAGGGCCTGCCTGAATTCTCAATGTATATTAATTTATTAAAAAATGTGAAGAAAGTAGTCCCAAATCTAGAAACTCTAGTGAACAGGGCCTAGGGGAGATATAAGAGGCTAGACATTCATGGTGCTACATCATCTTCTTAAGATAAGACTCTGTAAGGGTAAATAGAAATCTAAAAAAAAAGGAAAGGAAAAGCAAAACAAAATGGGATTTTTTTCCTAGTGCAGAAAGGGAAAGAGACACCAGGAACTCCCTTTTCTTATAGCATTTACTTGAGAAAACTTGTACAGTAATAGTGAATTCTTCCTCTATCCCTTTGAGAAGTATATGAATCTTTTAAAAAGCTAAAGTCTTACAATCCAAGACTATTTTTTTAAGGTGCTTGGAGTCGTTTACTTGAAATGTAAACATCAAGGAAGATAGTATCATTCACTCTCCATTCTCATGGGAGTTTAACTTAGGCATCTGCTCCAAATTGTAACTAAAGTTGACTCTTGAACAACAAACTTCCAATATGGGTTTACTGATATGGGGATTTTCTTCTACTTCTGCCACCCCTGAGATAACAAGACCAACCCTCCTCTTCCTTCTCTTCCTCAGCATACTCAGCATGAAGTTGATGAGATGAATACCTTTATAATGAACTACTTCTATTTTATGAATAGTAAATATATTTGCTCTTCCTTGTGATTTTCTTAACATTTTCTTTTCTCTAGCTTATTTTACTGTGAGAATATGGTATATAATACATATAACATGCAAAATATGTGTTAATTGACTGTGTACATCATCAGTAAGGCTTCTGGTTAATAATAGGCTATCAGTAGTTAAATTATGGGGGGAGTCAAAAGTTATATACAGATATTTGACTGTGTAGGGATTCAGTGCCCCACAACCTCTGCATTGTTCAAGAGCTGACAATACCTACCTTCATAGAAATCTGAGAAGTTTTATGGATCTTTTGGATAAAGGAAATTTGCAAAGATAAGTGGCCACACCAATTGTAGGTGAGTATAAGATGAACTATTTGTAACAAATAGTGCTGTCAAGACCCTTACTTGAGGTCCAATTGTTGTTTATCTTGATGACATGTAAGCAATGCTTTTTACCTGCTTGCTTAAAACAGTGAGATTTCTCTTTAGTAGCAGGCAGTAAGTTGCCTAGGATGTGTAAGAAAAGAAAAATACTTCAGAGCAATCTGAGCTATGTGAGGTATGCAGGCCCAGAGAGACATGAGCATAGGACATCAGTCATGCCCCTCCGACCTGTGCTTGGAGGCAATTGTTTCAAGTCATTTTATTTCTGACTAGCTACCTCACCCATTATCTTCATGTTCCTGGAATTTGTCATACAAATAACAATGTAAGCCAATCAAAAGCTTATGTTATTTTAATGCAAATTCTTCATAAACAACTCAGGAACTGCCTTCTCTTTTCCTTTATAAATCCACTTTTAACCGCTGGTCACTGGAGTGTATGTTTAGGGCAACTTGAATTAGTCTATGCTCCTGGGTTGCAGTCCTCAAGCATGGTCCAAATAAACTCTCCATGTACATTAATTTTGCCTCAGCTTCTTCCTTTTAGGTCAATATATGCATTACATTCTGACTTCATGTTTATTCAATAATAAAACTGTTTTCTTTCTCTTCCATTATGAAGAGGTTTTCTGGGTTTACAGGAGATTTTCTATTAAACTGTTACACTAGATTTCCCCAACAATTCTCAGTCAGTGTTTAGCAGGTATTAAATGGCAGTTCAACAAATTCCAACCGTGTTCCTCAAGAGTTAGTTTAGCATCTGAAAAATGGGCTATAATACCTGATTTTCTTTCAGAGTGGCCAAGGATTGGTGGAGTTATTTGGCCATTTGACCATGATGTGTGGCCTCAATGTGTGTAGAAAGTAATGATTTGGGGGGTATGAGATAGTGCAGTGCTTGTTTCAGAGGTGAGCTTGCCTGTGGCTGTTGGCTATAAGCAACTTTTTTCTTCTCCAGTTAAAGATACATGTTTTAGTGTTAGAGAAGATTAAAGAATAATAGTCTGAGCTTGCTTCCTGAGAAGTCATTCATTCCCCAGTTTAAAGGATTTTATTGGAGTCAGCCAAACTCTGAGTTGTTGTACCAAAAAAATTTCCAAAATATTTTTTTAACCCTCCTAGTAAAAGAAGAGAAGACAAGAGCTGTTGTGCTGAAAATGGAAGGAATACTTGGTGGAAAGTACACACATAAATACTGAATATAATTTTAGGATCTGCCAGCCTTTATCTATACTTAGTCAAAAGTGAGAGAGATAAGTCTTGAACAGCTGCAAGACAGAAAACCATGTTTTACATGATAGTAGTATATGCAAGGTAGGGAGCTTTCAGAACTGGGAGAAAAGCATGCAACTAAGGAAGAAAAAACATTTTAGGATTCGGTGACTAGAGGAGTGACATTCCAGTATGGAGCCCAGGCTTAGGTGGAGATACGGGGATAAGCATAACGTGAAATAAGACCTGCAGTCATTCCCACTCTCATTCATCTTACAGTGATCTCAGCTTATTTTCTGTGAAGACTGAAAGTTCCAGCACCTGAAGACAAACCCTTTTTCTAAGCTTTAATAGGCAAGGCTACACAAAATTACAGCATAAAATTCTATGTATTGTAGGGAGAGTAAGGGAGTGATCCGTTTTTTACTAATCATAAGGGTCATGGCCAACACCCATATAACAAAAGACAGGTTAACAAGGGAAAGCATAACAAATGTATTTTTTTCTAGTTTTACTGGACACAGGAGCCTTCAAGACAAAGACCCAAACATAGAGGGAAAGCTGTCCATTTTTATGCTTAGGTTCAATGAAGAATGGATAAGTGTGTAGAACTGTGATAGGACAAAGAGGGTATGGTCTAATGCTGATAGACCAAGTGGGGAAACTCAGCAAGGCCTGTTCAGATTTTCCTTAGTTTGGGTGTGTAGCATTACTTCCTCATGGGTGTGGGGCAAGACCCCTTCTGAAGTGAGTCTTATGATGACTTACAATCAAACCAGGTAGATCAGAGAGAATTTCTTTATGGACACTTCTTGCACAGAAAGGTGGGGAAAGTTAGAATACAATTTTTAGGTTTTATGGCTGGATGCCGGGGAAAGGGGCGCTGGTTTCTATGACCCACTGTGGCGAAGATGGATTCTAGCTCCTTTGACTTGCTTTGGGGGAGGATGAGGAGTGAGAGACAGGATGGCAGGAAGAGGCAGAGAGAAACATTGTTAGGAGGCTGCTTCTGAGACCTTGACTATGGGGGTATCAGTTTCTGAGCCCCAATAGTACACATCCTTGTAAGTTCTAAGAACTAGAGAAAGAGCCTAATATTTACTATACTTTTCAGTAATGGTTTCTTCAAAGCTGAGAAAGTAACATCAATGGATTTCAAATGGCTTGTGTGTTAAAAAGAATTCTGGCATCAGCATAAATTACTGTTTAGAGAATTCTGCTCCATTGTGCGTGTCTCACGTTGTTGTCAGCTGTCTCCTTCTGAGCATATCCCAGCCTTTCCACAAATATCTTAACCTGGCTTTAAGAGAATAAACTGCAGCAATGCTCTAATACCAAAAAACCCTTAGGGCCAAACATGAAAATAAGTGAATGTGGAACTTCCTTATCTCTTCATCTTGTCAGTTTTATCAGGCTGACAGGCAATATTCACTATAGGCCCATTATATCTCATCTACATCTGAAAGTGTACCACAGTGTTCTGAATAGAAATTAAGGTCATTCTGTCAGAGAACCAATTGAATTGCAATGCACATCATTTTTATCTTAGTATAATAAGCTTTTTCCCCATAGTACTTCACAATGTGTTTAGCTTCATTCTTTACTTACAAGCAGCAGGAAATTAGAATTGAATATAAGTTTATTTTTCAGACAGAGAAAATGAAAGTGTGGATTGCATTTTCTCAGGGTTCAATGTGGGAGAACTTCCTGTTTCTATTCAGTGTAAATAATCTAGATTATTAAACCAGCTATAAATCTATTAAATTAACTGATGAGAGAGAGAGAGAAAAAAAAACTAGGAAAGCAGTTAAATGTCCAGCAAACAGCAGAAACATCTGTAAATGATTTAGACCTATGATAGAATTTTGTTAAAACATACTCAGGAATTTAACAGTGACATATATTATAATGGGGCAAAATTGTGCAAGTGAGTAACAAGGACGTAGACACCAAGAAAAGTAGACATGAACAGGTGTTGGCGAAGTAAGACCTGTGAGCCAAATCTATATTACTACTTGTTTTTGTGAATAAAAGTTTATTGGAACTTACTCACCATCATTCTTTACATGTTGTACATGGCTATGTTCATGCTACAACAGCAGACTTGAATACTTGCAGCAAAGATCTTACTTAGGACCCACAAAGACTGAAATACTTACTAGCTGAACCTTAATAAAAAAAGTTTGACAACTTCTGCTGCAGAGGATATTTTAATACATCTAGATCAAAAAATAAATAATAGCTAATTTTAAAATGAATTTTAGCTTAATTAAATATTCATGCCCACCTATTGAGAATATCTTGAGCAATGAACAAGACTTTCATAGGTACTAAACACATGTTCTGATATGATACTAAGTTATACTAAAATTTAATTATGTGGATAGGAAAATACAGCATGCTAAAGCCATTTTAAAATGGAAGTTGTATGATATTATTTAGAACAAGTCAATAAATAGTTGATATTATAATTATAAAAGTGACATATGAACATATTAAAATATCCAAACAACAAAGAAAGTAACAAAATTAAAAATAAACTCTGCCCTCTTTACACTGAGGTCCACTCCCTAAAATAGCTACTGTTAATTTCTGTTTGTATTTATGTTGCTAGACATTATTATAATACTAAATATATTTATTTCTAAATTTCTTTACTGTTAATGTAAGTAGTTTCTTTTTTTCCCTTAAAGGGTTCTTTGATTGACTTACTCTTTCTTTTATATCCTTCCCACTGTCTCTTCGACAGTATTTTAGTTGTATCACTTTTACATATTCTAGTTATGTGTAATATTTTAAAACAGATTTTAGGCCATGATTCAATGTAGTACTTTGGTATTTTCTAGCAAACATTATTTAGCCTGTATTTTGTTTTTAGTTGGTGTTGTAGCCCATTCGTGCTGCTGTGATAAGACATCTTAGACTGGATTACTTATAAACAGCAAAAATTTCTCACAGTTCTAGAGGTTGGGAAGTCTAAGCGCAAAGCCCTAGCAGGTTTGATGTCTGATGGGGCCTGGTCCTTGCTTCTAAGGTGGTGACTTGTTGCTGTGTCCTCACATGGTGAAAGAGATGGAAGGGCAAAAGGGCCTCGCTAGTTCTCTCAAGCCCCCTTTTTCAGGGCACTAATCCTATTTATGAAGGCTCTGCTCTCATGATCTAATCATGTCCTAAAGGCCCCATCTCTTAATGCTGTTACATTGGGGTTTAAGTTCCTGCATATGAATTTGGGAGGGACACATACATTCAAACCACGGCAGTTGATGATAAAATTGAGAATCAGTAAATAAAGTGAAAATTGTAAGTATGTAAATATTTTTAGTTAAGAAGGATCTTTCCAGTATCAGGATTTCGCTGTCAATACCAACTCAAATTTATACTTAATTGTTTTGATTCTAGGTTCTTAATCTTGGGCTCCTTTTCCATGAAAAAAAAAATGTCTTCTGAGTAATTTAGATGTTATACAAATCCAAATGTATTTTAACTTTTATTTTGCTTTCAAACGTTATAGAAAGATTTCTCAGGCAAAAAAAATCTTATTTCAGTATAATTTTCTTTCAGAACTTGCATTCAGTTCTGCCAAATAGAAGTCCAATGTTAATCTGAATTTTGTTCTCTTGTAGGAAATTTTGTTTTTCTCATTAAAAATGTTCAGTCTTCTCTTAATGATTGGAATTGAAATTTTATAACATTTAATTTGAGAGTGGCTTTCTGGTCATTTGTGCTGCTTGGTGTATATGTGCTCTTTCAATTCAATCTTTTTTCCAGCTTTGAGAACTTCTCTTAAATCCTCCCTCAGTTTGCTGGAACTACCCTTAGGCAGATGTTGGACTCAGTGAATCAGTGTTGGACTTTATGACTCAATGTTGAACTTCATAAATATTAGCTTTTCTCTTATATTTTTACATTTATGCTCTGTGTTCTGTTAGAAATCTTTGATATTCTTGTATTGCCAACAGTTTCTTATATGTAACCATTTAATTATTTTATTTCAGTTATTATATTAATTTCTTACATTGTTTTGTTTTCTGATTGCTATTTTTCTTAGTAATCTGCACTGATTTTGTGGATGCATTATCCACTTAAATATCTCTGACATGAGTATTGAATGAATTAAAGTTCATTTATCTTTCTTATCTCTGGGAGTTCTGATTGTTTATATTAGTCCTTTCCAGTTTTTCTTTCTTTTTTTTAAATAATCAGGTAACTATATTGATTAATTGAGGTAGTTGGTACTGTTACATCTATAAAAATTAGTATTGATTTCTCTTGAGTTAGATCTAATCCTTTACTTAAATGGCCTACTTCAGATTTGCATAAGTGAACAGAGAATGTTAACTGGTTGGATTCCCTTTCAGGCATTTGGATAGGATGCCTATAGGTAGATCTCCCTCCCGCAAACCCTGGCAAACACACACGTACACTGCTGCCAAAGTAAACACATTCTTTAATTTGCTTTTACTTTTGCTTGTTGTCTTAGTTCAAATCATGTTTCTACTATTCACTAGCTGTGTGACCAAAGCATTATTTACTTTGACCACAGAGATATTTAATTTTCTACTCTTGGGTAGAGCTATCTTTTCTTTTATTCCTTCATTCTATTCATTTCTGCCTTTTGCCCAAATAGGAACTCTTCAAAGTCAGATTTCTTACTCCCTAGAAAGCAATTATCTGTATCCTGGAGTGGGCAGTTGAAAGAGGAAATGGTCTGATGGACTCAATTTTTCTATGCTCAGTTCTTCAATTATTTATCTTCCTATTTGTTCAGTAATATGCAATTTCTCTTGAACATGTTGACTATGACCTTGAAACATCTTCTAGGGTTTACTGAAAAGAAATTATATCAGACTGTGGTTGCTTCTGTTATTACACTCCACTAATCCAAATCTTTATTTAAGTTTTGGATTTGCTATTGTCAGGCTTCCCTTTTTTCAATACTATTATGGTTTTGTTATATATGTATCAAAACATACATACTCTTATGTGTATGGGTGTGTATGTGTATGTGCATATCTATATATTTCTGCCATTCCCATGAGACCTCAGGAAAGAGGAGATACAGAATACTCTTGATTGTCATTTTAAAAATAAAGCTTTTCAAATTGATTTAAATTAATCTCAAAGAACCAGGCACAAGATACATCAAATAATTGTACATCTCTTTCTCCATATTTTATAAGTGAATATAGCCAGATCGAGAAGAAATATTTCTACCTCAAGACAACTTAAAAATTCTGGAGCTGTGTTGTCTTAGTTCAAATCATGTTTCTGCTATTCACTAGCTGTGTGACAAAACCCAGGTGCAAAGTGTATCAATATACCTTTAAAATAAGGAAAATTATAGTGCCAGTCTTAAAGAGTTGCTGTGAGGGTTAAAGGAGTTGGTATACTAGTGCATAGTATGAAGTAAGTGAATAAAATGGTTTGCTATTATTACTAGTGTTATTATTACTCTAAGACATATGTCATTCTTATAAGTTATACATTTTATAGTATCATAAATATGTAAGTTTATCAAGAAAGAAAGATTGTGTCAATAAATAGAGACCATTTCTTATGTCTGTAGCCTTTACTGTCTATGCTGCACTGTATAATGTGGCAACCAATAGCCACATATGCCTACTTAAATTTATGATTTCATTAATTAAGATGGAAAACTCAGCTTTCAGTCAGACTAGCCATATTTCAAGCAATCTATAGCAACACTAAATGAAAAAGCAGAGCTATAGAACATTTCCAACATTTCAGAAAGTTCTACTGGATAGCACTGGTCTACAATCTTCACTGATCTAGTCAAATAAATATATGATATTAGTGTATGAGAACAAGTGCAAACTGAATATAATTTTTTATTTTTTAAAATATTTGTTGTCACGTCATAATATAGCCTAAAACTGAAGTAGCATATACTTAAGTATTATCTAGGCCTACACATATTTTCTCTACTCATTAGTTCAATTTAAACTATGATTGTCAGAAAGAATTAGTTGTCATTTCATTTTCAAATAAGCCACATGATTATAAAGACAGTAAAAATTTAGTTGGATCTGTTACTTAAAAAATGTTATAAAATTAATATCACAATAATCATTTAATAAGTAAAGGAAAAAATTATCTATTGGTATAAAATGAAACCTTTTTGAAGGAAAATAATTTATTGAATGACTATTGGATATAGTAATTCTTAATAGATACTCTGAAAAGGGTTATTACCTGAAATCATATCGTATGGATTGTATAGGCTACACTCTGGTTAAAATAATAGACTTTGAATATGAAATTTGAATAATTTAGTAATCCTGAAGCAAAAGACTCACTTAAATAATTTGGGTGAAGAGTCAATACATTTGGGAGAGTTAGAACTTTCCAAAGGAAATGATAATTGATGATTTCAATTAAAGCAGAGTGGTTGTATCAGGAACCAGATTCAAGTAGAAAGGTGAAAAAGTTTAAGGTTTGCTTTGAAATCAAACAAAAATATTGCTTGGTATAAACACATAGTTGCAAAAAATAAGTCCCATAATTTTCATATTCTTCCAGTACTTTCTATTTTCCACATGTTAAATATTAACAATTATTTATTGTAACAGCTAAAAGGCAGTTACCTTGTTAATAAAATGATGATGTATACCAGAATTAGTCTCTTGTGACAGAAGTTTAAGAAAATTTTTTCTAGCTAATTATTTATAAATAAAAATTTATCTAATAATAGTTAATTGTTAATACCATTATTTATACCATTTTTTGCTTGTGTCAACAATTTTTATTTGGAAAGTTATTAAACAGGAAAATGGAAATAATAGTATAATGAAGTCTTATATGCACTACCTATGTTCAACAATTGCCATATTTTGTGATTTTTTAAAAGAAATTTACAGATATTTCTTTACTATCTTGCTTATATTGAAATTTCTATGATTGTCCATAAATATTGTTTTGGAGATTTTGTTTTTCTTACAAGATCACTGCAGTTGGTTATTATTTCTCTCTCTCTCTGTCTCTCTCTCTCTTTTAATCTAGAAGAGTCTTCATGCTCTTTTTATGTCATTGATATTTTTGGAGGCACCGGGCCAATGTCCTCATAAAGTATCTTACATGAGCATTTTCTCATGGTGCTGACTAACCTGTTGCTCCATTTCCTGCATTCTCAAGATACTATAATTTTTATTCCCAGGCAAGTGGAAATAGATCTGACAGAGTCAGCTTGCCTATCTTGGTTTTGCGTTACCTCTTTGTTTAGGTTTTTGAGAGTCTTTCATTCTTCAGCCCAGGTACCCATGATGTTTTTGAATATGTAAACCAGCATTTCTGGTTGGTAGCAAGGATATGAGGCAGAGGGCTGGATTGTCACTTCATTCTGACCCAAAATTTTTTTCATAAAATGTCTTCTTAATCTCTGTTCTCAATTAAAATTTGTATTTTCTTTAAGGATATAATTCTTCCTGGAACTTGAATGGGAACCTCGTTGTGAATAAAAAGAGTTAGAGGTCAGTATTCTCTTTCTTCTCCACTGCACATCTCTTTCATCATTCTTCCATTGTCATTAGATCCATACTCCCATTTAGACTCAAGTGTTCAGCTATAGTTTTCTTTCCTTCTCCTAGTCAGTAGGATACCCCTGACCTCTAAATCACTTCCTCACAATACACTTGACTTGAGCACCCTATCTCCATGGAAATGACCAGAATAACTCTACTGGGAAACTATGACAAATGCCACATTTCCACCTACAACCTCCATCATTTTCTTTACTCTTACTTCAAGTTGACTTAATCAAGATTTTAAATTACGTAATTCTTACCTATTCTCTCTCATCAAACTACCCCCATTTTTACTTCTTTCTCTTTAAGCTTTATTCACATGGACATCAAAATTTATTTCTTTTGTTGCCTTTTCATTTTATTTCATCAGTTCTCTAAATCTAGCATTAGAAAGCAATACTACAATCCACAACATCTATTCATATTTTAGGTTGCACAACACAATGTAGACAATTATAGACTCACAGATGGACACCACTATATATTTACCATAAAACTAGATTAAAATCACCAGGAAATTCAAATTGTCTTGGGTATAAATACAGAAAGAAACCACAAATAAACAAAACACAATCAACCAAAAAAAAAAAAAAACAATAAAAAAGAAAGAAAGGGGGACTTCTCCACCCATGGAGCATATAGTTGAATATGGTCTATTTGACCAGGTGCCTCAATTCTAAGACTATACCTATACTTGTTCAATTTTAGCAGATAACTGCTTTTGATTTCATGGAGATAAAAAGTTTTGTATGGACTTGAAATTTCCCTCTCCAGCTTGCAATTTTATCTGTTGCCTTCAGAGTGTTCTGTTCTCTCAGGGACTTCAATCTATTCTTTGTTCCTTATTTTTGATATCCTCAAAAAATTGCCTTCACTTACTCCTCTTACATAACCTATAAACTCATACTTTTAAAGTTTGTTTTCCTCTTAGTTACTTCAGGGATATTTATTAGACACCAATCCTAAGCCATTCACCATTACAAAGACCAGGCCCAGTAATGTACAAAGCTGAACTTTCTACTACTATAGGACATATTCAAGTAAAAACACATACAAACACACAAACGTGCACACACTACACCAAGAAAATATGACAGTCTTGTCATTTACCATTTCTTCCTCTATCCACAGTTCTCTCTGACAGGTTGCCAGAAAGTCTGAAATTGCATTACTAAATTGTTAAGTAATAATTATTATTCATTTCTGTAAACATAGAAATAGCTTTGGGAAGACAGTAAAACACCAATAAATGTATCGGCTATTAACAGTTTAGTGTAATGCATTTTTATCAAAACTTTTAATTAATAATACAATTTTGGAGAAATTTGTGCAGGTTGTTTCATTAGAGATACATTCTGATGGTCATTCTTGACTGGGAGATCACCCAGCTGCAACAGCTTGCTCAGCCTGGGGCTGGTTAGTCTGCAAGTGCTACAAATAAGTATTAGAAATGGTGAGCAAGAGAGATATGGGAACCACAAGGATGTTGGTGATAGAATTCTTTTATTTTACAGATTTACCCAGAACAAGCTTTACCCTGAGTGGCTTTTATACTGTCTGTATCAGTATTATCTTCTGAGGCCCCAGATAATATTCAGATTTCGAGATCCAGCATTAGGCCTCTGGAACTAGAATCATTAAGTGGGAACTTGGAAATCTGTATTTTTAACCAGCTCCCCAGGGCTTCTTACGTACTCTGAGTTCTGAGAGCCAATGCATGATTAACATGATGAATTAAGAAAACATTTGGATTTAGTAACTGTTCATAAGAATTTTGTCTGCCACTCACATTCCTAATATTTATTTCACCATTTTTCAGGTAATTAGTTTCAGTTCTGTCACAGTGATCAACATTACCTAGTAATTTATATCATTGCTTGGATGTTTAAAAAATAAATTACATATGTGTGGTTACAGTTCATTTCACCAATCATAAATTTGTTTTGCCATATTATTACCAACTAGAATTTTGTTTAAATGGTAATGCCTACCTATCATTTATAATGGCAATAATTCTAATTTTAAAAGACTGAGTGATAATGTCATAATGAAAATTAAGCAATTGTATCACGAAATAATATCCCGAAAAAGGCAAATAATTCCTAATGGTTGTGTTCTCAAATTAAAAAAATTAGAATGCTTGTATTATTTAAGCTATGTTTAAAAATTCAGATTTTAGAAATTCACATAGAGCCATCAAAATTCATTTAAAAGCAAAGTAATAAAATTTTATTTTCTACTGATAGCTTGAGAAAAAATAACTAAATTCAATAAAAATATCTGCTATACAATCAGTTTCTATGTGAAAGTTTATAGACATAAAATAATGGGAAAGATGGTAGTTTTGAAAATTATACTGAAAAGCACACAAAGGAAGAAAGAAAAAAAATTACCAAATAGTTTTCAATGTTGGCCATTTTTAATGATTTGCTTAAAAGCATATAGCTTATGGGAGAATGTTTTCATAAACATTGAATAAGAAAATATTCTTTTTTATTATATAAAATTTTATTTTAAATTTAAAATTTTTCCAACTTTATTGAGTTTAATTGACAAAATTATATTTAAGGTGTATATGATTTCTGATATACATACATATTGTTTAAATGATTACCACAGTCAAGTTAGTTAACACATCCATCTCCTCACATACTTTTTTTATGAGACCACCAACTCTGTTTTTAGTAAAGTTCAATTGTACAATACAGTATTATTATTATTATTATCATTATTATTTTGAGACAGAGTCTCGTTCTGTCGCCCAAGCTGGAGTGCGGTGGCGCGATCTCGGCTCATTGCAAGCTCCGCCTCCCGGGTTCACGTCATTCTCCTGCCTCAGCCTCCCAAGTAGTTGGACAACACAGTATTGTTAACTATGGTCACCATGTGTAAATTTCATTTCAAGAACCTATTATCTTGTAACTGAAAGTTTATACCGTTTGACTAGTATCTCCCCATTTCTCTCACTCTCCAACCTCTGGAAACTGCCCTTCTACTGTGCTTCTGAGTTTGACCTTTTTTGATTCCACATGTAAGTGAGATCATACTGTATTTGTTTTTTTCTGTCTGACTTATATCTCTTAGCATAATGCCCTCAAGCTTCACTCATGTCACAAATGGCAGGATTTTCTCCTTTTAATAGCTAAATAACATTCTATATAATCCATATAACAGGAAATATATTTCCAAGGCACATAACCAGTAAAGGGCTTAGAATACACAAAGTTATAAATCAAAGTAAAAACAAATAATCCAATAGAAGTGAGCAAAAGAATTCAAAAGATACTTTATGAATATTAGATATTAATAGTTAATAAATATATGAAGATGTATTCAACCTCCTTAGTCATCATGAAAATGCCACAGTGAAACATCATTACACACACAAATGAATGGCAAAAACCTGGACATAATGAATAGATATATTAAAAATTAAAACAGGGAATGGTGAATATTAACAAAATGTGAAGCAATGGGAAATCTCATACACTAGTGGTAATACTATAAATGAGCAAAATCCTACAAAGTTGCAATGATGTAAACTGATTCTACCTGTTTGGAAAATTGTATTTTCTAAAACTACGCATATCTTAGTACTAAAACATTTCATCCCTAAATATACATAGCTACAAAAGTGTATACACATATCACGTAACACATATACAAGAATGTTTGTGGCAGCTTGATTTGTAATAGCTGCACATTGGAACCCATTCACGTTTTCATCAATTGTAAAATAAATTGTGATATATTCATAGAATAAGTATACTGTAGCTATGAGGAAAATAACAATGAATGAATCTCAAAAATACCATGTTTGCAAAAGATGCAAACACAAGATACAAAAGCATGGTATATATACACAACACAGTATGCTTCTTTTTTTTTTTTTTAAGGAAATGCTGTTATTTAAAACAAACAACATGGATGAACCTGGAGGACATTATAATAAGGCAAATAAACCAAGCACAAAAAGACAAATACCACATGATCTCACCTATAAGTGGAACCTAAAATAGTTGAACTCATAGAAGCAGAGAGAAGAATGGTGGTTACTAGGGGCTTGCTGGGTGGGGGCGGTGGGTGTTGAGGGATTGTGGAGATGTTTGTTAAAAGAGATAACATTTCAATTAGATAGAAGGAATAAGCTAAATTAACTTATTCTACAAGGTAATTAATACAGTTAATAACAATGCGTTATATTCTAGAAAACCACCAGATTTTAAGTGTTTTCACTGTACAAAATAAGTAAATGAAGTAATAAATATTTAATTAGCTTGAGTTAGCCATTCCACAATGTGTACATATTTCAAAATAGCATGTGTATGTGATAAATATATATGATTTTGGTCAAATTTTTTAAAACATGAAAACATAAAATAGTATATATTGTGTGATTCCACTTGTATGAAGTTCAAAGCCAGACAAAATTAATATTTTTTATTTTAAAATGTTTAAATTTTATTTTTAATTGACAATAATTTTATATAATTATAGGGTATAATGTGATGTTTTGATCTATGTTCACAATGTGGAATGATTAAATCAGGTTATTTAACAAATCTATCACCTCACATACTTATCATATTTTTGTGTTGAAAACATTTAAAGTATATTCTTTTAGCAATTTTGAAATTATAATCCATTATTATTTATTATAGTCACCACTCTATTCAATAGATTACTAAAGCTTATTCCTCCTGTCTAACTCAAACCTCTTACCGTTTGATCAGCATCTCCTCTTTCTCCATCCAACTCCCTCACCTCTTGTAATCATCATTTTATTCTCTTCTATGGGTTCAATTTTTTTAGATTCCACCTATAAGTGAGACCAACAGTATTTCTCTTTCTGTGCCTGGTTTATTTCACTTAGCATAATGCTTAGGAGTCCTCCAGGTTTTTTCACATTGTCACAAAAGACAGTATATCATCCTTTTGTAAGGTTAAAAAGTATTCTATTGTGTATATATATATCACATTTATTATTAAACCATTCTTCCGATGAAGAACATCTAGGATGCTTTCATATCTTAGTGGTTGTGAATAATGTTGGAATGAATATGGGAATGCAGATATTTCTTTGGTATACTGATTTCAATTACTTTGGATATATACCCAGAAGTGGGATTACTGGATCATGTGGTTATTCCATTTTTAGTTTTCTGGTAACCTTCACATTATTTTCCATAATGGCTGTATTAATTTACATTCCCACCAATAGTGCACAAGGGTTCTCTTTCCTCCATATGCTCTCGAACTCTTATCTTTTGCCTTTTTGATAATAGCCATTGTAACATGTGTCAGGTTATATTTTAATGTGGTTTTAATTTGCATTTCCCTGATAATTTGTGATGTTGAGCATTTTTTAAAATATATTTGTTGGCCATTTGTATGTATTCTTTTGAAAAAAGTCTATTTTATAGTCCTTTGGGTATACACCCAGTAATGGGATGGCTGGGTCAAATGGTATTTCTAGTTCTAGATCCCTGAGGAATTGCCACACTGACTTCCACAATGGTTGAACTAGTTTACGGTCCCACCAACAGTGTAAAAGTGTTCCTATTTCTCCACATCCTCTCCAGCACCTGTTGTTTCCTGACTTTTTAATGATTGTCATTCTAACTGGTGTGAGATGGTATCTCATTGTGGTTTTGATTTGCATTTCTCTGATGGCCAGTGATGATGAACATTTTTTCATGTGTTTTTTCGCTGCATAAGTATCTTCTTTTGAGAAGTGTCTGTTCATATACTTTGCCCACTTTTTGATGGGGTTATTTGTTTTTTTCTTGTAAATTTGTTTGAGTTCATTGTAGATTCTGGATATTAGCCCTTTGTCAGATGAGTAGATTGCGAAAATTTTCTCCCATTTTTTGCGTTGCCTGTTCACTCTGATGGTAGTTTCTTTTGCTGTGCAGAAGCTCTTTAGTTTAATTAGATCCCATTTGTCCATTTCGGCTTTTGTTGCCATTGCTTTTGGTGTTTTAGACATGAAGTCCTTGCCCATGCCTATGTCCTGAATGGTAATGCCTAGGTTTTCTTCTAGGGTTTTTATGGTTTTAGGTCTAACATTTAAGTCTTTAATCCATCTTGAATTAATTTTTGTGTAAGGTGTAAGGAAGGGATCCAGTTTCAGCTTTCTACATATGGCTAGCCAGTTTTCCCAGCACCATTTATTAAACAGGGAATCCTTTCCCCATTGCTTGTTTTTCTCAGGTTTGTCAAAGATCAGATAGTTGTAGATATACAGCGTTATTTCGGAGGGCTCTGTTCTGTTCTGTTGATCTATATCTCTGTTTTCATACCAGTACCGTGCTGTTTTGTTTACTGTAGGCTTGTAGTATAGTTTGAAGGCAGGTAGCGTGATGCCTCCAGCTTTGTTCTTTTGGCTTAGGATTGACTTGGCGATGCGGGCTCTTTTTTGGTTCCATATGAACTTTAAAGTAGTTTTTTCCAATTCTGTGAAGAAAGTCATCGGCAGCTTGATGGGGATGGCATTGAATCTATAAATTACCTTGGGCAGTATGGCCATTTTCATGATATTGATTCTTCCTACCCATGAGCATGGAATGTTCTTCCATTTGTTTGTATCCTCTTTTATTTCATTGAGCAGTGGTTTGTAGTTCTCCTTGAAGAGTTCCTTCACGTCCCTTTTAAGTTGGATTCCTAAGTATTTTATTCTCTTTGAAGCAATTGTGAATGGGAGTTCACTCATGATTTGGCTCTCTGTCTGTTATTGGTGTATAAGAATGCTTGTGATTTTTGTACATTGATTTTGTATCCTGAGACTTTGCTGAAGTTGCTTATCAGCTTAAGGAGATTTTGGGCTGAGACAATGGGATTTTCTAGATATACAATCATGTCGTCTGCAAACAGGGACACTTTGACTTCCTCTTTTCCTAATTGAATACCCTTTATTTCCTTCTGCCTAATTGCCCTGGCCAGAACTTCCAACACTATGTTGAATAGGAGTGGTGAGAGAGGGCATCCCTGTCTTGTGCCAGTTTTCAAAGGGAATGCTTCCAGTTTTTGCCCATTCAGTATGATATTGGCTGTGGGTTTGTCATAGATAGCTCTTATTATTTTGAGATACATCCCATCAATACCTAATTTATTGAGAGTTTTTAGCATGAAGGGCTGTTGAATTTTGTCAAAGGCCTTTTCTGCTTCTATTGAGATAATCATGTGGTTTTTGTCTTTGGCTCTGTTTATATGCTGGATTACATTTATTGATTTGCATATATTGAACCAGCCTTGAATCCCAGAGTTGAAGCCCACTTGATCATGGTGGATAAGCTTTTTGTTGTGCTGCTGGATTCGGTTTGCCAGTATTTTATTGAGGATTTTTGCATCAATGTTCATCAAGGATATTGGTCTAAAATTCTCTTTTTTGGTTGTGTCTCTGCCCGGCTTTGGTATCAGGATGATGCTGGCCTCATAAAATGAGTGAGGGAGGATTCCCTCTTTTTCTATTGTTTGAAATAGTTTCAGAAGGAATGGTACCAGTTCCTCCTTGTACCTCTGGTAGAATTTGGCTGTGAATCCATCTGGTCCTGGACTCTTTTTGGTTGGTAAGCTATTGATTATTGCCACAATTTCAGATCCTGTTATTGGTCTATTCAGAGATTCAACTTCTTCCTGGTTTAGTCTTGGGAGGGTGTATGTGTCGAGGAATTTATCCATTTCTTCTAGATTTTCTAGTTTATTTGCGTAGAGGTGTTTGTAGAATTCTCTGATGGTAGTTTGTATTTCTGTGGGATCAGTGGTGATATCCCCTTTATCATTTTTTATTGTGTCTATTTGATTCTTCTCTCTTTTTTTCTTTCATAGTCTTGCTAGCAGTCTATCAATTTTGCTGAGCCTTTCAAAAAACCAGCTCCTGGATTCATTAATTTTTTGAAGGGTTTTTTGTGTCTCTATTTCCTTGAGTTCTGCTCTGATTTTAGTTATTTCTTGCCTTCTGCTAGCTTTTGAATGTGTTTGCTCTTGCTTTTCTAGTTCTTTTAATTGTGATGGTAGGGTGTCAATTTTGGATCTTTCCTGCTTTCTCTTGTGGGCATTTAGTGCTATAAATTTCCCTCTACACACTGCTTTGAGTGTGTCCCAGAGATTCTGGTATGTTGTGTTTTTGTTTTCGTTGGTTTCAAAGAACATGTTTATTTCTGCCTTCATTTTGTTATGTACCTAGTAGTCATTCAGGAGCAGGTTGTTCACTTTCCATGTAGTTGAGCGGTTTTGAGTGAGTTTCTTAATCCTGAGTTCTAGTTTGATTGCACTGTGGTCTGAAAGAGAGTTTGTTATAATTTCTGTTCTTTTACATTTGCTGAGGAGAGCTTTACTTCCCAGTATGTGGTCAATTTTGGAATAGGTGTGGTGTGGTGCTGAAAAAAATGTATATTCTGTTGATTTGGGGTGGAGAGTTCTGTAGATGTCTATTAGGTCTGCTTGGTGCAGAGCTGAGTTCAATTCTTGAGTATCCTTGTTAACTTTCTGTCTTGTTGATCTGTCTAATGTTGACAGTGGGGTGTTAAAGTCTCCCATTATTATTGTGTGGGAGTCTAAGTCTCTTTGTAGGTCACTCAGGACTTGCTTTATGAATCTCCAACAGACCTGCAGCTGAGGGTCTTGTCTGTTAGAAGGAAAACTAACAAACAGAAAGGACATCCACACCAAAAACCCATCTGTACATCACCATCATCAAAGACCAAAAGTAGATACAACCACAAAGATGGGGAAAAAACAGAGCAGATAAACTGGAAACTCTAAAAAGCAGAGCGCCTCTCCTCCTCCAAAGGAACGCAGTTCCTCACCAGCAACGGAACAAAGCTGGACGGAGAATGACTTTGACGAGCAGAGAGAAGAAGGCTTCAGACGATCAAACTACTCCGAGCTACCGGAGGAAATTCAAACCAAAGGCAAAGAAGTTGAAAACTTTGAAAAAAATTTAGAAGAATGTATAACTAGAATAACCAATACAGAGAAGTGCTTAAAGGAGCTGATGGAGCTGAAAACCAAGGCTCGAGAACTACGTGAAGAATGCAGAAGCCTCAGGAGCCAAAGCGATCAACTGGAGAAAGGGTATCAGTGATGGAAGATGAAATGAATGAAATGAAGGGAGAAGGGAAGTTTAGAGAAAAAAGAATAAAAAGAAATGAGCAAAGCCTCCAAGAAATATGGGACTATGCGAAAAGACGAAATCTACGTCTGATTGGTGTACCTGAAAGTGACGGGGAGAATGGAACCAAGTTGGAAAACACTCTGCAGGATATTATCCAGGAGAACTTCCCCAATCTAGCAAGGCAGGCCAACATTCAGATTCAGGAAATACAGAGAACGCCACAAAGATACTCCTCGAGAAGAGCAACTCCAAGACACATAATTGTCAGATTCACCAAAGTTGAAATGAAGGAAAAAATGTTAAGGGCAGCCAGAGAGAAAGGTCGGGTTACCCACAAAGGGAAGCCCATCAGACTAACAGGGGATCTCTCGGCAGAAACTCTACAAGCCAGAAGAGAGTGGGGGCCAATATTCAACATTCTTAAAGAAAAGAATTTTCAACCCAGAACTTCATATCCAGCCAAACTAAGCTTCATAAGTGAAGGAGAAATAAAATACTTTACAGACAAGCAAATGCTGAGAGATTTTGTCACCACCAGGCCTGTCCTAAAAGAGCTCCTGAAGGAAGCACTAAACATGGAAAGGAACAACCGGTACCAGCCACTGCAAAATCATGCCAAAATGTAAAGACCATCGAGACTAGGAAGAAATTGCATCAACTAATGAGCAAAATAACCAGCTATCATCATAATGACAGGATCAAATTCACACATAACAATATTAACTTTAAATGTAAATGGACTAAATGCTACAATTAAAAGACACAGACTGGCAAATTGGATAAAGAGTTAAGACCCATCAGTGTGCTGTATTCAGGAAACCCATCTCACATGCAGAGACACACATAGGCTCAAAATAAAAGGATGGAGGAAGATCTACCAAGCAAATGGAAAACAAAAAAAGGCAGGGGTTGCAATCCTAGTCTCTGATAAAACAGACTTTAAACCAGCAAAGATCAAGAGACAAAGAAGGCCATTACATAATGGTAAAGGGATCAATTCAACAAGAAGAGCTAACTATCCTAAATATATATGCACCGAATACAATACATACAAATTTGTTAGGTATATGAAAAAATACTCAATATCACTTATCATCAAAGAAATGCAAATTAAAACCACAATGAAATATCACCTCACACCTAGCAGACTGGCTTTTATCAAAAAGTTAAAAGTTTTTGTAAAGATGTGGAGAAAAGGGAACCCTTGCACATTGTTGGTGGCGATGTAAACTAGTACAGCCATTATGAAAATCTGGAGGCTTTTCAAAATATTAATAATGAAACTGCCATGTGATTCAGCGATTTCACTACTGTTTATCCAAAGGAAATAAAATCAGTATTTTGAAAGATATCTTCACTCCTATGCTTGTTGCAGCATTATTCACAATAGCCAATATATGGAATCAATCAGTCAAAGTGTCCATAAATTGATGAATAAATAAAGAAAATGTGGTACAGATACACAATGCAATATGAATTAGCCTTAAAAAGGAATGAAATTCTGTCATTTGAGATAACATGGATGAAGCTAGAGAACATTATGTTAAGTAAAGTAAGCCATGCACGGAAAGACAAACACTGCATGATCTCAATTATATGTGGAATCTAAATAAGTCAAACTTAGAGGAGTAGAGGATAGAATCGTCCTTAACCGGGGCTGGGAGATGGTTAAAGGATACAAAATTTCAGTTAGATAGGAGGAATATCTTTAAGAGATTTGTTGTAGAAAATAGTGACTATAGGGGCCGGGCGTGGTGGCTCATGCCTATAATCGCAGCACTTTGGGAGGCCGAGGCAGGTGGATCACGAGGTCAGGAGTTCGAGACCAGCCTGGCCAACATAGTGAAACCCCGTCTCTACTAAAAATACTGAAAATTAGCCAGGCGTGGTGGCAGGCGCCTGCAATCCCAGCTACTCAGGAGGTTGAGGCAGGAGAATCGGTTGAACTGGGAGGCAGAGGATGCACTGAGCCAAGATCACGCCACTGCACTCCAGCCAGGGCGACAGTGAGAGACTTGGTCTCAAAAAAAAAAAAAAAGAAAGAAAGAAAGAAAGATAAAAGTGAGTATGGTAAATTGTAAGTGATTTTGAAAAAAATTTTAAAAGACAACAATTAGAATGAATAAGTATCTGTCAAAAATGAACTAGTACTTAAACTGGATTAATGTTCATAGCTATAGTATCTTTAATTTGTATTTTTTAGCTTCCTTAATTTTTTTGGTCTTATAAGTATTCCTTACATTTCTTTGTAATCTTTACAATAAGATGTTAAAGGCGAGCTCAGTGTTTTCTGCATTCTTAGATCCTTTTGTCAATAACTTTTCATTTCCTTAAAGTCTGTGCTTTAAAAATCAGCCAACCAACCAACCAACAGGAAACAAACACATTGTGGCCTCTCGTTATAATTTCTATCCAGTGCAAAACTTAATTGATATTATGTGGTTATAATTCCAAGAGTACAAAAGGGCGTATGGTGAAACTAAGCCTTTTCTCCAAATTCCATCAACATAGAAAAATGTAGGCAGACTGCATGTTCTTTCAGGGATATTTTAGGCTCATTGGTTTATATACACAAATGCATCTCTGTGAAAAATAGCACATTTCATACATCTGGAATTGCTTTCATTCAATAATGTCTCTTGGTAGTCATGCCCTATTAATAAATTTTTGTAAGAGCTGCCATGGAATACTTAGCATAGTTGTGCCATAACTGATTTATTAATTTTCTATGTATTTGCTACTACAAGCAATGTTCAATAAACTACTCTCTCTATGTAAATATATATGGTAGATATAGATATATATAATTTGAGTGTTTATGATGGTGTATATTTAAGATGGATTATTAAAAGGAGAATTACTGTTAAAATATTTCCAAATATTATTTTAAAGTATATAATACATTACAATTTACAACCATGAAGAATATGATTTATAATATGTGAGGCATATGAAGGTACCTGTTTTCCTTCACATTTTATATTTTGATCTTTGCATGCCAATAATGGATATTTGGTATTTCAATGCACATTGCATTTTCCTTTCTCATATAATTTAGGCTTTATAACTTTGAATATGATTAAAAACCATTTGTATTTTCTTTTCCCAATAAACAATTTGCTTACATATTTTGTCCCTTTTTCTACTCTTTTTATCTGCAGGACTTTCTCATGTTTGACCTTCCATACCCATTTCTGTGTTGAGAGCTACTCATCATCCAGTTCATTTTGGAACATAGCCTAATGTTAGCTTTGTCTGTTGCTTGAATCTGTGATTTTTTTTCATTTATTTTAAATCTTTCTCCTTTGATGTATTATTAGTCCATTCTCATGTTGCTATAAAGAATTGTCTGAGACTGGGTAATTTATAAAAGAAAGAAGTTTAATGGCTTCACAGTTACACATAGCTGGGGAGGCCTTGGGAAACTTACAATTGTGGGGAAAGGAGAAGAAAACACATCCTTTTTCACATGATGGCAGGAAGGAGAAGTGCTGAGAAAAAGGGGGAAAAGCCCCTTATGAAACCATCAGATCTCATGAGAACTCATTCAATATCATGAGAATAGCATAAGAGTAATAGCTCCCATGATTCAATTACCTCCCACCAGGTCCCTCCCAAGACAGAGGGGATTATGGAAACTACAATTCAAGATGAGATTTGGGTGTGGACACAGTCAAACCATATCAGATGTCAAACAGGCTTGTTTTCTAGAGTCACAAAACTGCTGTCCCTTGATTTGCCATATTTCTATGCATTCAGTGATAAACTTTTAAAAGACCAGTATTTATATAGTTCTACTTTCTTATTTTTGTCTAACTCTGTAAAATTTTGTAATATAAGTAATTTTTCTATCACTTAAATTGTACTCTTGCATCATTAGAGTCATTTTAATCTTTAATTAGAAGATATTTGTAATCCTTCTGTATTTGATTTTATTTAACATTTGTACCTGTTGATTACTGTCTCCCTCTTGAAAACCAATGTAATGCAGTTCTAGATCTTCTCAATACTCTGAGGATTATTTGCCTTATTTCAGATTTTGGGGGCCTTCTCTCTATATAATCTTCTACTAATGATTAGATGCTGTGTTATCACATCACCTGTTTTTCAGTGATACTGTCACATATTTGTTTCTCTCTTAAATTCTAGTATGAATAGAAATCTGCATTTGCATTATCAGCTTTATTTGAATAAACTTCTCACATTTTAAACTTAGTAAGTCTATAAACAAACCCATTATTTTCTCTTCAATATTCCTCTAGCTTATTTCTATTCTCTAAATGACATCACCATTTTTCTTGCTTTTGCTTTTTTTATTCTTTCCAAAATATTTAAAAACTGTTATGTCTCAAACAATTAGTAGGAGAAATAAATACGTAAATTCTGAAATAGGATGAAAGCAGAAAGCAGATTAGAGTTGGAGATCATGACCACATGATTATAGGAGTTCTATAATCATGAGAAACTTTATAGCATGTAGCTAAAATCCATGAACTGGAAGAATGAATAGGATAAGCATTTAGTCATCATCTTTAGTGCTTAATTGAAGGATTGCTGTACTGGTTAACTCTTCTATACCTCTGTGTTGTAAGCATCTGTGTGCCAAGGGCTTCTGTGTATTTAGGGTTCCTGCAGTTATTCCATTCCCATATCTCTAAGAAGCCACAAACAGAAAGAAAGAGGCTCACAGTAGATACCTTGGCAGGCATATTTGATTTACACTTATAAGAGGCTGTCCTCTGATGGCTAAAAGTACATGGAGCTAGTTGCTGCAGTTGTTACCAAAGTAAGAGTTGATAGACTAGAAGTAAAGCATAAGAAATGTCTGGCTCATTGTAATTGTCCTGTATTTTAACAGACCAGATTACTATTCATTTACAAAACCTGATCTCTACTTTCTCACTTGGTGACTTTGATTGAGCTAATGTGTACCTTCAGGTGCCCTTCATTCTATATCTGCCAATCCTAATCCCACCCATTCTTTAGTTCCCAGCTTAAATTATCCCTCCTTGAGTTTGGCTCATTACTAAAAACCTATCTTTTTTTCCTAACTTGTATATACCAATAAGGGGTCTTTGGTAGCCTTAATTAAATGAATCTTTTTTAAAGACAAGAATAGGTTTCTTTTCTTTGTAGTGTTTGATTAATTCCATCCAAACTATTGAGATTGAAAATGTTTCTCATGGTGCTATTATATCTGTGACCAGTTATTAATTCTATTTTTTACCTCAGTTGTCTCATCTATATCATCTGGGTTAATAATATGTATTTTGCTAAGTTACTAAAAATTTTAATTAATGAACTGTAAGTAATGTGCTTGCACAGAGTAAATGTCCTCCAAAACTTATTTTCCCACCTGCAAGGCCATGGTAGGAACCTATTGTTTTCTATGTTCCTTTGAATTAACTAATTGCAAATGAAGTTGTCTACAGTTAAGCAATGCTTTGCTCTTCAGTGAGGATGACACATTTTTTTTGCTTTATTTTATTCGCTGATTGCCACAGAGATTATATTGCCACCATGGAAGAGGAGGAGCTGGAAGGAGATTCTGAAGCCTTGGGACAAAGCTGGTGCTGCGGCAGTCAGAGCAGAGAGACAGAATGATGCCACTGATTGCTGTGCTTTTGGAGACTGTTCTACTTCTGAATTTCCAATTCAGTGAAATAATGCCTGTCCTCATTTATTAGCCTTTTAGAGTTGGGTTTTCTGGTTTGCTTTGTTTAAAGTATTCAAAATGGCACATACTTCTACTTAGCTTTAATGTTTCTTCTTTTTATTTATCTTAGGCTCTGCTGCTGTCCTGTCCATAAGGTTATTTGTTGGTAAAATATTAAACTACAGGAAACATAACAGCCTCAGAAAAGCATGACTCAACATGAGCCTGGGACAACTCAGGGTCTCTCTACTGTGCACAGCATTTGTTCTGCTTTCAAGGCTCCCCACAGCATCTGAAGCTTTACATCCCTGGAGGCAACTGCCCATATGTTTACCTTTATTACCAACTGCAGTTTCCAGGCATCTGCTAAATTACAATTTTGAGTGCTTAATGGTGATTTCATTTGTGTAAAAAAAAAGCGGGGAGACTCTTTGCCCCTCATTAACTTAGAATGGCATTGCACCACACCGTAGAGCTGGCATATAGGTATATTGAAAGAAGTGGGTAGAGCTAAGAGGATTAGAAGCTTATGTGTGCCGTGAGGAGGTAAGAATCAGGTTGTGTTCATGTGTGTTTATGTCCTTTCTTGGAACAATAAAGTAAACAGATTTTCTCCTCTGAGAGAAAGAAAGTTTCAATAATATAGAAATAGCTTTGCCCCTATCTAGGGCCCTTATGTCTTTTTAACCCCAAGGGGCATATCACAGAGTGTATAGGAGAATATGGCAATATATCAAAGGCGATAAAGGCCACAGAGCTACAGATGTTCCCCCATCCTATGCAAGCTGCTTCTCTATAGAGCCTTCCATTCTGCAAAGCTTCCAGCTTGTTCTGTCATAGCACCTGATTAGACAGCCGTGCCTCCAACACTCTTGGCTGTCCTTTCTTTCCTTGGTTAACTTCTCTTGTCAGTGCAGTTGAGTTATCAACATGGTATAAGTGTTACATCAATACCATTTCAGAAATAAAACACTAGCCATGCAAAGGCTGAAGCAAATTGTTTTCCAACTAAATGCTGGCAGCCTGCTCTTATAGATTAAGACCAGGTTTCTCCACAAAGCACTGAAGCAGCAAATTTAAAAGGAGGCAAATAGAACATAGACTATATAGCAACAGAGATAAAACAGTTCATTACCTAGCTAATGTTTGCATTTTTCTGCTTTAGAGCATGTAAAAAATTAGAGATAACAAAATGACACTTAATAGACGCTGGACATGTAGAGGGAAATGTAGCTTTTAAAGACATTTTTCTTCTATTCCTGGCAAAAGTAAGCGAGGGAAAGGTGAATGTAGCAGGTACAAATCACACAGGCAGAAAATACAGAGGAAAGACCTAAAGCCTAACTCAATTCTATGGATTTTAATTATGGAAATCTGGCCAAGTCACTCCCCTCCTTGCAGGGATTGTTATTACTTTATTATGAAAAAATTGAAACAGTTGTCTTCTCTACTGCACAGGGTTGTGGCAAAAACAAAATGGCATTGTGAATGTAAAAGTTCATTAAAAACTCTAAAATGTGATAGCATAATGTAAACCACTTTTTTTTTTTTTTTTTTTCCAAAACGGAGTCTCGCTCTGTCGCCCAGGCTGGAGTGCAGTGGCGCGATTTCGGCTCACTGCAAGCTCCGCCTCCCAGGTTTACGCCATTCTCCTGCCTCAGCCTCCCGAGTAGCTGGGACTACAGGCGCCCGCCACCATGCCAGGCTAATTTTTTGTATTTTTTAGTAGAGACGGGGGTTTCACCATGTTAGCCAGGATGGTCTCGATCTCCTGACCTCGTGATCCGCCTGCCTCGGCTTCCCAAAGTGCTGGGATTACAGGCGTGAGCCACCGTGCCCGGCCAAACCACTTTTTTTTTTTTTTTTTTTTTTTTACATAAAGATGCATTACAATTGAGTTTTCAATCTCATGACACAAGAGTCACAAAGACACAGAACATTTAGCTGACACTGAGATAGTTATGATTCACAAAGACATTTTAGAAACTATTGAATTCATCTACAGCTACAGTCCATACAGCTCTCTGCCAGGGAGTTTTTCTGCCTGCATTTGGACATGTACTGTGACAGAGAGTTCAGCATTTATTTGTTTGAGTCCAACCTCTCCTCTCTGCAGTGAGCTGGATCATGCCATGCATAAAGCATGGGGTCTTCTAAGAAAAGGGCGCAAGTCCTTGCTTTGCCACTTAATATTTTTCTAATACCGAGCAAGTTACTCTCAGATACCACTGCCTCATTTATAAAAGTTTGATAATAATGCTACACATGTCAAAGGGTTATCATAGGGTTAGAAAAGTCCATTTCAGATGCTAGTTATTATTTTGAAGTGAGAATTCATTGTATCTTAAGAAATATGTTATATTTGTTGACTGAACACAGGCAGCAATAACAGAGTGCTATAGATAATATGTGTCATTCATATTCAAATACCTCTCATAAATGTTATCTTTTAGAAAATATGTTATTAGCCCTCAGAAATAATAAAGGATTACACATGAACTCTGGATCCCCTCAACACAGCTTAATAAAAAGCCACTGTGCTTTTTCTTTTAAAACAGAAAAAGAAACGTGTTTGGATATCAATGATCTTCAGTAACTCATAGAATAGAGCATAGGCTGGGCCTGTGTAATGGCTCAGGCCTGTAATCCCAGCTCTTTGGGAGGCTGAGGCAGGAGGATGGCTTGAGCCCAGGAGTTCAAGACCAGCTGGGTCAACAAAGTAAGACCTCGTCTCAACAAAAAAATTAAAAAGTTAGCCAGATGTAGTGGTGTGTGCCTGTGGTCCCATCTACTAGGGAGGTGAGGTAGGAGGATCGCTCAGGCCTGCAGTGAGCCGTGATTGCACTACTGCACTCCAGCTTAGGTGACAGAGACAGCCCCTGTCTCAAAAAAAAAAAAGAATAGAACATTGGCTAGTAATCTAATCGGTGCTAAAGGCATTTGGCATTACCAGGCACCAGGCACAGGCTGGAGTAAGACAAAATTGTCATGTTTTGACATGTCATGAGACAAAATTTATCCTTGCCATTTTCTAGGCTCTTGCCTTTCTCCTGATTTTCCCTGCATAGGTCAGACTCCTCACCTTCCCACTGCATTTTCTTCACTCTTCTTAGAAAAGGGGATTCTCTTGTTCTTCATTAGGTGCTTCAACTGATTTAATGAGCATCAACTAATTTCACTTGTTTGTGTTTGGGTCATTCACTTTTCAAAGTGTTCATTCAGTTACTTCATCCATAAAATGGTGACAATGACATCACAGCTTTGTTTAATAATTAAATAAGACAATCTGTGTAAAGCATTTATCATATTGTCCCACACATAGTAAAGTTCAATGATTTCATAGATATAATTACAATATCATAATTAAGATAAAGTTTTACATTATACTTTCAAAAGTTAGATTTCCAAATAGAAATAGCTTGAGAGCTGGAATGACTGTATTTGAAACTCAGATTTATCAGTTACTAGTTGTGTGGCATTAGGCACTGTTTCAACCTTGATTTTCAGTTTTTATATGATGGGAAATATAGTTAATCATTTAACTACTGCTATTGTGAGGATTAGGTGGGAAAGCCCTGGTCAAAGACTTGGCACTGAAAACATTCATAGTAAATAAATATTAGCTATTTGTTATTATTGTAGTAGTTTAGGAACAATTTCATATTATGCTTTTTAAAAAATGCATACAATGGGGAATGTTGGTTTTCTATTTTGCCTGTTACTAAAAGTTCATGCAAATAATAATGTCCAGAAGTTTAGGGGAAAGAATATTTCCACAAGAACGAAGAGAGAGATTTCACTAATTGTAACTAAGCTTTGTTCTTCCCGACCCTCTATTTCTGCTTCCAGAAGCTGAGACTCAGGTTAGCATCTCACTGTATTTCTGTGAGGAGGAGATATTGGTGCAAGATCTCAAGCAGACAAGCAAAATCCATCCCTATCCAACAACTCCTACCTATTGAGCAAATGATTTAAAAAGTGGTTACTGTGCCATCAGAAAAACTGTTGGGGATTGATGTGTCTCTTTTTGTTGAACTGGCTGAGTAGATAAGTACACAGAATAACTTATACCATCACTTTATATTTACGCTTACCTAATATGATATTGTTATAGCTGTCTTGTGAAATCAAGTTGTTTTCAGCTTGCTTCTGTCATTCTTCCTTCTTCTTTGTGATTAAATAGAAACAAATGATGTAAAATATGTGCTGTTTTCTTTACTCTTCCTAACTTATGTAGGTGGGATGGGTAGCCTTTATTATCTTGGCAAACATAGTGCAGGGATAACTTGCATTGTTGAATTGAGTAGTATAATAGTGACAATGCTAAAAACTCAGTGATAGTTCAGGACTAACCACTGAATATTTGTTATACAATATCTCAAAGTTCTCAGCTGGATTATGACATTATTTTATTTAAAATTTTCTAATATTTAATATGTCTTTTTTCTACATTATTTAAATTGTTTTTGTATTCTTTTTTGGTTTTAAAACATAATGAATAAGAACATAAAATAAAACATACAAAAAGATTTAACTGCTTAAACATAATGCAAATTTGAGACATATTCATGTAATTGATGGTCTCTAAGCAAGTAATAGTTGATTAAATTGTTTGTAATTTGTAGAAAAATAAATGCACCAAAATGTTTGTATGCTATATATTGAAATATTATTTTATTATTTCATTCATGCTTATTCATTGAAGACTAGGAGTGATATCTAGGAGGAACATTTTCTACTTAAAAATTATAAAATATCATTTATTTTTTATTTTAAAAAATCAGATAAGTAGATGCCTTATATACACTGTAATCTCTACAGCTGGGAGTCTTTATAAATTTATTATGCCAAAATATCCAGTCCATATTTTTTTGGCTGCTAAACTAAATCAAGGTGGGCAAGGAAAATGGTAATTGGGGTAGGAGTACAGATAAATTCAGAAGAATCAAGAAGACTGTTTAATGTAGAGAAAATAACAAAATTGAAAACAGTGTGTGACAGTTATCATTGTTATGCTTTCCTGCATCTGAAAATCCTTAATATATTTAGGCAGTTATTGTCATTCATTCACTTACAAATTAATCATGTATATGTGGAGTGCTAACTCTATGTGTGAATATTAGACTGTGTATGCAGCGGTGAAGTCACTGCCTTCATTGAACTTACATTCTAGAAGTTTGTTGTAGGAAAAAACAGGCTGCTACCCATTATAACAAAAAGAAAGATACTTTAATTCTCAAGTCCTCTCAGTACTTCCCCGCTATCCCCCTAACTCCTCCTGTGCCCTGCCCCCTCCAGATCCTTTGCAACATGGGCAAGAACTTTAACCTAGCTTTAATCACTTAGAAGGAATCATCCAGGATTTTAGATTAGCAGCTATTGATGCAAAGAATAAAGAACAATAGCAAATCCATTCTGGTCGTATTATTAATGAAGAGAGCAATACCCAATCTCATATCCACAAATTAGATCCCCCATTTATTGATGTTTAATGATTTATATATTTTTACTACATTCTAATATTCTTGTTATTCAAATATAATATTTTCTTTTTATTTTTTTGAGATGAATATTGCTTCAGTTTTATAAATATCTTTGCAAATTTTCCATCTTAAAATATAATTAAGCTCACTTCTGCATACTTCTAGAGCTTCCCTATCATTATTCACTCATAATTAACATAATGCTCAGCAGAACATGTATGATAATAAGGAGGCCCAAACTAATGTAATAATTGACCTTGACTATCTGGGACGCCTAGGATTACAGTATATATACAATATGTTAAGTTCTTATTTAATTCCCAACTGTGGGAAAAGACAAGTGTCTTAAGTCATCATGCTTATAATCCAAGGCTGTTTTCCTGATTTTAAGCCCTGAGTTTCTTTATAGATTCATAGTACTTGAAGAAAGGGGTGTGCAGGTATTTTTTAGAAAAGTTCTTACAATAACATTACAAATACATACTGTGAATCATTTCATTATTTTCTCAAATAATCCTATGATCATTCTCTCAGTATTTGAGTATATGATATAAATAAATACATAATAAATGTCATTCCAAAGTGACAAAATAAGTATCATCACATTGACTGCATAGGTAAATAAAATAAAGACTATTGGGTTAGAAGGTCTTGGAAGTCCCTAGATTTCCCCCTTTATCAAGGTAATAAATGAGAAAGCAATACTACATTCCTGAGGGAATGGCAAATCTTAGTGTAATTGTCAAAGGCTTGAAAGATTCAGATATGATTATATGTATCATATTACCATTTAATTCTCCAGTTTGCTGATTACAGAAGACAAATGAGACATGGAAAATGATGATGGATTATTTCAAACCTAATTTGGTGGTGACTTTAAGTGTAGATCCAGTTCCAAATGTGGTATTCTTGGTGAAACAAATCAGTACCATGTTAGACACCTTAAATGAAACAATTGATGTCACCTTTTTTTTCTCTATTACAGTAGGACTTGAACTTTGAAAATAATTTCTTTCACCCAATAAGAACAGCAACACACTTTCACTATTATGTCTTAAATCACAACTATCATCTTCTGTGCCACAATTTAGTCTGCAATGACATTGACAATTTCACTATCCCACAAGACACAATACTGGTTGATTATTTTAATAATATACTGATCATGGGAACTAGAGAGCAGGAAGTAGCGGGAATAAATTTGCCTTGGTAAGATATATTTCAGTAAAGTTTCTGCTGCTCAGTATAATGGGGCATATAGGGATATCACCACAAAAGTGAGTAATCAATTCTGCTTCTAAGAAGAGAAAAAAACATTAAGTAGATATCTTTGACTTTGGTTGCAGTGCCCATTTGCTTTGAGCATGACTTGTACTCATTTACCTGGTACCTGAAAATGCTGCTAGCTTTTTGGCCAGAAGGCTCTTTAATGGATCTAGGCTGTACTACAAGCTGTGACAACTTATTTGCTATGACTCACTGGATCTTATGATAGTTGAAAGCTCTGTGGATGATTGGTGATGTTGTATGGAGTCTGTGGAAAACACAATTAGAAAATCACAGAGAAAGCTCCAAGTTTTTTGAAATAATGCCAAACTTTTTTGGGTAAATAAATATTCTGCTTCACAGAGATATACCTTGGCTTGGGACTTCACATAAGGATCAACTATAAGACAGAAGATAAACTTGTGACTGACTCATCATGCTACATCCACTTAGCCATTAACTTGATTACATCTAGCATTTCTACTGTAGAGCACCAGTAAGTGTAAGCAGTTTACATCAGCAGGATCTTTCAAATATCTATCCTTCCACACTATTGACTCTCTCTCAGTGAACAGCTGTGGCTTCATAGGTCATTCCCTATGACCATTTTACTGAGGTGAGGAAGAAACTGAGTCGGAATCACAGATACCACCATGCGATACATTGGCACCAGCCATAGGTTACTGTAAAGAATGAAAAGAAAAAGATACACCTAGAGCAGGCCTCAGAGCAACCAGCTCACTATTCATCTCAGCTGGCTTTAATAGAATGACTTTAGGATTATATCCACATGTCAGATTAACCCATGTGAGCTACCCAAAATTCAGCTGGAATATCATAGTACTTATTCTTATCAACAACTGCTATATGAAAAATGTAACATTTCATAATATTCAAAAATCTTTGCCATTAGGTGGAAAATAAACCTTTGGATCCTCTCACACCTTCAAGGGTCATTAATGATAAATTGGTAAATATACGCCCCCATTTTAAGAACAACAGATTTTTAAAAATTGCATTTCGCTGATCAAACTAGGTGGGCGCTGCATACTTTGGTAATCAGATAAGGTGATGGAGTAGTCACCTTTGAGTGTAGTGGCTGAAAATAGAGTAATTATTTTAAAAATGGCTCATTGAAAATTCTAACTATGCATGTTGGTAGCTCTGGGTCTTACACTCAACTGAAGTCTGATTGTAAATAACTTCAATTAACTGATATGATGTCTGTGTTCTTCCTGGATGGCCAAATTCATTTAAATGTGATGTGCTGTGAAACACTTGAGGGTGTTTTTTTTTTTCTTTTAAGGTTATAAGATAGAACCAAACTCCCTTGAAAGTAATTTTTAAAATCACTTCACTTGTAAACAAAAGAAAAAATAATTTTCTGACTGACTTTAGTAGTTGAAATATCTCCTTTTTAAACTTATTACTCATAAATTAAACACTAATTGTTTAAAGAAAAAGAAAATTCCAAAATATTTAAAAATAAAGCTAACCTGAAGGAAGTATCTGTACACCTAATGGTTTTTGTGGATTGATCACAAACTTGGAAGGGGCAAGTTTGGACCATTATCTACACAGAATTTTGAGCCTGAGGTGTGTGGATATTTGTATTTTATGTAAATGCATTAGAAGGTCCGCACTATGATGAGTAATCTTAATGATCTAATGCAGTGGTTGGCAAACTACAGCCTGCAGGCTAAATCTGGCCCACTGCCTGTTTTTTTAACAGCTGGAAAAAAAATAGACTATTTTGTGGCATATAAAAGTTTTGTTACTTTTTCAGTGTTCAAATTTCAGTCTACAAAAATAAAGTTTTATTGGTACATACTACACCCATTCATTTATGTATTTTATGTGGCTATTTTCATACTCCAGAGGCAGAGTAGAATAGTTGTAACAAAGACTATATGGCCTGCAAAGCTTAAAATATTATCTTATCTTTACAAAAAAAGTTTGCTGACCGCTCCCTGGTGACTATGATGACATCATGACATGTTCTGTGGGTTTCATTGAATATTGTGCATTCCTCATAGGAACAGAGAATTATTCTGGGTTTGGCTATGTTCTCTCCAACTCCCCAATCTTTGCAATTGCTGTGATCATAGTCATTTTGCATCCTGGGGGCTGTCAATGTCCTGTGCTCTGTGGCAGCAGCAGCAGTGCCTTCGGCTCTGGGTCTAGTTGAATAGCCTCTTAATTTTTCTGAGTGGTCCCAGAGGTATACTGCTATCCCAGAGTTTCTAGAAACTACCCTATATTTTTTCAGTTACTTCCTTTTTAGATTAAATAAACCAAAGTGATTACTTTCAAGTAAGAATTCTGGTACAAAACCAAACTCACAAGTAAGTGACCAAAATAGGATTATGAAGATATAAAGTTGGTAAAGTATTTAAGTGGATTAAGTGGATATACAAAAATGCTGTGTCACATATGAAAAAGCCAACATCGAAGGATTTCATCCTAAGACATCAGAAATCCATAAAATAGAAAGATAGCCCACCAAGGTTGAAGAAATATGAGACATAAAATAATTGGTCAAAATTGAGGACTAAGTTTGAGCAACTTGTAAAATAAGATGAACATGGACAGTGACACAATGAAGACAGTTTTTAAAACTTTTGCTATATTTTTATTTTCTCCTGAAAAGATATTTCTAAACAGTCACTGAATGTGAAGGAGTCAGTGAGTGTCAGTGAGTAGTTCAATCAATGTCACAAAAAATGAGAGACCAAAAAAAGACTGGCAGGAAGTAAAGGAGGGGGAAAGTGCTGCTCTCTACATAACCTCTAAATTCTACTAACTCAGGCAAGTCACTTATCTTCCTGCAGTCTTAGTCCTCTCATCTTCAAATCTAGGATAAATTTGACCTCCTTTGAGGATGAATTATGAGGACTAAATGAGTACTCGTTAAGAGCATGAACTCAAATCAAGCAGTCTGGGGACTAAATTGTCCCCTCGAAATGTACTATCCAGGTAAATTTGGGTGAATTATGTAACCTTTCTAATTTGACTTTCTTTCTCTATGTGAGGATTACAATAGTATCTACCACATAAATTTTTGTGTGGCATTAAATAAGAAACTGTATTTTAGCTCATGGTGGAGTGCCTGTAAAAAAAAAAAAAAAAAAAAAAAAGCCCAAAAATGAGAGATGAAAGGAAAGAGGCATAATGATGTGACCAGGGTCTTCAGAAAAGGAAGTGAGCTAAACCCCCAATTTCCCCTAAGTGTCCGCCTTGGAATCATAATGAAATGCTCTCATAATTGGGGCATATTCCCTCTAGATAAATGAGGGTGACAATACATACAGTGCAAATAATTCTTTTCAGACCATGCATTAGCATCTTTCAAATCACATTCCCATGCTCAGTGTATTCTCAGAAGTGGGGAATCAAGTCCTGTGAACAAACCCGTGTGTTGAGTAAGCCTTCTGCCCATTCCTGTGTCCATAACTAAGTCTTTTTATAGCATTTCCCAGTCCTATCCCCCTACTAGCTTTGGCTTGTCCACCCAACAAGGTCATGTGCGATGTCAGTTCTAATTTTCATTAGCTTATTTAGTATTAAGACAACTTCTTGAGAAACACAACCCTATTTACTTTGGTTCACTATTTATTTTATCTTGCTTAGTGAAGAAAAACTTCATGATATGGTTAGGCTTTGTGTCCCCATCCAAAACTCATCGTGAATTGTAATCCCCAGGTGTTAAGGAAGAGACCTGTGGGGAAGTGATTGGATTATGGGGGCGGTTTCCCCCATGCTGTTCTCATGATATGAGTGAATTTTCAGGAGATCTGATGATTTTAAAAATGGTCATTTTTCCTGCGCTGTCACATCCTCTCTCTCACTTGCTGCCCTGTAAGAGCTCCCTTCTTTTCCTTCGGCCATAATTGTAAGTTTCCTGAGGCCTCCCCAGCCATGGGGAACTGTGAGTCAATTAAACTGCTTTCCTTTATAAATTCTTCAGACTCGGATAGTATCTTTATAGCAGTGTAAGAATGGACTAATACACTTCAATCACGTTGTAAAATCAAACTTTTCAGGCAGCAGTTGTCTAGGGCACATGAGGGAGTTTTTACCTGCTTCTTTATCATAGCCCCTGGTATGTATAAATAGACATTTATACTTTTGTCTTTCTTTTTTAGCTCAAAAATTTTTTAAATAATAAGAAATTTAAAAAGCATGTGAAGTTAAGACTAAAAGTTTCTCAAATGTCTTAGTTTTGAGAGTTGAAAGTAACATGTAATAACAAATTCCAAACATTTCAGTATGACTATGCTTAAGTACATGTGATGGAAGTATTTGGTCAATCTAATTTACTTCAAGCTACTTAAAAAATCTAGAAATGCTTTGTCATTTTTCAGAAGTCTTTCAGAAGTTGTAGTACATCAAAATAATATACTTTTAAGAGGTTTCGTTATTATCTTCTGGTCATAGATACTTGGCTTAACATGAACACATAACTTTAGACCAAGTTGTTTAATTCTGAAATTTCTATTTGTAATTGCCTACTTTTCCTGTAGAGAAGACTTTAAGCACACTTAGAGCTGTGTTCAATAAACTTGCAATTACTGCTTCAAAACATTTGCATGAATTGGACCTATTGATGAAGGACAAAACTGAGGATACTCAATCTAGTCCTCCTTATTTGACAAATTAAGTTCCGTTTATGCTATCTCTTTTTAAAAAGCATGTCTGATAAAAAACAATAAGGTTTATGAAGTTCACTTTTATAAAAATCATAGAAACCACATTTACTAATCATATTACATTTATAGATGTTTTAAGGTAGACTTGAATAAATAAAATAAAAGAATAAGAATATAAATGTTTATTTTTACTATAATAAGAATAAAATTATAAAAATAAAAAATTTTAATACATTCACTTATTTTCTAATCAAACTGGATTTTGGCCAAACTTATATTTGTAATTATTAAAAAACAACATTGTTACATAAAATTTATTAGCCTATATAAACCAAATAAACAACCTCTTAAATAAACAGCATGTGTTAGGCCAGCATTAAAAACTTTCATCTGAAAAAAAAATCACTTAATGATCAGTAAAAGAATATTAAATTTATTATTTGTTACAGAAAATAAAGGGCCAGATGTCAGTAACAGCAATGAGCTCCCTAAAGTGGAAAAACAAAATTAATTCATGCCAGTAATATAGTGGAGGGGCTTACGCTATATAAGGAATAAATACTCAAGAAAACAAAGGCATGGGTAGAACACATATTCAATTTAATTTAATTTTTTTCTTCTACTAGTTTGAGAAGTGAGAAACCCTTATTGGATAAATTGCCTCGTGTTTCTGACAAAGTTGCTCTAAATAAACCCTTTTTGATTGCCATTTTAAAAATTGAAGTATTAATATATTTAAAGGCTGAAATGCAAGATGATCTTAAAGTTTTCCTGCTCAAAAAATCATACCACTTCAATAGCTAAACAAGAAGCATCTCATCAGAAACCAACCTCTTCATCTAATGAAAGAAAGAAGTCTGAAATGGCTGATCTGTAGCTTTCTTGTGTCTATCATTTGTGTAAGAGAATGAGTGATGCTGAAAAATAGATTAAAAAAACGACAATTTTCTCTTAATGTTCTGGCATCAGACAGAAATCGTTAGATGGGTATTCCTATAGCAATTCCTAGGATCTATGAATCCATTCATTCCCTAAGTATACTTGGTGGATCAAAACAATATGATACCCAGTAATATGTGCACTACTGTTATTCAAGTTAATATAGAGGTATATTAATATGACTATTAATATACATATTACATAAGACCTAAGACCAGAACAGAAAAAGACTAAAGAAAATGCTTGAGGTTTCTGGCTGAGGGAAAAGGAGTACACCTACAGGATGGGGTGTTAATATTTGCCATTCTGGACAGCATCAACAACTATTATAAAAGAATTTTAACTTGAAGTTAACACGAGAATCTGTCTTTCAGTTCTCTTTATATAACTTCTGTCATATGTCAGAAGCTCTTTCCAGCTCTGTCCAAAAAAGGTGATGCAATAATAGAACAGAATGACTGAAACTGTAATGATAAGAGTAGGGGCAGGCTGGGCCATAAAAGGTAAGGAGAGTAGAAGGGAAAAAGTGACTGATGAGTCCATGGAAGAGAGGGCCAAGAAAGAAGGATCCACAGAAGAATGAGGCCATCCAAGGAACTGAGCGAGGGATGACTGCCTGTGCCCAGGGAGGAGTGAGTGAGTCCACCTGAATTTCTTTTCTTTTTTTTAAATTATACTTTAAGTTCTAGGGTACATGTGCAAGGATCTAGAACTAGAAATACCATTTGACCCAGCCCTCCCGTTACTGGGTATATACCCAAAGAATTATAAATCATGCTGCTATAAAGACACATGCACACCTGAATTTCATAGAGGAGTCAATCCAGATTTCACACCCAGAAGCCACTTCTATTAGTTTGGAGTTGGGAAAGTTTCCAGTAGCATGGTTTATGATTTATTGTTTCAGGGTAATTGTTTTTGATGATGAAGGGTAAAATAACTCCATTATGAAACTTTCAGATCCTTCTTTAGAAGTAGTATTGTATTAAAAATGAAACAAAATGAAACAAAACCTCATACCAAATGTCTATGAAGCTGTAGGCTTCTGTCTTCCTTAATAGCTTCTAAATGGTGCTGATTACAGAGGAGCTCTCTTCATGGGAGTTTTTAGCCTATTAAGAACGTGTGGTGCTATACATTTCAATATTGCTATGAGAATATATTTCTAATATTCTCATAAAAAATTTTAATATTTGAAGTAATGATGTAGAAATTAGCTTAATTTAATCATTTCATATTGCATTGAAAAGTATAACACCACCATACACTTAATAAATATATGCAACTATAATTTGTCAATATGTAATAAAAAGAAATACATTTATTCCTTTAAAAGTATGTGTACATGACTATTCTTCAAGTGACAGTCTAAGGGAAGAAACTCAAGCTCTTTGGCAACAAGTTAAATCTAGAAAAAACAATTTCCAAGCTTCTGGGAATCATCAATACATATATTAATGTGTTTATTATGTCTCAATTATTGTTAATGAAGTGGAGGTATATACACGTAGACATTTTCAAAGAAAAGTGCTTAAATTATTTTACAAAACATGGAATATGTTAACATTATTCATATCAAAATTAAAAGCTATGAAAATAATCTTTAAAAAGTATGCTAATCTCAACTAAGACAATATAACAGGTTTCTTTCCTACAAATAATAGAAATTCACTATTTTGTAAATTGTTTAGCTTGTGGAAATCACATAAAAACTTTCCAATAATTTTACAAAATTAATATGTTTATCAAAATATGATAACAGAGTAAAAAGTAGGAATCAATAGAAAAGTTTCACCGATGAATAGTTGTAAAAATCTTGAACATTGTTATAGCAAGTCAAACCAGCATTTTATCAAAACAACTATACCAAATGCAAGCAGTGCTTACTCCAGTATTACACAGATGTATACAAACAAAGGAGCTGTTATCTTTAACCTAAATTTTTGCCACACAGATGAAAATATCAGCAGTAGGAAAATGTCAGTACAGAAAACCCTCTGCATATGTAACAAAATATATGTATGCATATATAGAGACATAAAAACACATTTTTCTTTAATACGATCACAAAATTTGTGCAATGAAATTTAATATTTTATTGAATTTAAAGGGAGAAGTTCAGTGGGCATAGCTTCAATTCATGTTGCTGCTTTTCTTCTACAGGAATATTTCTAAAATCCTGTAAGAAAGAGACATCTTGAAAAATAAAATAATAATGGAAAATATTAAGAATTTGAAGTTAGTTATTTATGCTTTAGAAAATGTCTATTGAATTTTTGCTCTGAAACATAAAATTTGGAACTGGTTAAAATATGTAATGTAGAAATTAGTATTATGATTAATACTAGTTAATATCAGTGTTGATATTATAAATTAGTTAATTCCAATAGAATAATGGGAAAAATCTATAACATATTCTAAGTGAAAAATATAAAAGTGTTATCAATAGTTCGATAACCAATTAATTATATAATGTTTTTACTGGAAAGATCTAAAGAAAATAATATTCTTAATTTGACAACATTTTTGTCAGGATAGCTGGTCAATTATTTTTCTTTATCTTCTGTGAATGTATCCTCTTTATTTCTACAATGAATACGTCTATTGTTTATAGTAGTAAAATAAGTTTTTAACGTAGGTACAGTAGTATTCCAAGTGTGTATGTGTGCATATATATATATATATATGTGTGTGTGTGTGTGTATATATATAGCCCCACCCCCACTTTATTGGTAACTTTTATCATTGGCCACCAAAGACACACCACCAGTAACATACCTGTAGTCAAACAAAGATAATTTTATTACTTACTGCATGGATGTTTCAGAACATGTTTTGGGGGACTTGTTACAGGATCTGGGCTTGGTTTGGTGATTTTGGCTTATATTAGGAGTTTTTGCTGGATTGGGTCATGTATGAAAGTGGTAGCAAATATATGATTGGATATTACTAATCTTTACATAGGAGGCAGAAAGAATGAAGATGGCCTAAAGTTGTAACAGGAAAAAGAAACCACAGTCACATATTTTAGGAGTGGGAGAATCTTGACCATTTTTGTGGTTCATGCTGAATTCTACTTTTTGACTGTTGAGGCACACTTATACAGTGATTTTGTTTTTATCTTGTTCATTATTGGTACAGGGTAACTTTAAATTATTTTTGTGTTTGAAATTGTAGGAACATCATAGCCTAGCTCTTAGTGCTAGCTGTCAAGGTTGCTTTTTTCTTTCCCCATTGTTTATTGTGGGGATGTTGTTCTTAAAGTGTAGGCACTATACTGCAGCTTAGCATCACCTGAGAAACTGTTTGAAATGTAAACCCTCAAGCCCACCCCAGAAGCACTGAATCAGAAACTCTGGGCATGGAGCCAAACTATCTATCTTTTAACAAGCCTTTTGGTCCAGGTAATTCTAATACTAGCTAAAATTTGAAAACCTGTTGCAATGGTTAATCACCTTGACTACACATTAGCATCCTCTGGGGAATGGGGGCTTTAAAATCATACTGATGGCCAAGACCAATTCCTGTTTAATTGCAGTCAAAAATATCGGAGCATGGAACAAAGATTTGGTAATTTTTAAATGTGCCTTAGCTATTATAATGTGCAACCTTGTTAGAGAACCTCTGTTCTATCCTATTTGGGTAAAGGCAAAAAGAAAATGAAAACAGAAAGCAAACCCACAAAGAAACAAAAATACATCGCTTCCCCCCCTCCCCTTTCTGTGTTCATCCACAATGGTATTGTTCCTATTGGAGAATAATTTTGAAATGTTAATTACATTTGAAAATTCACATAACATACAATTTAGCAATTCCATTTTGAAATATATGCCATAGATAACCTCTTACATGGGCACAAAGTAATCTATATATGAATATTCATCTCATCACTGTTTGTACTAGGAAAGAATGTAAATACGATACAGTCCACAGCTGAGAGATGGATAAATTGTAAGATGTTTATAAAATGCTACACAATCCTGTGGTTAAAATAGACTGTATCAACTATATCAATGTGGATAAACCTCAAAACATAGAATGATGAGTGAACACAGAAACACAAAAATATTACATGTAATTTTAGTAAAACTTAAAAACCTTGAATAATGTTGGATGTTGTTATAGATACAATGTATTGTCCAGTACTAATCTGAAAGGAAGCACACAAGTAATTTGCACAGCTTCAACAGAGGCTACTTACTTACATCTGTGGGAAATAGAATGGGGATAGAATTCTGGGAATTTAAAAAATATCTGTAATATTTTATTTCTCTAAGGAATAAGTGAAGCAATTACAATAAAGTGTCACATTTTAAACATTAGGCTAGAGATTACCACTTGGAATTCTAACAATACTGTCCTCCTTCAACCCAGTGCTGACACTGCCAAGCTGACTCACTTCTTCTAAAGCTTCATCTATTAATTCTGCATTGACCACAAAGCTGCATGTTTAATAATGCCTTTGAAAATAACTAGATAGAATTTCAAGAAGAAAAAAAAAACAAGGCAAAACTGGAAGCTAAATGTTAGCTATGACTGTTTCTGAACTCCAGGATCAGAGAAAAAAAAAAAAAAAGCAAGAATCTTCATGCAGGATGTCCTAATGGGTAAACTGTAGTATCTCATCTTGTCTCTCAAAATTGAAATTCCTTCTATGAGCATTTTCATGCCTGCTCACCCGCTTTAGGAGAACCTAAACTTCTTCCCATAGGAAACAGTTTCACCCTGAGATTTTCCCCTAATCCTCTCTCTACCATCACTCCTCCAGTCATACAATGTTAGTTACCATAATCCACAAGGGCAAGACAGGGTTGAAGTAGGGTAGTGCTTCAGGTCACAGGGAAAGTTTTGGCAGAATTGTCTATGGTGAGAATTGCCACATTATATTCAACATTCTTTGAGTTTACTCAAGCAGCATCCTGTGAAAGTATGTTCATTCATTCATTCATTGAATTTCCGGGTTCTTAGGAAAAACTGTTGGGCAACACATATACTGTCATGTGCACATGCAAATATACAAACCCAAGTGAAAACAATAATTTTTCTTGGTAATATTATAGTCAAAATTTGTGTTAAGGAAAATAAACATTTCTTGGAGAGATAATAGAATATACTCTGCCCAAAACGGAGATAGCATTTTACATTGTTATGCAGATAATTTTCATTGATATTTTCTCTTTCTTCTTTCTCACTCCATGCATTGAATTACACTGGGCAAAAATAATGTCCTAGGACTGTACCATTCATCCACAATTACTCCCATTTACAATATAAAAACAGGAAGAGTTTTAAAATAAATATTTGTATTTAACTTCAACCAATTTTTAGGATGACTTTACTTCCAGTTTTTACCATTCCATCTTATTGGTAGAAGACTAGAGTGAAAAAAAATTATTCTTTTTCTAATTGTTAAACAATTATTAGGCTGCAATTACTTTTACACCAACCTCATGTTTGAGATTTTAAAAGAAGCATAATTTTTACAAATAAAGAGAAAATACGTTCCCATAAATATGAAAGAATTATGATTTTCATTTTCTTCATGTCCTACGTTTTTCAAGTTTTTAAAATAATATGCATATATCTGGCATCAGCAATAAAAATAAATGTTACCAAAATAAATTTTAGACAATCCAATCAAAGGTATATATTAACTTATTTGAGATTTATTTTTTTAATTTTATATAAACAAATAGTTTTACATATTTATGGGGTACATGAGATATTTTGATACAAGCATATAATGTGTAATAATCAAATCAGGATAATTTGGATATCCATAACCTCAAACATTTATTATTTCTTTGTGTTGAGAACATTACAAATCCACTTCTCTAGTTACTTTGAAATATACAGTAAGTCATTAACTTATAGTTGCCCTATTGTACTATTGAACACTAGATTTTCTTCCTTCTACCTAAGAAATAAAATGTATTTTTGTACCCAGTAACCAACCCCTTTATATCCCTGCCTTCCCAAGACCCTTCCCAACCTCTGGTAACCATCATTCTACTTTCTACCTCCATGAGATGAATTTCTTTAATTCTCACATATGAGTGAGAATAGGTGATATTTGTCTTTCTGTGCCTGGCTTATTCCACTTAACATAATGTCCTCCAATTCCATTAAAGTTGTTGGAAATTACAAGGTTTCATTCTTTTTTATAACTGAAAAATATTCCACTGTGTATATGCACCACATTTTCTTTATCCCTTCATATTTTGATGGACACTTAGGTTGGTTCCATATCTTGGCTAATGTAAATAATGCTACAATAAACATGGGTGTGCAGATAGTTTTTTAATATACTGATTTCCTTTCTTTTGGATATATAACCAGCAATGGAATTGATGGATCATGTGGTAGTTCTATTTTTAGTCATTTGAGAAGCCACCATAGTCTTTTTCATAGTGGCTATACTAATTTACATTCATACCAACAGTGTACAAACATTTTCCTTTCTCCACATCCTCACGAGCATGTTATTTTTTGTCTTTTTATAAAAGTCATTTTAACTGGAGTGAAAGGAACAGAATGGGAGAAAATGTTTGCAAATGTTTCAACCAACAAGGGATTAATAACCAGAATATATAAGGAACTCAAACAACTAAATAGCCAAAAAACCAATCATCTGATATAAAAATGGGTAATAGATCTTAATAGACATTTCCTAAATGTCACTAATCATCAGAGAAATGCAAGTCAAAACCACAATGAGATTTTTAAAATTCTATCTGTATATCAATCACCATGCCAGTAAATATAGTTATAAATAACATATGGTCTTTTACCTTGTGGAGTTTGCATCTGAAGTTGTGGTAGACATATAAGAGAGACCAATCTCTTGTGGTAGACATATAAGAGAGACCAATCTCTGGTGCATATGAATGTCTCTGTTTCTCTCTATATTTGTTTGTTTCTTTATCTATAAACACTCTATTTATAAAGGAGTTGTTTTATAAAGAATAAAATAATTATCTTCTAAAAATATTTTTAAGAAAATTTTCAGGCTAGTGGACAGCTGATATGGAATAGTATGGGATTAAGGATAGTAAGAATCAGCCAACTATAGGAAATTTGAGAATGGCTTTTCAGGCATGAAAAGCATAACTATATGATATAGTATAGTATATGAATCCAAAAATTAGTATTTAAATATAGTTTTTATTTATTGAGAGAGGCCAGGACATTAGCTGTTCAGGTTGAAGAGATAAACACATTGAGAAAGTCAGACCATCATTGACTTTCTGAATTATTTAAGAGGTTGAACTTTATCCATTATGGAAGAGGACTTTAGAAGGATTTTAATCAGGATAATTAGGTGAGCAGGGCTGTACTTTAGAAAAAGGCAAATATCCTTTGCAAAGCTTCTGTCTATATGAACAATTTGATTGAACAGAATTTCTGGTAAGACATAGTTATTTAAAATAAAGGAGCGAAAATAGATACTTATGATTGTGAGGGGAGGCCTCATAATCATGGTGGAAGGCAAGGAGGAGCAAGTCACATCTTACATGGATGGCAGCAGGCAAAGAGACAGCTTGTTCAGGGAAACTCCCCTTTTAAAAACCATCAGATCTCATGAGACTTATTCACGATCACAAGAACAGCACAGGAAAGTCCCAACCCCATGACTCAATTATTTCCCACCAGGTCCCTTCCACAACACATGTGAATTATGGGAGCTACATGATGAGATTTGGGTGGGGACACAGAGACAAACCATATCAAACACCATGGTTTTGGGGACACGTTTAACTGAACAATACAGGTCTTCTCATCACTGCAGTTCTCTAACACCATCGATTTAATGCAGGTTATATCATGAGTCATGGCACTACATCATTTATCACAAATGCTGGCTTCCAATGACTGTTCCAACGTTGTTATTCTGCTTAGTTGATTGGATCTACAAATGCAAGTCTTGCAAGGACAATGCAGCAAAATATGAATGATGATTTTTTCTGGTCATGTTAAATCCTCTGTCCATCATTTTATGGTGTAAACATAAAACTATGTCTTCCTTGAATTCTTTAGGTTCTTATCAGTGAATTCTTAGACTATGATCTCTTTCAAAGTTGCTGAAAGTTGCTTTTCACATACTGCTCCTAGTGGGGAAGATAGGAAAGGGGCCTGTGGCCAGAGTGAGAATGGTATCATTTATGTAGCATTGCTTATAACTGACCTGAGGGAGCAGAGAGCAGGAAGGTGGACATAGGGCAAATGACACTTGATACCACTCCTGATACCTTCATGTTCTGTAGACTGGAGGTGGCACCAGCATGGGAAGGATGACAGGAAGGAGCTGATTCACAGGCCTACACAGAGTTAAGCTAAGGGTCATTTGTAGGCTGATGATATCCTCTAAGCTCTGGTACCCTGAATTCATCCTGTGACCAAAATGCATGAGAATCACTAAAATCAGTTTATCAACACCATTCTGGTAGCCTCATTTCACATGATCCCATGAAACAAATACCTTACATCCTAGTGGGAACAATCTGCTTTGGAATTTGAGCCCCAGAATGACTCCAAAGTCATGAGTCCCTAAACTCTTTGGGGGTAACTGGTTGACCCCACATGTATTAGTCTGTTTTCACACTGGTATAAACACATACCTGAGACTGGGTGATCTATAAAGGAAAGAGTTTTAATTGACTCATTGTTCTGCATGGCTGGGGAGGCCTCAGAAACTTACAATCATAGCAGTAGGGGAAGAGGCATGTCTTACATGGTGACAGGCAAGAGAGTCAGTGAGGAGCAAAGGGAGATGAGCCCCTTATAAAACCATCAGATCTTGTGAGAACTCAGTCTAACGTGAGAACAGCATGGAAGAAAATGTTCCTATGATCCAGCCACCTCCCACCACTAGAGAGACCACTAGAGGTCTATAGCCACATGAGGATTATGGAGATTATAATTCAAGTAGAGATTTGGGTGGGAACACAAAGCCTAACCATATCATTCTGCCTGTGGCCTCTCCCAAATCTCATGTCCACACATTTCAAAACCAATCATGCCTTTTCAATAGTCCCTCATTCTTAACTTGTTGTAGCATAATTTCAAAAGTCCAAGTCCAAACTCTCATCTGAGACAAGGCAAGTCCCTTCTGCCCAGGAGCCTGTAAAATCAAAAGCAAGTTAGTTACTTGCAAGATACAATAAGGGTACAGGAATTGGATGAATGGTCCCATTCCAAAAGGGAGAAATTGGCCAAAACAAAGTGGTTACAGGCCCAAGGCAAGTCCAAAATCCAGGAGTGCAGTCATTACATTTTGAAGGTCAGAAATGATTTCTTTTTACTCCATATCTAACATTCTGAGGCACACTGATGCAAGAGGTAGGGTCCCATGGTCTTCGGCAGCTACACCCCTGAGGCTTTGCAGGGTGCAGCCCCCCTCCTGGCTGCTTTCACAGCCTGGCATTGAGTGTCTGTGGCTTTTCCAGGTGCACAGTGGAAGATGTCGGTGGATCTACCATTCTGGAGTCTGGAGGACAGTGGTCCTCTTTTTACAGCTCCACTAGGCAGTGCCCCAGTGAGGGCTCTGTGTGGGGAACTGACCCCACATTTTTCTTTCACACTGCTCTAGCAGAGGTTCTCCATGAGGGCTCCACCCCTGCCACAGACTTCTGCCTGGACATCCAGGTGTTTCCATACATCCTTTGAAATCTAGGCAGAGGTTTCCAAATCTCAATTTTTTACTTCTGGGCCCTCTCAGGCCCAACACCATGTGGAAGCTGTCAAGGCTTTGGGCTTGCACCCTCTGAAGCCATGGCCCAAGCTGTAATTGACCCCTTTTAGCCACAGCTGGAGCTGAAGCAGCTGGGGCACAGGTTTCCATGTCCTGAGGCTTCACAGAGCAGGAAGACCTTGGACCCAGCCTATGAAATTATTTTTTCTCCTAGGCCTCTAGGCCTTAAGAGGGGCTCCTGGGAAGGTCTCTGGCATGTCCTGGAGACATTTTACCCATTGTCTTGGTGATTAACATTGGGTCCTTGTTACTTATGCAAAATTCTGCAGCTGACTTCAATTTCTCCCCAGGAAATGGGTTTTTCTTTTCTAGCACATCGTTAGGCTGCAAATTTCCAAAATTCCATAGCAGAACTTTAATGTTCTGCTTCCCTTTTAAACACAAGTTCCAATTTCAGATTATCTGTATCAAGTTGAAAGTTGCACAGCAGGGACAAAATGCCACCAGTCCCTTTGCTAAAGCATATCAAGACTGACCTTTGCTCCAGTTCCCAGTAAGTTCCTCATCTCCATCTAAGACCACCTCAGCCTGGACTTCATTGTCCGTATCACCATCAGCATTTTGGTCAAAACCATTTGACAAATCTCTAGGAAGTTTCAAACTTTCCCACATCTTCCTTTCTTCTTCTGAGCCCTCTAAACTGTTCCAACCACTGCGTGTTACCCAATTTCAAATTCACTTCCACATTTTTGAGTATCTTTATAGCAGTGCCCCACTAGCTTTGTACCAATTTACTATATTAGTCAATTCTAACATGGGAAATAAAGAAATACCCAAGACTGGATAATTTATAAAGGAAGGAGGTTTAGACCGGATGCAGTGGCTCACACCTGTAATTCCAACACTTTGGGAGGCTGAGGCAGGTGAATCACTTGAGATCTGAGAACAGCCTGGCTTACATGGTGAAACCCTGTCTCTACTAAAAATACAAAAGTTAGTCGGGTGTGGTGGCACCTGTCTGTAATCCCAGCTACTCAGGGGGCTGAGGTGGGAGAATTGTTTGAACCTGGGAGGCGGAGGTGACAGTGAATCGAGATCACACCACTGCACTCCAGCCTGGGTGACAGAGAGACTCTGTCTCAGAAAAAAAAAAAAAAAAAAAAAAAAAAAAAAAGAGGTTTAATTAACTCACAGTTCTGAATGGCTGGGGAGGCCTCAGGAAACTTACAATCACGGTGAAAAGTGAAGGGGAAGCAAGCTTGGACTTTCTCACATGGTGGCAGGAGAGAGAAGAGTGAGCAAAGGGGGAAGATCCCCTTATAAAACCATCAGATCTCATGAAAACAGCATGGGGGAAACCATCCCCATTGTGAGAAAACATTTTAAATGGTCCATTTTCAAGGCATGATACATCTAAGTACTGGTGGCCAGACTGCGAATGTAACAAACCACAGAGCTCATGCACCTAGAAGGTCACAATAAGCAAACAGAATGTAGAGGAGGGGTCAGCCCATAAAAGGGAAACAAGTTTTGTTATTGCAAAATTGAAACTTAATCAGGAAAGGGGACTCAGGAACAACCTTATAAGTGAGATAATGAAACTTAGGTGATATCCAGGAAGATTGTAACCCCATAGTACTCAACCAGTGAGGAACTGGGGGAGGGACTTGTGTGCTAGGAAATAAATTACCTGTTATGACTGCCCTGTGTGTGCCTGCCCCCGGCCCCGATCTTGCAAGATGGTTATTAAAAAGTCTCACTTTTGCTGTTCTTAGTGCCTCTAAGTCCATTCTCTGGGTTTGGATGGGCGAGTGTGTTTCTCACACCCATGATCCAATCACCTCCCATCAGGTCTCTTCCTAGACATGTGGGTATTATGGGGATTACAATTCAGATTTGATTTGGGTGGGGACACAAAGCCTAACCATATCACCATGTTGTGAGGGATGTGGGATGAGGAGCAGGGTACGTTTAGGGTTGAAGAGGAAAACTGACTGATGCTTAGGTGGGCAATAGTCTAGTCTCTAGGCACTGTGCTGGATGGGATTACTGACCCGGTCAATCCCAGCCACCAGAGGAGGATCTAAACATTTTAACAAAAGCCTCTAAAGCATGGGGCCCCTAAGGCATAAGACCCATGGTAGGGGCCACACTTTCACATTCTAAGGGTGATACGGACCACTTGAATTAATTAGACAAGTGATAATGTGATGACATTATGTTAGGACAACATAACGTATATTAAAAAGGTACAATTTATATTTTTAATTTGAAATGACAGAGTGAGGGAAGTCTGAGTAGTTTTTGGTTTATGTCTTAGGTAGATCTGTGTCTGAGGAGGGATTTATTTGGATAAAAGCAAAATTTGGGTGGGACAGACAATAAATTAATATACTATCAGATAATTGTGTGATTTCACCTTTATCAAATCACTTATTATTAAACCTGTGTGTAAACTAGTCACCCAGGGATTGTGCTGAATTGCAGATTCTAATTTAGTAGGTGTGTTGTGGATCCCAAAAGTCTATATTTCTAACAAGCTTCCAGATGATACTAACTTTGCCAATTGAGGAACTATATGTTGAGTAGCAGAGAGCTAGACTATGGTTCTACATATTAATGGATTAAAGACCTCCTAAATCTCCTAAGAAGGGATATAATCTTATAAGAGGAATTAACTTATTGCACCCTTTCCTGGTGCTGTTTCCAGACTGTCAATTATCTTTTCCTATCTCAATTACTCACTGATAATAGAAGCAATCATCCTAAATGGCATGTATAATAATGGTTCTTCCATACATCTAAGTATTCACTATGAAGTTGTAGTTATCTATTACTACAAAGGATTCCATCTCAAAATTTACTGTCTTAAAACATCAATTTATTACTCTTCATGATTCAGTAGGTTGACTGGCTTGTTCTTTTGTTTCATGTAGTGTGAGATGGGGTGATGGGGTGGTGGGGAGCTACAGTCATCTGGAGACTCAACTGGCAGCTGGGCTGACATTCACGACCACGATTCTCCACTTGGCTGCTTGGGTGGCCTCATAGCATGGTGGCTAGATTTCAAGAAGGAGCAAAAGAGCAAGCATCCTAAAGAAAATAAGGTATAAGAAAAAAGTTAATAGGCCAATCAAGGGCTAGGCCAAGAACTAGCATAGTGTTATTTCTAATATTTAGTTTTGGTTTGTTTGTTTTAAATGTCGAACAGTTACAGTGGTGGGGGGTGAAATACATAAGGTTTGAAATAGGGGCAGAATGGTTAACTGGGAAATCATCAAAGTAACAGTCTACCGCAGATGTTTAGAGAAATGAAGGCAGTTATTGAGAAGTTGATCGAGTTTACCTTTTAGTTAATTGTCATTTCCTTTCTAACATGTCATTTCCTTTCTAATGATCAAATACCAGCTATTTGATCATTAGAAAATGAAATGTGATTCTCCTGTTTGAAAATAGGCATAGAAAACAGCAAAAGAGGCAAATGAAAACAAAAAGAATGTAAAGTATGCAGAAGAGCACATATACATGTGTGCCCACAAAAACAAAAATAAAAACTAGAACTGTTTTTGTTCTATCCCCTTTGTGACAAAAAAAAGATGTTCTACGTATAATACCGTAACGTTAATTTGCTATAAGTCTATGGGTCTCTGAAACTCTGGTTATAGCATCTTCTTGCTTTAAATTTTCAAAGAGCCCATTCAGTTGACACTTTATATCTAGCTCTTGAGGAGCTGCAGTCTGAAATTTTATGCAGCAGTTTCTTTCACACAATCCTTAGGCCCACTGTGGTTTAGTAGAATTAAAACTTAAATAGAGTTGAAATGTAATTTCTTGAACATTTTCTAACTCAAGTAAATTCGAAAACATAAATAAAATTTCATGGAAACAATATATGCTGAAACAGTAGCAATATTAAGCTAAACACTTTTTTCCAAAGAAGTAAATTGCACAATTGTAATCAGTTTCAAGAAGTGTTGAGAGAAATAAAATTCCATCTAATAAATCTGTGACAAGACAAATTCATACAACTGATTTCCTCTCTTTTTTTTCAGTGTACTGAGATTCTCAGATACACATAATAGTAAAAAAAAAAAAAAAAGACTCTAAAGGAACATTTACCTAAACGGGTTTTTTTGTTTTAATGCCTGATTTATACACAGAACAAGCATAGCAGATTCCTTAAACAGCTGTATTGGGAATAGCATAAGATACAATTTTATTTATTGTAGAACAGCTGTTTAGATTTTAATGGCTATCACATTTTATTTGTTTTTAAGTATACTCTAATAGCAGCAAAGAAGAATTCTCTGTGGTGTCTATGATAGTTAAACATGTTTATCAATGTTTTATAAATAGAGGAATATCTTTCCAATCACTTATATATTTTTTAGAAACTTTAATTCAACATAATTTTTAAGTTTTAGAGGGAAATACGAAGATAGTACAAAGAGGCCTTGTATATCCTATGTCCGATTTTTCCCATTGTTTACATTGTATACTTCTGTGGTTCATTTGTCAAAACGAAGAAATCAACTTTGGTATTTTAACTAAATTACAGAGTTAATTTCAATTTTACCAATTTTCCATTAATGTTATCTTCCTGTTGTAAGAACTAATCTAGAATGCCACATTGCATTTAGTTATCATGTTTTTCCAGTCTCCTCTGGTCAGTGAGACTTTCTCAGTCTTTTCTGTTTTTTTTAAGACCTTCAATATCTGGGGCAATACTGACCAGGTATTCTGCAGGATGTCCTCCAATCTAGTTGTTTTTAAAATGTTTTTCTGATGATTATACTCAACTTATGGGTTTATGGGAAGAATACCACAGAGGTGAATTGCCCTTCTCATACCATATCAGGGGCTACATAATATCCACATGATATCACTGGAATGTTAAGCTTCATCACTTGGTTAAAGTATTGCTTGCCAGGTTTTTCCACTTGTAAAGTTTTCGTTTCTCCCCTTACTTAGTCTATCCTTTGAAAGCCAGTTACTAAGTCAAGCCCAATCTCGTGTGTGTGTGCGCGTGTGTGTGTGTGTGTACCTAAGAACTTCACTTCTGGAAAGGGCAGCTTCTACATGTATTAAAGGTAATTCTTCTGTAAGAAAGATTTATCTCTTTTCTACCATTTAATTATTTATTCAGTCCTTTATATTATATACATTTATTTTATATTGGTTATACTTTAATACTAGGTTATTTGTTTTCTTGCTTACATTGTTCCAGCTTTGGCCATTGGTTACAGTTGGTTCCTTTGTCCTCTAACGTGTCCTCATCACTTTGTATTTTCAGAACTTCCTTACCTTCTGGTCCTACAAAATGTACCAGGTTCATGTTGCATTTTCTATGCCTCAGAGCTGGAATCAATTACTACTCCAAGGAGCTCTGGTTTCTTTTTTTTGAGAACGGTATTTAGAAACTAACATCTAGACACTGAGTGTGCTTATTGCTAGAGCGTCATTGTTTTTAGACCTTAACCACAAACAAATTATTATGTATAAATTTAATAATCTATGTGAAAACATAATTGTTTTGATATCTAGCTATCGGTCCATATATTAAACTAAACTTTAGTTCATACTGATATCCTTGACTCTAACTTAGTGCTACAGAGGTCATTTCAACCTTCCTTTCTTGCTTGTGCATAACCTCCTTCTCTAAAAACAAAACATTGAACTAAATTATACTTTAGTTTTAAATGTGAATTTAAAATTTATCTCATATTTAATAGTCTTGGGATCACCTGTGAGTGACACATTTCTTACACAGAATATAAGATTCACTAACTAATAAGACATATTTATCCCTTGAATGTATTATATCATATTCATATGTAGCTTGTTAATTTAAAATATTTTATCATTAATATAAGTACCAGCTGTGCTTGGCATGTAAGAGAGGAATATAGCAAGAGGCTAAAAATAATTGTGAGTAAATAATCGACTTAATAAAATTGTCCTCGTGTGTACTGTGGTTATTTGAAGCTGTAGATCAGTGGTATTCAACCACAGTGGCATGAAAAATCACTTGGGGAGATAAAAAATGCTGTTTCCTGGTTATCACATTGAGAGAATCTGATTTAATATGTTTGGAGTTCAGAATGGTCATAGGAATTTTAAAAGCTCTCCAGGGAATTCTGATGTGCAGCCAAGGTTGAGCCTAGATTCAGAACTTCTCCTGTATTTGGCTATATTAATGCTGATTGCAGCATCTCCATGCTGTCTTGTTTTCTAAATGGATAGATTCCAAGGTAAACAAACTGTGAAACAGTAATATGTATTTGAGTTTGGACAATGGGGCACACCGTATTGTTATAGCAAATGCAGTCATTGCAACACCACTGTAGCAGTGGTGGACATGTAGGTACCTATGTCTGCTCCAAACCAAAAAACACCTCTAGAAATTTAGAGATATTCCTTTATATATATACTGTGACCCAGTGTTATAAACAGAATTGTGTCCCTTCCATATTTATGTCTTGAAGTGCTAGCCCTTCAATGTGACTATATTTGGAGACAGAGCCTAAATATGTAAGTAAGGTTAAATGAGGTAATTAAGATGAAGTTAAGGTTAAATAAAGGTGGGTCCCTAATGCATTTGGGCTGGTGTCTTTATAAGAAGAGGAAGAAGGATCAGGAATGTGCATGCACAGAGAAAAGGCCATGTGAGAACACAGCAAGAAGACTGCCTTATGCAAGCCAAGGAGTAAGACCCTACAGATACCAAGACTGCTGGCACCTTGATCTTGAACTTCTAAGAAAATCAATTTCTGTTGTTTATGCCACCCAGTCTGTGATAGTCTGTTATTGCAAACTGATAGAACTAATACACCCAGAAATTTCACTTCTCAGGGTATAATCAATAGATATGATGTACATATTCAAGAAGTGTTCAAAAATATTCATGGTAGCTGTAGTCTTGTAGACCCTACTGGACACATCCCAAATGTCTAACCTTAAGTGTACAATTCAATGGGTTTGATACACAGACACAAAATCCATACTTTTTCACAATATAGATCATTTGCACCACACCTGAAAGTTCCTAAATGCACCTTCCTACTTAATGCTTTACACGCAGACTACGTCAATTAAAATTTTTTCACAATAGATTGGTTTTGCTTGTTTTAGATCATAATATAAATAAAGTCATAAAAGCATGGAGACTAGGACTACATACTTTTTATTGCCTGAAATAAGGCTTTTAGTATCTCAATAATGCTTTTACTAAAAAAATTCAATATTTTGACAAAACAGTCTATAAATATTTAGATCCATAAATGTAACTGCACAGAAATAAAATTTATACTTTTTTCTATAGTTACTTGTTTTCATACTTTGGGGCACATCTCCTTACCTTGATAGTGTAGGTATTTATCACGTGTTATCCTATGAATCTCAGTCACAACTCCACTATTCACTTTGAATTAAAATAATGCATCATTCTAACTTTAATCAGTGATTTACAGCAGGAAATATAAAGCATTTGTAGTTGATGATTTATTCCATTTAATAATATTCACTCTGCGCAGGTATGGTTGATGCTTCCTGTGTTTCTAAGTGTTCATTTGGGACAAATTTGGATGTCCATACTATCTAAACTCAGTGCATTTAAAGGTATATCTGGAAGGCATTAAGAAGTCAGTGGATTTGCTATAAAAGAATGCAGTCCTTACAAAATCAGAAGAAAAGTGGTGCACTCTTAAAGTACCCTTTTTCCCAGCACTGTTACTTTTTACAAGGCGTACTTCTAGTGCTTTAAAGTACTTACCTTTAAGTTTTGACCAGTATTCAGTTAAATAAGTAGTCATAACAATAAATAGTACATAAAAATACAAATTTAGGATGCCAGCTACTCTCTCACTATATTCTAAAATCCATGATCTATTATTTTTGCATTATTTTTAACTGAAGAAAAATAATAATTCTTACATGGTTTAATTATCATAGCCATACAAATAAATATTTTTACAGTAAATATTTGGTTTCTGTGTATACTCTGGAAATACAAATTTATACTTTTCCCTGGGTCTTGGAAATAATTTGCAAGTCTAGATATGTATTTAACACATAATAACTATCACTATGTTTATATACAAATGTTACAGGGTGTTAACTCAACTTTACAATCAGTGATGAGACATTCTTGATGATCTTGTAATTATTCAGATTATTGTCCAGCAAATATTTACTTCCTGTGCTCCCACTTAGGCAAAATGCACCTCCTCACCCCATTGATATGATAGACGATGTGACTTTCTTTGGCCTGTGGAATGTTGGCAAGTATGATTAAGTAGAAGCTCTGAATGTGTTTGTAATATATTCACATGGCTCTTGTGCTCCAGTCATCCTCCATGAGAAGAGAATGACATCAGTGGCTGTTACCTTTTAGTCTCTGTCTCAGAAAAAACACACGTGGAGCAGACTTAAACTCAGCCCACAGCTTGAATTCAAGTCCAAACAAACTGCATCTTGATGCAGAGCTGTGTGGTTAATCCCAGCCTTGATAAGCTGAACTGTGGTCAACCTGCAGATTCATGAATGTCAGTTTTCCAGGGTAGTGGTTGTGCAGCATTTATAATAACACCATCTTATACCTAGTTAATAATCGGTTATCAAGTGGCAGATACAGAGGCAAACTAGGACGTGATCCTTTCCTCTCAAATGCTTAGAATCTACTTGGTTGAAAAGCTAAGTGAAAATTACAGAAAACTCTGAGGAGGAAAACAAGAATTAGTTGGATCAGGATAGAGATAGCGGGTGTCCTTGGAAAACTATATAGGTGGGCTATTCTAGTTATGTATGCTAGGTAAGTAAACACCCTAAAACTCAATGGGCCAAACTACAATTTGTTGTTGTTATTTATGAGGGTTAAACTAGCCTACCTGAACAGTTCTCCACCGGGTATCTTATGGGAGTAACTGGATGTCAGCCGGAGCTATCATTTGAAGGCTTCGCCTAGCTGGATATCCAAAAAGTCTATTACATAATACTTGATGCTGACTGTTATGGGACTTCAGGTGGGCTCTCTGCTGCAGCACCTACACATTGTCTCTTTATGTGGCTTGGGCATCTCACAGCATGGTGGCTGAGTTCGGAGAGGGAGTGTCTCAAGGGCAAACATTTCAAGAGACCCAGGCTTTTTATGACCTAATCCCAGAAGTCTCAAAATGTCACTATTACCATGTTCTTGTCATCAAACAAATTACTAAAATCAGCCCAGATTGAAAGAGAGGGAACTTAGGCTGCAGTTGTTCATGTGAGAAGCAGCAAGTACCAACAGAACTAAAGAAATTGAAAGTGGCCATTTTCTAAATTTATTTACTACAGCGGCTTTATTTGATTAAATTTGGATAAACAGCTTTGTCTAGAGAGTGCCCATATTATTTTTCATCCATACTAGGACATGTTCGAGAGTAGAATAGACAATAAATATGAATACGTATCCTTAGCAAAACTGGGGTGTATTTTAGTGTGTTGATAACTCAGCTACTGCGTATTCTTATTCGTGCTTTATTCTGCCTGTGATGCTTAGGCTCTGCCATTAGGGGGCACTTGAGGGATGCCCAAAGGCAGGTGGAGTGAGAACAGACTTGCCCCTTTCTATTCCCATTGTTTTAGCAGTCTCATTAGAGGCAGTTGGTTCCAGTTTTCAGGTTTGGTTTTTCTATATTTCCGCAACCAGCTTCAATGCACTCTCTGGGATACACTAATATCAACATGTGGCACTTCTTTTTCAGAAATATGAGGCTGAGCTCTGAGAGGTCCCTTCTATAAGCTTCTAGGTTCTAATAATCCCAACGTCTTCCTTTTGTTCTCTGGACCCAAGAGGTATGACCTGCTCTTGTTAGTCCTACAATAGAATTCAACCAATTTCTTACATTAAATTCTCTGTCAGAAAAAAGGATGTAGTTCTGTTCTTCTATTTTCCTAATCTAATTGAAACCATTATCTGATATATTGGTTTTATTTTCCTAGCTTGAATAGGTCATATCAATCTAAAAGTTTTACTAAATAATCAGAACGACATTGGTCTCATGCTGAGCACTAGAGATGTTTTTAAAAAGCAAGAACCAATTTCTAGGGACATTAATATACTTCTTAGAGTGAAGTTGGAATCACTGACATTAATTAAATGGCAAAGCTTGGATTCAAATAAGTTTTATTACTGTTGTAGTATAACTCATTTACTTATTAATAAATATTGAAAGATTTTCCCTAATAACTCTATCAACTTATTTTACGACGTGTATATGCCTGTGGCTTCTTTAATATAGAACAAACTGATTTTCAGTATAAAGCAATCACGTGTTGCTTAATACGTCTGTAAAGGTGGCACTATGCTATTGTATATATCAAATTATTTCTACTTTTCTGTTATTGTATTAACATACAGGAAAGGGTGTTAACATAAAATATATGTATGTGCAACCTATAAGAGATTTGAAATGCATCAGTACAAATCCTGGGAGTAGCAAACAAATACAAAGTTTGCAAATGAATTTTGGGAATGTATATTCCACATAAAAGCTTATTTATAGCTAGTTTCAGCTATTCAACTCACACATGTGATCTAAGCAATGGATGTATTCTTCTGTAAAGCTAATTATTTGTGTTTAAAGAACCATGGAAAATATAGGTGAAAATTCTAATGTTACAATTTTTTAAAAAATTAATAGTCAAATTTAGTAGGTATTCATTGAAAAACACCACTAGAAATGCAGCACCTTTTTCATTCTCTAAAATTTTTAGTAGCACACCTGCTTTACCTAGTGCAAATTCCATGAATTTTAATGGTAGAAATTTTTCCCTCTGAGATTGCATCCTGATAGCTTTTGGGTTTTGTTTTCTCTCTTCTTTTTCAACACAACTAGAAAACATTCTAAGCCAGGTGACTATATGATTCCCTTTGTCAGAGAGGACACTTAGAGTTTGTGCCATTTTTTTCCCTCCCCTTTGATGGAGCCAGAATAGCACTGCAAATACACAACAAAAGTGTTTTGATGCCTCTTTTACAAAAAGTACTATGCATCTTTCATATGAGATCTGCTTATTTAAAAGCATTTTAAATTGATATTGTCAGGGGTCCTACTGTTAAAGTCTACCAGTTAATTATGCTATGGCAGCAGGACCTACCTACATTTTATAACAGATTCATTGACAGGAGGCACAGCAACATAATTTAGAAAAATAGAATCTAATGATTCTGTCTTTTTCAGTCAGCAGGAGGGGGGCTCCATGCAGACGCACAAACCTGTGTCTGCAAAGGTGCAAGTGATTTGTCACTCAACAGTTATAACTCTTTGGGAATATGGGCAGAGATTTGAGGGATTTAAATAATATAGAGGGATAGAAAAAGGTATTATTGACAAACAAAAGAAGACATATGTTTGAAAGGAGAGAAAAATAAAATGTTTCAGAAAGATAGGACTGCATTTGGGAATTGTTGCTAAAAATAATGTGTCTAATTTGAGTATTCTAGTCCTTTTGTTTTTATGGAGATGAATCATTTTGATTTGGACCTTTTTAATGTGGGTTGATTATAAATAAATGCTATGGTTTGAATGTTTCCCCAGAAGGCATGTGTTGAAAACACGTGTTGGTAATCTCCAATGCAACAGTGTTGGAAATCTCCAATGCAACAGTGTTGGAAGGCGGGGCCTAAGAGGAGGTGTTTAGGTCATGAGGGCTACACCCTCAAGAAGAATAAGAGTTTGATATCGCAAGTTCGAGTTTGACCTCTTGCTTGCTCTCACCCTCTCTTGTCCTTCTGCATTCTATCACCTGCCATGGGATGATGCAGCAAGCAGGCCCTTGCAAGATATGAGCCCACTGACCTTAGATGTCTCACCTTCCAAAACTATAAAACACAAATCTCCATTCTTTATAAATTTCTCAGTCTGGTATTCTCTTATAGGCAGCATAAAATGGACCAAAGCAATGAGAGCACATAGGTTGAGATTAAAAATACATATATATTATTTATTATAACTTCAGTAAAATAACATTTAGAAGTGTATTTTCTGATTGATATTTACCATCTATGTTTTACATGATTGATGGGAATCCAGGGACCAGAATACATTTATCATTAAACCCTATTTAAAAATCTGTCTTTATTCTTCAGTAATTCAGAAGGCTTTCGCAAACTTGCGGGTTGGCAAGGTTTTCTAGAATGATTCCTCAGTCAAAGTAGAGGTGAGAAGGACTGCTGATGAAAGTGCAGACTTAGGGTACCAATTTTTCTCTGTCCTTTCATGGAGCCAGAATAGTACTGCAGACACCCAACAAACATGTTTTGATGGCTCTTTCACAGAAAAGTGCTATGCATCTTCATATGAGATTTGCAGCATCATTCCTCTGAGATTTGTAGCATCACCACACAAGAGATACTCGGGATTCGTCTCTGGAAGCCTCTCACCCAAGAAATAGCCCCACCTATGTACTCAAACACCACTAATTGTGGTGATTCTGCAGACAATGGGTTTCCTGGTGGCCATCAGCATTCAGTTTGGCTCACTTTTTTTGTCTGCATCTTATCCATGATTATAATCACAGATTCAAATCTTAAAACTTAAAAAGGATTGAACTCAAGTGTAGCAAACAGGGGGCTACATTGAAACACTGTGAGTTCAGAGGATACCTCTTTGTAGAGCAAGGACTTTACAACAGTCAAAATTTGTTAGTTTTCATGGGTATTTTGTTTGGAATTCCTGTTCAAATAGCTTCAATAGAAGGAACAGCTTTTCTAATTTTTTTCTCAATAACTGGTCGGGCCTCGGGCCATTTAAATTAAACACTTCAATAATACTAAAAAATCCTTTTACTTAGAGAGTTCCACTCAAATAAAGCAACAGGTTTAGCTTAAATTTCTGTTCTTCACTGTGATACTTAGCTTATGGTACTTCAGAAAATACATAACCACATGTGTCCTTCTCCATCTGCTCCTGTCCACCACCCACAAAACATTTTTGCCCCATGTGTTAGTCTTTATTCTTAGCCTGTTGCTTTCCATCATAATCTATTTTCTTAAACTGTACTAGACAGGGATTCTATTGCTCCCTTCTTTGGTCATACTTTTGTATTATTATCAAGACCATGTAGAAATGGCAGTGCTGCAACATGAATTTTTAACTTTGGGGATTTTTCTTACCGTGGTACTACTTTCAAGGGGAGGGCTGTTTGATTTTGTTAGATAATTATTGAATTCCATTTTGTCTGGGAGTTTTCTTATGAATAAATGATGTTGAAAGAACATAAATGAGTTTGACCTGCAATGTTAAAGGAATGTTTAGTAAATATATTACCCCACATACGCTGTAAAAAAATCTCAACATGTCCTTTCAATAATTTGGGTGTTTCACAATGAAAATAAAAAAATTTAGGTTTCAAAAAAATCTGCAGTCTTTGGCCTTTATTATGTCTCTTCTTATTCAAAAAGAAAATATATTTTTTATAATTATGTGAAAGCATTTTTAAATGATTGTGGGAAAATTTACATATGGGACATCTATCCATCTATCTGTATGCTAATAAAAAATGGGCAAATCTGAGGATAACAAAATACATCAAAATAAGGCTTAATGCTATGAGTAAATAAAACATAACAAATGGAATTAAAATCCCCATAGCATACAATTGAGTCTCATTGCTTCAGAGAAAATTCCAACCCTTTGCAAGTATCTACCAGAAATTTTCATGTCGTGCTGAAGTTAATATTCAGGGAATGGTGTCTATATCCTTCTATCTTCAGCCTTATCACCTGCTTTCTGTTCCACTTAACTTTAAGAAAGTGTCTCCAGTAATATAAAGTTTGATATGCTTCTTCTAGAACACAATCAATTTCATTATTCTACATCCTCTGACACATATGAAAATATAATGGAAAGCAAACATAAAGAGAGAAAGACTCCCAGAATTTTAACCAAAATTCCTCAAGTGTAGTTTTGTCTTTGTTTAGGATAAGACTAATGGTATTTAAATGTACATGTCCTTTGGGTATATACCCAGTAATGGGATGGCTGGGTCAAATGGTATTTCTAGTTCTAGATCCCTGAGGAATCTCCACACTGACTTCCACAATGGTCGAACTAGTTTACAGTCCCACCAACAGTGTAAAAATGTTCCTATTTCTCCACATCCTCTCCAGCACCTGTTGTTTCCTGACTTTTTAATGATTGCCATTCTAACTGGTGTGAGATAGTATCTCATTGTGGTTTTGATTTGCATTTCTCTGATGGCCAGTGATGGTGAGCATTTTTTCATGTGTCTTTTGGCTGCATAAATGTCTTCTTTTGAGAAGTGTCTGTTCATGTCCTTTGCCCACTTTTTGATGGGGTCGTTTGTTTTTTTCTTGTAAATTTGTTTGAGTTCATTGTAGATTCTGGATATTAGCCCTTTGTCAGCTGAGTAGGTTGCAAAGATTTTCTCCCATTTTGTAGGTTGCCTGTTCACTCTGATGGTAGTTTCTTTTGCTGTGCAGAAGCTCTTTAGTTTAATTAGATCCCATTTGGCAATTTTGGCTTTTGTTGCCATTGCTTTTGGTGTTTTAGACAAGAAGTCCTTGCCCATGCCTATGTCCTGAATGGTAATGCCTAGGTTTTCTTCTAGGGTTTGTATGGTTTTAGGTCTAACGTTTAAGTCTTTAATCCATCTTGAATTGATTTTTGTATAAGGTGTAAGGAAGGGATCCAGTTTCAGCTTTCTACATATGGCTAGCCAGTTTTCCCAGCACCATTTATTAAATAGGGAATCCTTTCCCCATTGCTTGTTTTTCTCAGGTTTGTCAAAGATCATATAGTTGTAGATATGCAGTGTTATTTCTGAGGGCTCTGTTCTGTTCCATTGATCTATATCTCTGTTTTGGTACCAGTACCATGCTGTTTTGGTTACTGTAGCCTTGTAGTATAGTTTGAAGTCAGGTAGTGTGATGCCTCCAGCTTTGTTCTTTTGGCTTAGGATTGACTTGGCGATGCGGGCTCTTTTTTGGTTCCATATGAACTTTAAAGTAGTTTTTTCCAATTCTGTGAAGAAAGTCATTGGTAGCTTGATGGGGATGGCATTGAATCTGTAAATTACCTTGGGCAGTATGGCCATTTTCACGATATTGATTCTTCCTACCCATGAGCATGGAATGTTCTTCCATTTGTTTGTATCCTCTTTTATTTCCTCGAGCAGTGGTTTGTAGTTCTCCTTGAAGAGGTCCTTCACATCCCTTGTAAGTTGGATTCCTAGGTATTTTATTCTCTTTGAAGCAATTGTGAATGGGAGTTCACTCATGATTTGGCTCTCTGTTTGTCTGTTGTTGGTGTATAAGAATGCTTGTGATTTTTGTACATTGATTTTGTATTCTGAGACTTTGCTGAAGTTGCTTATCAGCTTAAGGAGATTTTGGGCTGAGACAATGGGGTTTTCTAGATATACAGTCATGTCATCGGCAAACAGTGACAATTTGACTTCCTCTTTTCCTAATTGAATACCCTTTATTTCCTTCTCCTGCCTAATTGCCCTGGCCAGAACTTCTAACACTATGTTAAATAGGAGCTGCTATAAAGACACATGCACACGTATGTTTATTGTGGCATTATTCACAATAGCAAAGACTTGGAACCAACCCAAATGTCCAACAATGATAGACTGGATTAAGAAAATGTGGCACATATACACCATGGAATACTATGCAGCCATAAAAAATGATGAGTTCATGTCCTTTGTAGGGACATGGATGAAATTGGAAATCATCATTCTCAGTAAAGTATCGCAAGAACAAAAAACCAAACACTGCATATTCTCACTCATAGGTGGGAATTGAACAATGAGAGCACATGGACACAGGAAGGGGAACATCACACTCTGGGGACTGTTGTGGGGTGGGGGGAGGGGGGAGGGATAGCACTGGGAGATATACCTAATGCTAGATGACGCGTTAGTGGGTGCAGCACACCAGCATGGCACATGTATACATAGGTAACTAACCTGCACATTGTACACATGTACCCTAAAACTTAAAGTATAATAATAAAAAAAAATACAGGTAAACTTAAGTTTGCTTCATGTTCAAGTGTCAATACATATGGAAAAAAAATAAATGTACGTGTCACAATTTAAATTCTGAATGTTTCTTTATATAATAAGAAAAATACTAGAATACAACATAAATGATGGGCCTGCATTTTCACATCCAGGCAAATATTTTCATAAAAAGGTAATTTTTTTGAAAAGTGCAATAGGGTGGCTGGCTTATAAAACATAATTATATTACTATTGCTTTTCAATATGACTATAATAACAGTCATACAATTTATAAAGAACCCTATCAGATCTGCAAAAGAAATTACATAGGAAAAAGTAAAACCTACAAAAAAGTCAACTAACACTTAACTTAAAATGATAAAACTATCATTTTAAGGAGACGATATAATGAATGGGAAGAAAATTCCTGGTTGCAGATTTCTGGTGAGTTTTATGTATATACTTAGTTAGTTTATAGCATCTAGTTATTCAATCAAATACTCATCTATGTGTTGGTGTGAAGGTACTTTGTAGATGTGGTTAACATCTACAATCAGTTGACTTTAAGTAAAGGAGGTTTTTCTTGATAATATGGTGGGGTTTGTCCAATAAGTTGAAAAGCTTTAAGAGCAAAACTGAGGTTTTCCTCAGGAAGATAAACTCCCTGAAGACTACAGTGTCACCTCTTGCCTGGGAGTTCTAGGCTGCCAGAATGACCTATGGAGTCCATAAGCCAATCCTTAAGCATATGCTAATTCCTTGAAAAAAACATAATAAATATGTGTATCTCCTTGTATATCCTGCTTGTTCTATTTGTAAGGAGAACCTTGACTGATATTGTGTTAGTCCATTCTCACGCTGCTAATAAAGACATACCTGAGACTGGGTGATTTATAAAGGAAAAAGGTTTAATTGACTCACAGTTCAGCATGGTTGAGGAGGCCTCAGGAAACTTGCAATTATGGCAGAAGGGGAAGCAAACATCTTTTTTTCATGAGGCAACAGCAAGAAGAAGTGCTGAGTAAAAGAGGGTAAAGGCTCATATAAAACCATCAGATCTAGTGAGAAATCACTCACTATAGTGAGAATAAAATGAGGGTAACTGCCTCTATGATTAAGTTACCTCCCATGGGTCCCTTCCACAACACGTGGGGATTATGGGAACTATAATTCAAGACGAGCTTTAGGTGGGTACACAGCCAAACCACATCAGACATGACATAGCAGTGTTTAGTAGTGTGATGATACTAATCTATCCCAGAAATATATACATATTTAACTGTATTCTAGTTAAATAAATCTGCAATATGAACAAATTTGACAGAAGCTTAACTAGATAATATTGAAAGAGTGTAAATATACAAAGGTACAATAGACAAACTGTATATGACTGTATATGACTCAACAATCTCTGTAAAAACTAGCTGGGGAAGTCAATCTACAACTTCTGTAGCTTTTTTTTTTTCTTTTCTTTTAGGAACAGACAGGACTTGTTGAACTATTGTTGACTTTGCCCCTGCTTCCAGCTCAGTAAAAACAGATTAAGCCAAATATGCTTCCAAAACTAATCACATGGAATGCCTTACTTCTAATTAGTGTTCTCCAGCTTCCTCTTTTTCTCTCTCTCTTTCTCTCTCTCACTGTAAAGGCTTCCCTCTCCTTTGCCTCCTTTCAGTTTCTGCCAAATCTAAATTATGAAGGCTGATTCCCTTATTACAGCAAGCTCCCAATAAAGAGACTCTGTTCTTATTTGAGTAGCTTTCATTTATTTCCCCAGTTCTCCTGGAGCTTCCATAGAGATACAGTCTGCATTGCCTCTAGACATGGACTCCAGCCTTTAAACAGGTGTGACATTCACAGAGGTCGCTTGTGTCTTGCTGCTTTGCTCATGGCTTGTGGGGTCCCTGCCTATGTGCCACGTCAGCATCAGGTCTGAACTTTACTCTCTTTGCCTTAAATTCCATAGCTATTTATTCTCATTTTGGTAGCTAGATTTTTTTTTTTTTTGGTTCTAATTTGTTTAACATCCTTGGTAGAATCAGGCAATTCCTTTATATCCACTTTTGCTCTCTTTTGTGCTTTTATTTTTGTGTTGTTCTATCTAACAGTGTTACATGTCGTAAGGAGAAACACAAGTTGAATCGCAGCTCAGAACCAAGCATAAGCCTGTGGTTAAATCTGGTCTTGCAGACTGGTATATTTGTGGTCCTCTCCTAACTGGCATCCATGTGAACAAACTGCAGTGGGTCACCAGTAAAACTGGATAAAGTTCTCCTTTTATTTCTGATATTTGGTCTGAGAGCTTGGCTATGATACAGAGAGTACATTTTTTTTTTCTGGTTTTTCATCTGCTAAGGATCCAGATTGTCAGGTCTGTGTTCTGAGGTGGCCAGCAATGGAGTTGAGGGTTTAAGTACATAAGTATTGCTTTAGACTTAGCATTGACACTTCTCATGGGATATTCTAAATGGTATCATCCTCCAGGAAAAATCTTCTGTTTCTTACATGTTTCTATCTCATTATAATTCTGATTTTTGTTTCTGTCTCTCTAAATGACATAATTTCAATAAGACTGATTTGGCCACTCTGGGAAACACTTAACTTGAACTAATTGTTTATTTGGAAGTCTCCTTAGAAAAGGAAGGAGATAAGATTCCTCAGGCCCCAATGGACAGCAATATGTATTAGTACACAGAGCTCTCCAAATATAACCCTGATTAAAAAATTGCTTTGTTGAAAAGAATCCTTGGCCAAATCTAACAAGCAATTTGACAAACTTAAGCAACAACAAACTAGATTCATTTCCTTGGTGAATCCTGCCCCTACTTGTGCTCCAGTTGTCTTTCTATATTGAGCTCGCCTGCTTCTCGCTATGCTCTAATTTGTCTTTTTTCCACCGCTCTACTCCCCTTCCCCTTGTCCTGACCCTCCACCTTTTCCAACAGCTCTTCTAAGATCTCCCAATGCCAGTTGCCTCTAAAGATTCATCCTCCCATGCGCCAGGTAGCAGGCAGATAAGGAATTTAAATCTTTTATCTCAGCTGAATTAAGACTGGTAATTAAGAATTTCCCTGAATCCAGATAAAATCAACCACTATTCATAGAATAATTTAGAACGTTTCAGTGCCTATGACCCAGTGTTACCTGAAGTTGTGATCAACTTCTACACATGTTGATCAGAACCTGAGAAACCGAATCCTGAGCATAAAAGCTGATTGAATTGACCTGGAAAGAGATAACCGGGATCCCTCTTTTCAAAATATACTTGAAGATCAAAAAAAGTTTCAGAAGGTAGAATAGAGGCTCTTAAAACTGCACTCAAACATTTCTAATGAAAATTGATTGAAACATAATTAAATCATGCAAACAAGTAGAAAATGGAACTATAGAATATTTTGAGATAAATTGGGAAATAATTTCTACTTTTTGGTGTTACAGAAGCTGCTGATATAAAAGTGGTCCTTTCATCTTACTTTGTCAATAAAATTAAACCTGAAGTTTGAAACCTAATTTTAAAAAACAGGATTAAAATGAAAAATAGCCTTTTTATCTGAACTACAATACTCAAAAAAAAGAAAAACATTTTAAAGGAACTTTAGAACAAAAATCAGACAGGACTCAAAATAAACGTGTTGTTCTACAGATTAAATAGCTAGGTGGCCTACTTCTGAACCAAGCACTTATTGAGCAGGACACTTGTAGCTATTGTAAACAGGAGGAACACTGGAACAAAAAAGATTCTCTCATATTACAAAAGAGAAATCAGGATGAAAAAAGTCTTTTTATAGATCAAAGAGGGTACTTCAAGAAAGAAAAAGAGCTCAGATCCTGCCTTACACTTAAACAATCAAGGTGAATTAACTATAAACATAGATGGTCAAACTTATCAATCTCTGATTTATAAAGGTGTAACTCTTTTTATATTAAATACTGCTATCTTTGTTCCACTTCTTACTCAAAGTAAGCATACCACACTGGGTATAGGTATTTCAAATAACCAACAGATTTTCTCTGTCTCCTAACCATTAACTATCACCCTCCAGTCCATGAGTGAATATATTTCTTCCTGCTGTGTGATATCATACCTAAAAATTTAATAAGGAATGGCTTAAGTTGTAAACGAAATTGCACATTTATACCAGAAGGACTATTTCTTAAGTTTTAGACTCAGGATTCCTCTACTCATAATCAAATTGTCTTCTTTGTACATATTTTTGTCTTCACTATTACATTTGATACATTCTCCAAAGATCTTGACATCACATCTGATAGACAAGGTGCTAAAAATTTCACTGACATAGAAAAATAATTGATGCGGAACCCATTAAGTTTCAAATAGAGTCTACTAAAGTGCTACCCAAACTTGCCCAAATCCTTTAAAACCAGAAGTAAAGGAAGGATCAAACCTGTAATGGAAGTTTGTATACCTGAAGACTTACTTTATCATGCACTGCATTAGTTCTTGTTACTTTCCTGTCCTTTCAGAAAATAAGCCAAATAATGGAGGAAAACTATTTGTTCCAGGAAAGAAACCAAATGAATGAAGAAATCGACCTGTTCTTGATCTCAGGGTCACCAACAAAATTATAATGCTTCACTTCCCCATAGTATGAAAGCCAAATGCCATCTTATCATCAATTCTGCCTGAAGCTACTACCTTTACTGTACATATCTTTTCTCTGCCTTTGTTCCATGTGCCTTTAGACTAGGAGAATCACTAACTTTTTGCCTTCATCTGGGGAAGACAACAATATACCTAACAGTTGTGCCCAGGGGTCCACTGAAGGCCCCTGCTATTTTTCCCAGGTCCTCAATCAAAACTTAAAAGATCTAAATTTCCTTTGATTCAGTTCTCATACCATATGTAAATGATCTTCTACTTTCTTCAGATAACAGGTACAGACAACAATTTGTAAAATGAATTTCATTTACTTGCTTTTGGCCTTAGCTAACAAAGGAAGCATATGTTTCAAAAGAAAAAGTATAATTTCATCCCACAGTCCATTATTTAGGGCATGACTTTAATAAGGAAAAATAGATTAAGAATGTCCAAACTTATTATAGGCCCCTTAAATGTAATAGTTGAGATGATTTCTAGGTTTAATGGGATATGGCAAAAACTGCATAGAATAAATCTCAAATACATACTCTGCATAGAATAAATCTCAAATACATACTAACACACACCCCTACGCATATTGTATTTAAACTACAGAAAAGAAAATGCAAAAGGAAAATCTTGAAGGCCAGAGACAGAAAACCAGCTTAGATGTAAAGAAACAAGGATAAGAATTACAGCAAACTTTCTGTCAGAAATCATGCAAGCAAGAAGACAGTGGAGTAAAATATTTAAATTGTTGAAAGAAAAATAAACACCAACCTGGAATTCTATAATCAGTGAAATCATTCTTCAAAGTGAAGAAGAAATAAGTGCTTTTTTTCAGATAAACAAAATGAAGAGAATTTATTGCTAGTAGACTTTTGTTGAAAGAAATGTTAAGATGTTCTTCAAGCAGGAGAGAAATTATATGTATATATGCATAATATATTATATATACTCATATATATGTTTAATATTTAATTATAAATTTATAATATTTAATGTTATATTAAATATATAATTACATTATATTATATATAATTGTATATATATGACTAGTGAATGCTTCTCCTCTACAATGAGAGGTCAAAGATAGTCTCTTTCAGCACTTTTCTTCATTATGATACTGAACTCTCTAGGTAATGGAAAAATCTTAAAAATAAATTTTACACATTGGAGAGAAGTAATAAACTATATTTTCTTCATAGATGATATGTTATTCTATGTAGAAGACTCCAAAGATACCTTAACCTTTTACAAAAATTAAGTAAATATTTACTATAGTACTAAATGTAAAATGTAAAATTATAAAACTTTCAAAAGAAACCATAAGAAAAATTCTATGAATTCTATGTGGCTTTGGGTTTGATGATAAGCTTTCATATATAACACCAAGGGTGAAACTAAGAAATTTGATGAATTTGACTTTATTAAATTTAAAATCTGCCTCGCAAAATACACTGTTAAGAGGATGATAAGACAAATCAAACAGTGGAAGAAAATATTTGTAAAACAAACATCTGACAAAACATTTGTATCCAAAATATACAAATAACTGTTAAAACTCAACATTAAGAAAACAAAAATGCATTCAGAAATGAGAACAGTATCTGAACAGATGCCTCAGCAAAAATATGTACAGATGGAAAATAAGCATATGAAGAGATGTTCAACATATTTTGTCATGATAGAATTGCTATTTAAACAATGAGATACCACTGTGTACCTATTGGAATGTCTAAAATCCAAAAACTAACAGCAGTTGCTGGTGTGGATATGGATCAACAGGAACTAAGAGTTTTCATTCAGTGGTGGAAATGCAAAATGGTACAGACACCTTGGAAGACAGGTTGGCAGCTTCATATGAAGTCAACATAATCTTATATGATTCAGCCATTGTGCACTCCCAACTTATTTAAAAGCTTATGCCCACAAAAAAATCCTATACACAAATGTTTGTAGGAGCTGTATACACTATCACTAAACAATGGAAACGACACAAATGACCTTAAATAGGTGAACAGATAAACTGGTAGATCCACCAAATGAAATGCTATTTAGCAATAAAAAGGGATAGCAATCACGCCATGCAAAGACATGTATAAATCTTAAAATCTGTATTACCATTAAAAGAAATAAGACTGTAGGGCTATATGCCATATGATTCCATTCATGTGGTTGTAGAGTTAGAGTTGGTAAACACATCAGTTGTTGCCAGGGATTTGGTGAAGGAGTTGAGTTGTTTAGGTGAAGCACATAGTATTCTTAGGAATTCATACTGCAGCAAGAATATCTAAATATACTAAAAATGATTGAAATAACCTTACTGAAGGGAAGGGAGGATATCTGCTGACTTAAGTAGCACTGGAGATGAATGGAGCCTCTAAGACTGAAGGCAAAATAAACTGCACATGAACACTGTATTCTGGTTGTTCATCTGTTCCCACTGGAGTATGGTTTTAAAATTCTGAAACCACTATACACTTTTTGCATACAGGAATGAAACAAGTAAATGTATGGAAGATGGAGAAAGCTACTGCTGAAGCGAGAGTTTAAAGACAAACAAGGGGAGAAAGCTAGAGTGACCCATGTGGTAATGAATAAGGGTTGGAAACATCAGTATGAACTCATGTTTATCTTAATATGGATAAAGATGGATCCATATGGAAATGTTTATAGATATGTGTATATATGTGTGTTAGTATAAACATGTATTTTTCTCTATCAGCTGAGAGTGCCTAGAAACAATGATATCCAAATATTAACCAACATCCAGAATTCATATCTTGGTTGCTAAGACCCTTCTCCAATAGTAGGAACCAGAATCATTTAGAGAAATGATTGATCCTAGGACTGAAGATGAAAATATACCAGATGAGCTTGGAGCATCCTATTGTACCAGAAAGTAATAATGTGCTAAAGCAACAACAACAACAACAACAACAGCAGCAGCAGCAACAACTCATAGTCATAAGAATACGTCAAAGGGACACAGGGACAACAGAGGTACCATCTGAAAGACTCCCTACAGCTAGACCTGGAAAAATTTGGGTAACATTTCTTTAATTTGTTTTAAATTATAACTCAAAATATAAAATAAGTATCCATGAGATCATACTGCCATACATAAGTGATTTAAAAAGTAAATAATTGGAGTAACAAATTAATGTCTTTTTTGGTTTGATTTCAATTATTTTATGTGGAAACTCTATTCTCAAAGAGGTGGAATATAACTTCTGTTCCCTTATGTATGGACCGTGTATAGTGATTTTTACCTAAAGAACACCATATGGAAAGGGAGAAGAAAAGAATAAGTTTACAGTAGAGAAGCCTGTGAAATACTACCTCAGCCGGTGGTCGAAGTCAATATCAATGGTGATAAATTATTTTGATAGAATGTACCTTTGATACAATGTGATAAAAAGAACACTTTAACTCTTTGATCTTCTTCCACTCAAAATACAATCCAAGTTAATAATGAGAAAAAGCATAAGCAAACTCAATTGAGGAACATTCTGCAAAGTACTTGATCAGTTCTCAAAACTGTCAAGATTATCAAAAGCAAAACTAGTCTGGAAAACTGTCCCAATCAAAAAGGGCCTAAGGAGACATGACAGCTAAATGGAACATGATATCCTAGACAGGATAACTTAACAGAAAAAAGGACTTAGTAAAAACTGGGGAAATATGAATAAATTATACATTTTGAGTTAATTACGTATCAGAATTGGTCCTTTAGTTGTGACAAATATGCCATAGTAATGTAAGATTTTAACAACAGGCAAAAACTGTGTACCTATGGGAACTCTTTGTATTATCTTCTCAACTATTCTGTCAATCTAAAAAATTCGAATATAAAACATTTAGCCCCTCTCCCCTCAAAAAGAAGTTGAAGTATTTTTTTTGTGAAAATATTTTTAAATGAAGTCAAATATTCTTTCATTTTCCATATGACTGTTAGTAGCTCAGCCATGATTCTCTTTGCTGTGTATGGAAGTTATAGACTTTGAAGGAAAATATAATGTAAATTAGCGTATTTGAAAATTGCATATTTGTCAACAGGGGTCTGAAAAATATGTATTCATAAAAATAAATACATTTATTTTAGATCATTTACATTCAGCTATTTCTCTGGCTTTTGTTTTTACATTACCTATGTATATTGATTTTTCAATAAAATATACTCAAGATTATATGAAAATTATTATGAAATTGGCTAGATGAAACACTGCTGTTTAAAATGAAAATAACATTTTTATTTTACTTTCAAATACTCTCTCCTTTTCATTCCCACTTATTATAGGGAGACTTAAAGAATTATTTGAGGTTGTTTGAATAATGAGAATGAGACTAAGAGCATTTATTCTGTAGCTGCAACAGGCTTTTCCTAATTCTTAGGTCTTTGGTAAATCTTTTATAGGACCAAGTGGCTTTTAACATTTGAAGTGGTGGCTTAGAATTTGAAATACTTGCAATATTAGTAATTTATGAAAGCTATAGCTGGGTTAGCTCTTACCTAACTTTTTATTTAAGAATAGTAATAATCAGATACATTTCATTCATGGCTCCTGCTAGGTGAATTTATATTAGGCTGAAATTAAATGGGCTTAATAAGGTGAATGCCAATATCACATAATGAGATGTTCTCTTTAACTAATTTCTAGGATATTATTAGAATACTATAAAAACATTTCCAGAATCCAACTTTAGGAAGTAATGGCATAGAAACTGAGTATTTATTTATGGACTGAGTTTAGACTAGGTTTATTAAAATGGATATAAAGATGGATACAATATAGTTCCTTGCCTTCAAGAAGCTTGATTTGAGAGGAAGAAGCAGTGCAAAGCCCTATATCATGCCTCTGATAAGAGAAGCACTGGGTGCTGGGAGGCCCCTAAGAGAGATGCTTAAACAAAACTGAGTAAGGAATTGAGATAGGAACTGGTTTCTGAAAATGTAATTTAAAAGGAGAGTTGGAATTTAGGTAGAACTCAAGAACTTAATCTGTACAGACAGAACACGTGTAAGACATTTTGGCAGAATGGAGTATTACTTATTACAGAAAATTGCAAGGGTTCAGTGTGCTTCAGGGCAATTATTAGAGTTAAGGCTAAAGAGGCAAGTGAAAGACAAATTCAACTAAGTCAGTAATAATGTCTACTTAATTTATGGTTACTTACATCATATTCGTTATTAGTGCAATGCCAACAGATATTTTTGTAGTTTTATGGTAGTAGAAAAATCTGTGTCATTCCTGACATAGACAATAATGATAACTCCAATGTAATGTCTAATTTGAAGGTAATAAATGCAATTGATTAGAATTATTCAGACCTGGATTCCTGATTGTGAGGGAAGGAAGAAAAGAGTAAACTAAAATGGTTTATTATCTCATCTAGAGAATTCCAGTTAACTGAGTGGACTTGAGGGATGATGTCCTCTTTTCTGTAAGTTGTATAGGGGAAGTACAATTTACTTAAAATACTGATATCCCTCAGTAAAAATTTTTTAAGGTTTTATTAGCTACTGTTTTGGCTTCTAAATCTTAGTAAGACTGTCATATATTAACGTGCAATGAAAGCAAGAAGTGTATTCTGCAAAGCATAGGAGACTTATATAGAGTTGGGCATGCTTGTTTCTATTTTTACCTTTGTAAAGGTAAAAAATAGACTCCGTGACTCCTGCTTTTTTCTGTTGTAACAAAATTCAGCTTTCTCTACATAGTGGCTCCAAACAAAATCCTAGAAATGACTAAATACTACAGAAAATATGTCAGATTTTGTTTATCTAATGCTTATAAATATATAATATAGTTACAACTGAATGTAGTCACATTGATGTTATACCATTTGTCATTATTATAAAATAAGTATTCATAAACTGTGTGCCTACTACATCCAGAGGTTGTCCTAGGCACTGCTAAGATGTTGTACAAAATAGCCTCAGCTACTCTCAGATAGGTTACATTCTAGGAGTATTTAGCCCCAGCGTGTAGGGCTTTATGAGTCCTCACTAAAACGGCTATATAAAAATATCAATCAGTGATATGATTGTAACTAATCCTAAAAAATTAAATAAGTATTTATAGAATCAGAAATACTCAGATCTAATCCAGCATCTTTAAAACTGGGCAACATAGCTGAATGTCAGATATCTGTTTAAATGCTCTACGGAGATCTCTATGTTAAATAATATCTCAGAAAGAATGTATGCAACAATCTTTGGAAATCTGAAATATGTACTAACATACTTTAATTAACTTCTATTAACTTTAATATACTTCTATTCACATTTACTTTTATCGAACTTGAAATGGTGAGTTTCATTTTTGTCCAGTTCATATCATCTGGGGAATTAATACAGTTCTCTAAATACTCTGAAGGTCACCTACCTTATGTTCATATCCTAGAAGATAATTGAATTATGATTTTTTAAAGCAGGTTTGTTATGTTTTGAGGAAAGCGAGTCTACAAGCTATTTTTTTGACAGGAGAAAAAATCTTAGGAAAAACACACTATACAGAGAGATTCGTTTCACAAATTTGTTATATACTAGGATATGAAATCACAGGAAAGTGTAGATTTAGATATTCATTGGATGTGGCATCAGGTAAGAAGCATAGAGCTGATAAAGAATATAATTTAACTTTGTTTTTCTATGTCTGAGAGTCCCAAATGCTATAATTCTATTTTCTGACATATCACATTTTCTATCTAATTTGATCTAAAATTATATAATCACTTCAAATTTATGCTTGGTGTTCCTTGGTTGTGCATGGGAAGGCAGAAATTTGCAGTATATAAAAGGAGAGTTTATTTCCTCAAAAAATGCTGTATTTATCACTAGTTTCATCATTTACTGTGGCAGTGCCTCCAATATTACCATGAAGACTGCATGAAACAAACGTTCAAGGAAGCTAAATGCTGTGAAAATAGAAAGGCTATATGGGAAATGGATGATTTTTGCAATGAAGAAAAAATCCAGTTGCTCCATTGACCACTGACAAGGAGGCCATTTAACAAATAGTACTTATTAAAGAATACACTTTAACAGTTTCATAAAGCCCAAGCCAATACTGGAACAGAGACAGATTCATGAATACCTGGGATTAGATTCAGATAATGTAGACAATTGTATTTTTTCCAACATCAGAAATGTGATCAAACATTAACATTAATATCATTCAATAGTGACTTTGGACTTTTGGCTGTTTGCTTCCGAGAAATGTGAGTTGTTTGACTCAGTTTAGTCAGGGTTTGGAGACAAAAAATATCTTATAGTGTAAAATAGATGCTTTCTTATCTGGAGTAAAATCTAGTTCTACTTCACTGGTGGTGGAATAAAACATGTAAATATCATCTGGAAGGCCAAGCCTATTAAGATCAGGAGTGGAGGGGTACCACGTTATCACCAATATAATTAGGAGAGAGAGCTATATAATGAATAAAATCATTTTATAAGTCTATTTTCATTCAACATTAGTAAGAATAAATACTTATACAATAATATAAACATGGAAAATACTAAAGAAATGACATATTTTACCAATTTAACAAAGACCACAACACACAAAAGGAGACAAACAATAAATCAGGTAGTTACAATTTAGTTTAATGACAGGGCAAAATTATCGAGACATCTATAGGAATAGCAAGTAATTCAAACACAACTAAAGGAGGGCATGTCAAAGAAAAATGCTGACAGGTGCTCTTCGAGCTGAATGTTAAAGGACAATAAAAATTAGGTGTTCAAATTAGTGGTAGAATAGTATTCCAGTGAATGTTATTCAGGGACAGGAGTGGAGCGAATGGTAGCAGAATAGGCAAAACTGCAGAACACAAAGAAGCATGGCTTATTTGTGTGTAAATTTATTGGGGGTAATTCATCTGGAGATGAGATTGATCAGGTAACTGGGAAAAAGGGAACAAATCAGCCAGCTTACTCTCATCTATTTCTTTCTGCATTCATAAAACACAAAATTGGAATGATCTCTTGTATTAGTCAGGATTCTCAGAGAAACAGAACCAATTGTGTGCATACAAGCTGAAGATCCAGAGAAGAGTTGATTTTGTAGCTTAAGTATAAAAGCCAGTTTGGAGGTATAATTTCAGAGAGTTCCTTCTTTTTTTCTATTAAGGCCTTCAACTAATTGGCTGAGGTCCACTCACATTAAGAAGGATAATCTGTTTTTGTGAAAGTCTACTGATTTAAATGCTAACCGTATCTAAAATATATCTTCACAGAGACATTTGGACTGGTGTTTGACTAAATATCTGGGTACCATGGCCTAGCCAAGTGGACACATAAAATTAACCATCACGAATCTACTCCTTGTAAACTTGGTACTCATACACGTCTCCTCAAGCAACACTTAATCTCCATATAAACACAACAACATGGTCACATTTCCATTTAACATGTTACATGGATATTTCAGTAGTATTGCAGGTTTCATTTCTGAACATTGCTAGAAAGCAGATATTGAAAGAAAGAAAGCTATATGAACTTTTTATTTCTCAGTGCATATGAAAGTTATGTTTGCATGATACTGTACTCTACAAAATGTGAAATGGCATTATATATAAAAATACAATGTAAATACCTTAGTTAATAATTATTTCATTACTAAAAACTTAAAATGATCATCTGAGCCTTTAATGAGTCATAACCATTGTGCTAGTGAAAGGGCTTGCCTCCACGTTTGTGGCTACTGACTGCTTAGGATGGTGGTTGCTAAAGGTTGAAGTGGCTGTTGCAATTTCTTAAATACAACAACTATAAAGTTTGTCACATTGATTTACTCTTTCCTACACAAAAATTTTTCTGTAGCATGCCATGCTGTTTGATAACATTTACCCACAGTAGAACTTCTTCCAAAATTGGAATCAATACTCTAAAACCCTGCTGCTGCTTTATAAACTAAGTTTATGAAATATTAAAAACCTTTGTTATCATTAAAATAATGTTCACAGCGTGTTTACCTGAAGTAGATTCCTTCCAAGAAACTATTTTCTTTTCTCATGCATAAGAAGCAGCCTATTAGTTGTTCAAGTTTTGTCATGAGATTGCAGCAATTTGATCACATCTTTAGGCTGCACTTCTAATTTGAGTTCTCTTGCTATTTTTCACCACATCTGCAGTGACTCCCTCCACTGAAGTTCAAATCCCTCAAAGTTATCCATGAGGGTTGGCATCAACTTCTTTCAAACTCCTGTTAATGTTGACATTTTTATGTTGTTCCATTAATTATGAATGTTCTTAACGTCATCTAAAATGAGAACACATGGACACATAAAGGGGAACAAGACACACTGGGGCCTTTTGCAGAGTGGAGGTTGGGAGGAGGGAGAGGCTCAGAAAAAATAATGAGAGGGTACTAGGCTTAATACCTGGGTGGTGAAATAATCTGTACAACAAATCTCCCTGACACAAGAGTTTACCTATGCAACAAACCTGCACTAGTACCCCCGAAGTTAAAATAAAACTTAAGGAAAATAATTTTAAAAATAAAAAAATAAAAAATGAATGATGAGTTCTTTCCAGGAGGTTTTCAACTGGCTTTGCACATGTCCATCAGAGGAATCACCATCTATGGCAGCTACAGCCTTATGAAATGCATTTATTAAATAACAAGAATTGAACATTGAAATTACTCCTTGACCAATGAGCTGCAGAATGGATGTTGTGGTAGCAGGCATACAACGTTAATCTACTTGTACTTCTATATCTGAGCTCTCGCATGACCAAGTGTCTTGTCAATGAGCGGTACTATTTTGAAAGGCGTCTTTTTTTCTGAGGACTGTTCAACAATGGGGTTAAAATATTTATTAAACCATGTTGTAAATAGATGTTCTGTCTTCCAGGCTTTGTTGTTCCATTTACAGAACACATACACAGTAGATTTAGCATAATATTTAGGGGCCTTAGGATTTTTGGACTGGTGAATGAGTGTTGGCTTTAACTTAAAGTCACCAGCTGCATTAGCCCCTAACAAGATATCCAGAATATTCTTTGCAGCTTTGAAGCCACATGTTGATTCTCCTTTCTCTCTGCAAGAGACAACATCTTCTTTCACTGAATGACTGTTTTGTCTACATTGAAAATCTGTTGTTTACTGTAGCAACTTTAATCAGTTATTTTAGCTAGATCATCTGGATAACAAGCTACAGCTTTCACATCAGCAGCTTTACCTTCATCTTATTTGATATGGAGATGGCTCTTCTTACTTGAACTTCATAAACCAACCTCTACTTGCTTCAAATTTTTCTTCTGTAGACTTCTCACCTCTTTTAGGCTTCATAAAATTGAAGAGCATCAGGGCCTGGCTCTGGATTAGATTTTGGCTTAAGGGAATATTGTGGATGATTAGATCTTTTATTTAGACCACTAAAACTTTCCCCATATCAGCAATGAGGGTATTTTGCTTTCTTATCATTCATGTGTTCACTGAAGTATTACTTTTAATTTCTTTTTGCATTTATAACATTTTCTTTGCATTTACAACTTGGCTATTTATTCGGCACAAGAGATCAAGATTTTAGCCTATATTGGTTTTTAACAATGCCCTTCTCACTAAGCTTAATTATTTCTAGCTTTTGATTTAAAGTGAGAGATGTGTGACACTTTCTTTCACTTGAACACTTAAAGGTCATTGTAGGGTAATTAATTGGCCTAATTTCAATATTATTGTGTCTCAGGAAATAGGGAGGCTCAAGGAGAGAGAAATGGGCAATGGCCAGTCAGTGGAGCAGTCAGAACACACACAGCATTTATCGATTAAGTTCCCTATCATATATTGGTGCAGTTTATGAACTCCCAAAACAATTATAATAGTAATATCAAAGAACACAGATCATGATAACAAACATAATAATAATCAAAATGTTTGATATATTGAGAGCATCATTAAAATGTGACACAGAGACACAAAATGAGCACATATTGTTGCAAAAATGGCACCAATAGACTTGCTGAAAAGAGTTGCCACAAACTTTCAAATAGTAAAAAATGCAATATTTGCAAAGCACTATAAAGCACGATAAAAAGATGTATACCTGTACAACTGTCCTGCATATAATTGAAAATGCACTAATTTATTCTATAGAAGAGAATGAAAAGTATGTGGGGGATGTTCATTATTCTCCTCGATACGTTGTAACTTAAATACTATGATGTTAAGATAACAATATGTAAGTAACGATATGTAGAGTGAGTACATCGTTTGTTATGTCATAAGAGGATAAGAGAGGGGAGAAAACAAAGATATTTGCTACACACACATGCATACCCACCTATTTAAAAAAAAGAAGAAATACTCATGACAACTATAGGCCTCATTTCTTTAACTTATCACATGGTCATAGGTGGAAGGTACAACTACCTTCTTCCACTAATCATTCTGTATTCTCTTTTCTTTGAAGAAGCAACTCAGATGGTCATGATTCTTTACCTGGTACAGGCAATCAAACCTTTATTCCTGAAGAGTCTAGGGTCATTAGTAGTTCTGTAGAAAGTGGCTTGTAGTTTTTCATTGACTTTAATCACAGAGCATGGTAATATTAACAGATGCCCTGAATTCTTCTGTATTCCAGAAATACTCTTTCTTATATCCACTCATCCAAGTCAGTGTAGTATTAATCACTCCCTTCTTTGCCTATTGAATTAGAGGCATGAGGAAGACAAAGTGGCCAGGTAGCAGTCTTAATTTCCAATTCAAGGGAATCATTTTTGTATCTCCTGGTGGAAGCATTGCTCACTTTGGAACTAAGACTTTCAGGTCAGAAGAGTGTAAGGTCATAGAGATAGGAAGTACATATAGCCTAATGCTGCCTCCTTATGTATTTTAAGTTTGGCTTAAGTATTTCTCTGTACATACTAAATTGTAATCTAACTGGGTGTGTAAACACACTGTATTCTGTTCTTGTACCAGCCAGCAAGTTTTCACCAATGAAAGGTGGCCAACTGTTCAAAACATGTTCAAATTCGGCAAATACCAAGCTGTAACCAATCCAGCTGTTTTTGTACCTCACTTCCATTTTCTGTATGTCACTTTCCTTTTTCTGTCCATAAATCCTCTCCAACCATGAGACAACCATTGAAACTCTCTGAACCTGTTCTGATGGGAGAAACTGCCTGACTGAGGAATTGCACTTCACTCAATTAAACGCTGTTAAATTTAATTTGTCTAACATTTTTCTCTTAACAGAAACAAACGTTTTGTTATTAGGCCACTAAGAATGATAGTAAGTGTTACCACTTCCATTTCCACCTCTTGGTTCCTGGACCTGTGAAACCTGGCTATGTAAGAAACAGCACCATATATTAAATGTTGAATCAGAGAATATACAGCCCTATGGAGAGCCTTGCTCCAGGCCCTCAGAAGGTATTGCCACCTGCCTGGCATGATAACTAAGTCTTCAAAGGACATTCACCGTTGTACCAAGCCAGCTGCTTCCAGATGGCAGGGAACATGGTAAAACCAATGAATTACTTGAGGATTAGCCCATTGCTACATTTAATTGGCTGTTAAATGAGTTCCTCGATGAGAAGTCATGCTCTGTGAAATACCATGACAGTGGAGAAGACATCTGTAAGTCTGCAGATAGTAGTTTTCACAGAATCATTCTGTGCAGGGAAAGCAAATCCATACCAACAATAAGTGTCTATTTTAGTTAAGACGAAAACACTGCCCCTTCCATGATGGTAGACATCCAATGTAATCAATGTGCTACCAGGTAGCTGGCTGATCACTCCTGGGGAAGGGTATCATTGTATCATTTCAGGACTTGATGTTGGTCTATGCTGCTGGAAGATTGGGTACTCAGCAGTGGCTATGGTCACGTTGGCCTCGGTGAGGGGAACTCCATGTTGCTGAGCTTATGGATTGCCACCATGCCTGCCACCATTTTATTGGCTGCAGAATATAGCAGCACAAAATATCTTATTTTAATTATATTCTATATATAAGAAAAAGTATCAAATTTTATGTCTTTATTTTATCACCACTTGCAACATTATGAAGTGTACCAATGCCCAATTTTATTTTTTATGATATTTTCAAAGTACTATTTGGAAATGTTCCTCTCATTTGTATAAATCTCACTCTGGTTTATGAGGAGAGAGTTGGTGTCTTAATTCAACATGGTATATTCAAAGTTATTTTAATAACAAGAAGTAAAATGTTTGGGAAATTTTTCAGAAAAAAAATGCACTAACCAACAAATAAAAGTATATTTTGTTTATTTTCAATAATGAAATATGGGTGACATATTTATTACAGATTAAACACTGTCATCAACAGCACTCTTTTGGTTTGGTTCAGTGTCAAATAAACGTTGATGTGTAAATAATGGGGTTATTCTATCTATCAAGTACTGATGTTCTTTCAGGCTTATAATTATTAGCTTGAAAAGCATCAATAAGTGGGTAATTTTATTATGCATTTTTAGGGCTTTTTTAAGATTTATTTTCTGTCCATCATATCAAGGACAGCAAAGAAATCCTGGTCTTCTTCAATAATCACAATTTTATCGCTTTGCTACACTTTAAAATCCAATAAATCAAAGACACCTTCAAGAAGAAAGAGAGAAAGTAAGTTATGTCTAAATTTGCTGTGTAAAAATTTCATTTAATTTGAAGAACTTAGAAGTCATATATACTATATCTGCAATGTTTTACTATTTAACTTTTAGATTTCAAAATAAAGATAAGCAAAAATAAAATGACCTGCCTATCTAATAGATTAAATGCCCATGCCATGCTGAAGCACAGAAACTAGGACATGTAGTTACTTCTGTGGCTGCGTTGAGATGACATGGAATGACAGAGGGTGCTGGCAAGTTCTACTGATTGACCAGTTTAGATTGTGACATGATCCAGGACCAATACACTTCCATTTGCTTGTTTTATTGTCCACCAAAAAAAAAAAAAACTTTCTTTGCTATTTTATTCTTTATGATTGACTTTCTCTAGTTTTATTCAGAATGAGTACTATATGACAGGTATTCTTGGTCCTTGGCTATAACAGAAAACAAAATAGATGAAACTTCCTGCCTTTATGAGACTTACATACTAGTGAGGTAACATAAATAAAAATAAATATTATAAGTATGTATACTTATAGAATGTTAGAACATTAAAGTACTAGGTGGAAAAGTAGAACAGGCTGAGAAGAATTAGGGGCATATGAGTAAAGGTGGTGTGAATAGATGAATAGATCCAGTTAAGAGGATAGCATTTGATAGGAGGCCAATATTTTCAGTGATGTTCACAGTGAAATTTTTTTTTTGTTGGTTTAACACATGACCTCAGTTATAATCAGATTTATCATGTATCCATAAAGTAAAAATGAATCTATTATCTCAGAAATAATTTTCTTTTAAGCAGTGCAGTTTTCATTATTATCTCATAGATTATTTTCCTCTTTGACATTTTATTGTGCCGAAATTTAGTTTCAAATTTTTCATTGAGAATTATTCCTTTTTTAGCAAAAAAAAAAAAAAAAAAAAAAAAAATACAGTGAGACAGTGAGTTTTATGGGAAAGCCAGAGTATTTTCGTTAACTTCCAAGGTTGTGAAACTTCCTCAGTAGCTGTCTGGGTGAAGGCCATACCAATGACATCAGATTATTTTTCCTTGTTTGCTTTTGTTTTTGAGTTTATTCTTGTTTTGTTTTTTAAGCCAACTATACTACTAATGGTACATAATAAAAATTGGGCTCTTTTCCATGAATTTCTACTAATTACATTTTTCGGTTTAATTTCAGATAAATGTTAAAATGAGCTTCACAAAGATTAATTTATTTTTAATGAGACTTGAAGAGTGCTAATAGATTCTAATCCCTGAACAAAAGGAAAGTTCAAGCCAGCAAAATGGACAAAGTAGGCAAAATATTAAGTTTCAGATTTGAACTATTTATTTCAAATTACTGCTTAAATTATTAAAAAAAATTTCTATATTCCCATTTATTTAATACAGTTTCTATGTGGTATTAAAGCAATTTGTGACAGGTATTTCCTCAAATAATTCAAGTTTAAATGAGCACTGATACCAAATAAACTCTTAAAGGTGAAATGGAAAATAGAGTATAGAAAAATGTATTCGTTATTCTTTTATTCACTTATTGAGTATATATTATACTTAGGCTCTATAGGAGTCAAGGAGGAGCTAGATGAGTGTGAGTGAGCAGAGATAGAGAGTAGAACATATTTTAGGTGCATGTGGCATTTCTGCAAAGTACTGGGAAATAACATGATGCATTCAAGGACATATCAGTAATTTGATGTATTTGGAAGATAGAATTCCAAAAGGAAAGAATCAGAAGGAGAAATTGATAAGATAAGAAATTGATATAATAATTGTTATGCTAAAAAATATTAGTGGACTAATATAGGGCTTTGGGCAGAGAGGAAATCTACTTTCACCTTTGTCTTAGATATTTCAGTCTGTCTGGATGTCAGGATGAAAATTGGGATATCTATTAGAATCTTGCGGAATTAATCCTAGTGGAAGATGAGAGATGTGACATTGAGGGGTGAGGAAAATAAAATGGGTTCAAGAGATTTAAAAAATAAAGCCAGGAGGTCATGCCTTGGTGTTAGATTAGACTCAAGAAGTGAGGGAATGGATACAGTCAAGTGTGTTTTCCACATGGGCAACTGCATCTATTGTGGTGCCAGGTGCACGGATAGTAGCAAAACATATTTGATAAGTACTAATAATAACTACAATGCATCCAGTTTGGAATATTCTCAGCTTGAGATGCTTAGTGGTAAATCAGGCAGATATATCTAGGAGAAACTATATATAAATGTTAGTAACCAGATTAGAACTCGGCAATGATATATGGATTTGGAATGATTTGTGCAATAATTGAAGTCAAGTAATATTGCAAGAGAACACACACATTACATTACAAGAGAAGCCAGGAAGGAGGCCTAATATGACATTAACTTTTACTAAGACTGGAAGAGTAGCCAAGAACAGAGATTGATAGGGAGAGATAGAAAGAGTGGAAAGAGAAGTAGAACAGAATCAGGTCCTATAACTTAATGGAGGAGAGAGTTTCAACAAAATGGAAGTGGCTAGAAGTCCGAATAATGCAAAGAATTAAAAATTGATGATCACTAAACAGTGTTCATTGTATGTTTCAACAAAGAGATTATTTTTGACCTTTGCCAGATCAGCAGTATTGAAATTGAAATGGCGACAGATCGAAGCCTGAGCGAGAAGAATAGAGCAAGAAGACAGAGCAAACAGTACAAGGTCCCAGAAATAATAGGAAGTGATAGGAACAGATTTTTAAATGGATGGTTTACCTTTATTAGGAGAATGTTCAAGACACGAAGGAAAGAAGAAAGGATAAAACAGAGGCATACATGTTCATAATAAAAGAGACAAGAATTGAAAGGACTTTCTCTCTGATAACTTCTACTTTCTCTGTAAAGAACAGGTAAGAATTTGTAAGGATGAATGGGGGAGACAGGCAAGATTTTGAAATAAACATTGTGAATAATGAAAAAGGAAGACTAGTGAAAGGATTTGAGGGGAAATACTAAGAATATTGGTTGGATGACAAAATTGTTTAAAATAACATGGCCCAAACTGTCCCATTTTAGCATCTTCAGCTTTTTTGAATCAAGAAAAAATGTTACAATAATACAATAATATTATTGTTACAATAAATCGTGATTAGAGAGCAGGATTTTGGTCTTATCTTTTCATCTTTATCCAACTAAGATATAACAATAAGAACATTTATTTTGATGAGTGTTAATTAATAATAGATGTCCATTTCAAGAGGGGAGATTGGCTTATGTTTCTATCCTCTTTCCCACAAATCTCACTGTATCAACAGTAAAGATATTTAAAAATACCCGTAATAGACACGGAATGAAAGAGGACTCACACAAAGACCAGATGCTATGATGGAATTCAGAAAATCTATGGATTATATTGTTGGCTAAACCAGAGCAGAAGAAGCTGCACAGTGAGAGTGCCCAGACCAGGAAGCAGTGATAGAGGAGTAGGGGGTGTGTACAGGATTTCCTCTTGACAGGAACCCAGAGAGCATATATAGAGTCTTGGGGAAGACTATGATAACTAATCAGAAAGAGACTGGAGGAAGAGTGGGGGTGGGAGGATAGAAAGTAATCAGAGTGAATTAAATTGCAGTACAAAGACCAGCAGCTCTCCTCATCCCATTCTCAGGCCCCTGTATAGAGATTGATATTAAATCAAGATGTGTTCCTTTTGAATCTGAGGGATCTGCCTAAGAAAGGCCAAGCCTTCCATTGCTCACATTGTTCCCCAAGAATAGAGTACTTTATATTTTTGCATTTGGAGATCACTCCCTGACAACATAAGCTAAAGTGAAGTATAGGAGTTAACATATCTCACCACTCACGCACACCTTACTGTCAGCTGTTTCATTGCAGAGACTTAAGAAAAAGTGGAAGAAAATTATGTAGCCACCAGTATTATTTCATGTAGTATTTTCATTAAATTCAAAAGGCATTTGAAGAAATTCAAAACCGTAACAGAGGACCACAGTAAGTAACAATTACTGTCCACTGGAGTAACTGAGGTGATGTAGAGAAAAGAAGAATTTCAAAGTAACATTTAACTAGTTTGCACAGAAATAGCCAAGATAATATTAAATACATAAAAAGCTTGTAAGGAGAAAGATAAGTTTGTAGTCAAAGTGTAACATTAAATAGTGATATTGTTTTGAGTGCTAAATGAAGTTACAGAAAAGAGAAACTGCTCTATCTGCAGATTATTTGGAAGTGTGTCAAAAATAAGATAAACTGATGGGTGGATAGAGTGATGGAAAACTGAATAGATATATGGGTAATGTAGAATGTAAGTGGTAGGTTGAAACACTCACCTTTGCTATATCTTTGAAAAATGTCAAAATAAAAATTGAGATGGGGGTACTTTGTAACTTTTCCCAGTATATCTATTTCCTTTCCCCTTAAATTTGAGCTGATCCTGTTACTTGCTTTCACCAATGGAAGGAAAGTGACTGTGTGCCAGTTCTGAGCCTAGGTCTCTGGAGACTTACGTGCTTTTATTCTCTTTCTTTGCAACTTACTTTTTTCAAGAACACATCAAGTCCAGTCACCTGGAAGAGGGGAGACCACATTGAGCAGCGCTGAATCGTTCAATCTGAGTGCACCTAGAGCATGCAGCCTCCAGCTGACTAGGGAGTTAGTTGATTTAGACACATGAAACAAGCCCAGACAAGATCAGCAAAACCACTCAGCCAACTGGTAGATTTGTGAGACTTAATAAATAGCTGTTGTTTCAAGCCACTAAGTTTTGAAGTGTCTTGCTTTCTAAAAAAAAGAAAACAAAAAGTGAAACCTCTAGGCCCTAAAACTTGGAATATCTTCTTTGACCATTATAGGTTTAGGAACCTGGGATTATATTTTAATCTCTATGGGCCTGATCACATTATTTGGTTCAGCAAAGAGTAATCAACACTGTTTATTGGTTCTCACTTACAATAACAACTAAAGAGAAAACAGGAAGGAAAAAGTAGATATAAGTAAAAGTAAATATTGCAAAATTTGACGACTTACATATAATGTTAGAAGTTCCAATAAATATAATGGACTGAAAACACTGTAGCCTATTCTTTCTTTCTTAAGTGAACAAAACTAAAGAAAGTAATTTTAAAAAATAAATAATGCATTGAAAAATAAGAAAGTTTTCTCTACTAGGATTCATGAGGGATAGCTGAAAAAATAAAAGAATAACATAGAAAAAGAAAGTAATGGTCCGAAACAGACATAGGAGAGGAAAGTAAAAAACGAGGCAGGAGCTACTTTGAATAGGAGGTTGTTCAAATCAATGGATAGGGCAATTGGTTGTGGCAGCACGACAGTGGTAGCCAGGAAGTCTGCTGTTTCCTTCTCCACCAGGCATCAAGCTTTAATCAAGGTGCTTTTGTGCAGAAGCAGTATAACTGGATGGTGAAATTAAAATGTTAACACAGTGTCTGGGATCATTGGTGACCCCAGAAGAAATAGAGGGAAGTTTTATATACAATAAAACGCCCCATACTTCCTTCATTCCTACCATAGGCAAACAGTAATGTAAGCCTTCCTAGCTCTTTCTGTCCCTCCTATCAAGTTTTGCAGAGATTAAAAAGGCATATTAGCATTCTAACTACAAATTGCCACCACCAAGAAGAATTACCGAGAAAAGATAATATCACGAAAGAGACTTACACAACTCAATAAATAGAATTACATTAAAAGCATGTTAGATTATATGAATACTTCTTGGATATAATGTTAGAATACATATAATTAATGTCCTCAGAAAGATAAGTTACTGTATCCATAAAAAGATTTTAAAAAATATTATTTGGAATTTAAAATTTAATGATTAGATTATTATATTAATAGAAAATAGACATTGCTGAAGAGCAGGTAGCACGCTGAAAGTTTACATTGCAATTTTTAGGACAGTAAGCTAAAAATAGAGGTGAAAATTTTAAGAAAAAAGTTAATATACATGGAGGTAAATGAGTCATTGAAACATTATTTAAGTATAGTGTTAGAAAAATAAAAGTGTTAAAAAATAAAAGTATAAAGAATACTCAAAAATGCAGTGACATTGATTAAAAGAACTAAAGCATAGAATTCACCTATATGACATTATAAGAGTCATCCTAAAATCACTGAAACAGGAAGACATAAAAAGGTAAAAATCACATACAAGATGATTGCTTACAAAAAGAAAGAAGACAAAGTATAACTCAAGATAAAGTGCTTAAAAAAGAATAAAATGAATATATATTGTTGGCAAGAGGGAAATTTAAGAAGGTATGATAACTATTAAACCATATATTATCCTAGTTGTAAGGTATATAAAATAAAAATTGATCAAATCATATTAAGAAATTTATACATAAATAACTATAGACAGAAAAACTTTTCTCAGAAAATTGATGAGGACCAAAAAATGTAAGTCTATATAGGGTTTATGATAACAACCTTAATTTAATAGATAGTGTGAAATAAGTAAACAGTCCTGGAAGTGGATCACATCCTTTAGGGAAAACAAGAAAGAGTCATAAAAACAACTAGTATAGGCTCAGGGCATACAGACATAAATTTAATAAACATAAAAATTAACCCCATGTAGGCAAACTATTTCATCTTGTAATGTTCCTAATATCCTTACCAATCCAGATGATTAATTTAAACTAATATTGGTACTCTGATTCCCTTTCTAGAAATTGCTCTATGATTAGTTATGTGACTTATGCTAGTGCCTGAGCATAAAGTGAGGTATTCTCAGAAAATTCCTGACAAGGTTTAACATCTAGCACTTGACTAAGTGATAATGGTCTGTTTAAATACTTCCTCACCAAACATGCCATATTTTTTTTTTGGACCATATCTTGCCTCTGTGATATTTTATATTTTGGAATATGCAGAAAGCAATTTTCCATGTATTGCAAGTTTGAATGTTTTGTGGGTTTTTATTTTTTTAACCCCTTCTTTAGCTTTCCTTGGTCAGGTGTTGTTAACTCACTACTTTGTATCTCTCTTTTGTCTTCTTTGAGTCCTCTTGAATCCTACTCCCAACCTCTATTATACATAAATGGAATATCTTCACAGCTGTACCCTCATCTTACTTTTTATAATGAAAAGTAGGACAGAGATAGTGCAACTTTTCTCAATAGTCTTAGATTTTATCTTTCTAATTAAGAGATATTTATTCAACCATTTAGGGCAACAAATATTAATTTAGATCACCTCATCTCTCTTACTTTGTATCATACCCAAGTATAAGTTTTCTGAATTGTAGCTCTAAATATGAACATGAAAAATAAGTTTTTTAGAATAAAACCTGGGAGAATATCTTCAGAACTTGCAGTAGGCAAATGTTTGACAAATAGAACATTAAAATGCCCAGATCACATGATATTTTTTATAAATTGGGTGATATTGATATCAATAATTTATCTTCATCAAGAGTAACCATGAAAAGAATGGTAATTTAGGCCAGGCACGGTGGCTCACGCCTGTAATCCCAGCACTTTGGGAGGCTGAGGCGGGCAGATCATGAGGTCAGGAGATCGAGACCATCCTGGCTAACAAGGTGAAAACCCCTCTCTACTAAAAATACAAAAATTAGCTGGGTGTGGTGGCGGGTGCCTGTAGTCCCAGCTACTTGGGAGGCTGAGGCAGGAGAATGGCATGAACCGGGAGGCAGAGCTTGCAGTGAGCCGAGATTGCGGCCACCGCACTCCAGCCTGGGCGACAGAGTGAGACTCCGTCTCAAAAAAAAAAAAAAAAAAAAAGGTAATGTAACTCACAGAGTTAGAGGTAAAATTTACAATACGCATATCCAACCAATGTCTTATATTTAGAATACATCAAGAATTTTAACAAATTAACAGGAAATAGATAACCCTATAGAAAAATTGGCAAAGGATTCAATAAGCACTTGACAAAAGAGATCACCAAATGGATAATAAAAATTATAAAAATTTAATTTGCTGCATATTCAACCCCTAAGGTCATACCATTACTCATTCACCAGAGCCATTAATAGTAAAAAGACAGACAATACTGTTAGTGAAGATAACGGATTACTGCAACAAGTTAGTAGATATTTGACAATCTCTATTAAAGCTGAACGTATGCACATTTTATTACAAGCAACTATACCTCTAAGTATATAGCCAATCCATTAAGTTTATGTATGTTTACTAAAAAATGCGTGCAAGTATTTTTAATAGTGCTTTTCATAATAGTCAAACACTGTGGACTAGCCAAATGGGTTTGACTGAATCAAAACATTATGATATGTTCACACAATGGAACACTATTTAGAGATGGATGTGCATGAACTAAAACAGCAACAATATGGATAAATATCACAAATAACATTTTGAGCAAAGTAAGAGTACAGAAAATGTATTTCTTCCATGTAGAGTTGAAAACAAAAAACATTAATCTCTAATGTTAGAGGTCAGAATAGCGTTTACTCTTCTGGGGGTTGTTATTTTGACCTGAAGGAATACAGGAAATTTTCAGCATCTAGAAGTGTCCTGTTTCTTTATCTAGATGCTTATTCCATAAGTGTGTTTAGATAAAGGTTATCACTTGTAACTTTTGCTTATACATTTTTGTGTTTGTTATAATGCAACAAAATATAAAAAGAAGGGGGGCCAGACATGGTGGCTCACACCTGTAATCCCAGCACTTTGGGAGGCCGAGGCGGGCAGATCACGAGGTCAGGAGATCGAGACCATCCTGGCTAACACGGTGAAATACAAAAAAATTAGCCGGGCGTGGTGGTGGCTCCTGTAGTCCCAGCTGCTAGGGAGGCTGAGGCAGGAGGATGGCGTGAACCCGGTAGGCGGAGCTTGCAGTGAGCTGAGATAGCACTACTGCACTCCAGCCTGGGTGACAGAGAGAGACTCTGTCTCAAAAAAACAAAAAAAAAAAGAAGGAAGGAAGAAGAGAAGGAAAGGAAGAAAATAAGGAAGAAGGGATGAAAGATACATTTATGCATAAAATACCAAAGGAAACTGTAATAATATAATTCATACTAATACAGAATTGGTAGCTAATTATGGATTTTATCTAGATTCTCCAACATTTTCCACTACAATCTTAATAACATATTTAATATATAAAAATACGGGTTTACTCAAGTTTTATCAAAAACAAACAACATTATAAGATAGTAAAGAGCTCTCCTTGAAAATGTTTTTTTCTATTAAAGCAAATACAATGGAAATAATTTAGTATTATTTTATTTGCAAATAATATTGACATGACAATTTATTTAAATGTATTTATAAACTTAAATTTTAACATTTATTTTTAACAGTCACACAATTAACACCTGATTGTTGGCACCTGTTACTTTGTTTGCCAGGTTAAAATATATATACTTAAGTGTATTATTGTTCTTCTCTCACTAGTCCTCACTAGTCCTTAGTCATTTTTAAACCCTTTGTCCTTATCACTTCATAAAGTGAAAACATTAAAAACTTTTTTACTGAATTGTTGTCCCAAAACAAAAACAAATATGATGTAATAGATAACTACCCAACACTGTAAATTTACTAGGGATTGAAAATGCATTGTCATGTTAAAAATTATTTCATTGGTCTCTGCCTCTGTTAAGTAAAACTTTGAGAGATAAGGAAAGCTGTCTTCTATTTGCTAGCTCCTTATTTCCTTAAATGCCAATTCAATTTGCAGAAGCATAAAGAGAGAAAGTAAAATATTCTGCTGCAATTCTTTATGAACTGTGTCAAACTGTATAACTGCTAATTTTCTTGAACAGAAGAAAATAATTTTACAATCTCTTTTAGAGAAGTAGAGAGGAGATATCTTTCTTCTTGACATTAGCATAGTTCTTCACCATGCAGTGCCTAACAGGTGAATGCAGCAACATTATTTTATTTCCTTTATCAGTTTATTTTGCTTTCTTATAAGCTAAATTTTGTAGAACTCAAAACTTTCTATGGTTTACTGTCTTACAAAGATTCAAGTTATTAAGGCAGATGCCAAAATAAACATTAGAATAAACAGATATTTATACCACACTTCATTTGTGTTCACCACACTAGTGACCATTTACTTAAAAATATATCTCAATTAAAATACTTTTACAATGATCCTAGGGCAAATCATGTTTTTAACAGTTTTTTTTTTTTTTTGGAAGCAAGTTAATATTAGAGGACTAGCACATATTCCAACTTTTAGTAAAAGAGTAAGCTATAGATAACTATGGTTCATATACTTATAAGACAGAAGATCATTCTCAGATACTACACATGTCAGCAATATTTGATGCATACAGTTATTCCTCACTGGAAACACTTTTCTCACTGGGATGCTAAAACATGTGATCTTTGTTTTCCTTCTTTATCACTAGACTCCTCTCATTCTCTTTTCAAATTTCTTCTTTCCAGCTTTTAAATCTTCTCTGTCTATATAAATTACCTAGGTGCCCTCATCCACTCTTACGGTTTCAAGCATTTAAATATTCCTAAGTTCCAAACTTATATTTAAAATCTCGTACCTTTCCCTTTTCCTTTATCATTGATGAATTTACTTAGATATGTAATAGACATACGAAAATTAACTCTGAATTGAACCATTTTTTATGCTTTCACTATCTTGGTTTAAACTCTCAAAATCTTTCACTTGCATTTTTGCACCTTCCTCCTAGCTGGCTTCTTTGTGTCACTATGTCTGACTTCATCTTCTACTACTCTTGTTCACTCTACCCAAGCCATACTTTCCCCCTTGTTTTTCCTTAAAAACATCTAATTCATGTTTCTTCCAAATTTTACACTAGTTATTCAACCTGGAACACGCTTCTATAGCTATCTTCATGGAACTCTCCCTGTGCTCTTGCAAGCCTTTTCTAAAATGTCAAATTTTTCATTAAGCTTATCCTGACTACTCTATTTAAATTGCAAACTTCCCAAACCCAACCTGACATCCCCAATTTCCATTTTATGCTCTAATTTTTTCCAGAGCTTTGTCTCCTACTATGTATTATATTATTTACCCACTGTGATTACTGTTTCCATCTACTAGCATGTAAGCCCAATATAGATTTGCATCTGTTTTGTTACCAGATTCTATCCCAACGCTAGACACGTTAGCAGTTCAAAAAATAATTGCTGAATTAATGAACAAAGAAAAGATTTTTCTGCTGAGCTTGAAGCCTATGTTAGCCAAAAATATTGACATGAAGTTACTCATTTATAAAGATTCCAATTTTCTTTTTAGCTACCATTGTTAGGGTAGGGATACTATTTAGTGGTGGTGTTCATAAGCATAATGACATACATATAAATAAATAAATAGATAAGACATCTTCTCATCTTAATTCTAAACAGAATCTGGTCCTCTTTGTCAGAATGAGTTTAAATTATGTTTTCTTTAAAATGTAAACTTGAACATATGTATTTCACATTACTCTTTCACAAAAACTCTATTTTAAAATCACTCTGTGAGTGTGTGTATATATGTATATACATATATATTCATTTTAACAACAACAACTTCAGAATATCATAGTTTTTTGGATGCAACAAGTTATGTCTTTCCCACATGCAATCGAAAATACATTAATTTAGTAAGAACATCATGTTTCTCGTAGCTCTGAGATATATCAAAGTTACATTCTTTTTCTTTTTTTTTTTTGAGATGGTATCTTGCTCTGTCACCCAGGCTGGAGTGCAGTGGCATGATCTTGGCTCAATGCAACCTCTGCCTCCTGGGTTCAAGCAATTCTCCTGTCTTAGCCTCCCAATAATTTTTTTAAGTGGCATTCATACAGTAAATAAAAAGTAAAACTATTTCTATCTACACATGATATAATCTTGTATGTAGAAAAAGCCAAGGATTCTATGCAAAATATATTAGAGCTATTAAACAAATTCAACAAGTTTAAGAATACAAGATCAATATATAAAAATATAATTTTATACACCAGCAATAAACAAAAGTGAAATTAAGAAAACAATTAAATGTACAATAGCATCAAAAATAATAAAGTTTAGGAATAAATACAACAAAATGAGTATAAGAGCTGTATACTGATGTCTACAAAATATCATTGACAAAAAAATTTAAAAAGTTTTTCCTCATCAGTGTGATACTAGCTGTGGTAGAACATACAGCTTTTATTATATTGAGGTATGTTCCATCTATATCTAGTTTTTAAGAGTTTTTGTTATGAAAAGATGTTGAATTTTATCAAATATTTTTCAGCATCAATTAAAATAATCATATGGCTTTTGTCCTTCATTCTGTTGATATGATATATTACATTGACTGATTTGAAAATGTAGAACCATCTTTTCATCCTGGGGATAAATCCTACTTGGTCATGATGAAGGACCTTTTTAATGTGTTGCTAAATTTGACTTGCTAGTATTTTTTTGAGGACTTTTAATCAATATTCAAAGATATTGGCCTGTATTTTCCTTTTTTTGATGTGTCTTTGGTTTTGCTATAAAGGTCATACTGATTTCATAGAAAGAGTTTAAAAATATTTCCCCTGCTTCTATTTTTGGGATAGTTTGGGTAAGATTGGTATTAATTTTAAAAATATTAAAATAATATTAAGCATCTTTTATGATCACAATGGAAGAAAACTAGAAATCAATAACAAGAGAAATTTTGGAAACTATACAAACACATAGAAATTAAACAATTTGCTACTGAATAAACAGTGGTCAATGAAGAAATTAAGAAGAAATTGAAAAATTGCTTGAAACAAACGGTAATAGAAACACAACATACAAAAATGTATGGGATACAAATAAGGCAGAACGAAGAAGAAATTTATAGTTATAAGCACGTACATCAAAAAAGAAGGGCCGGGCGCGGTGGCTCACGCCTGTAATCCCAGCACTTTGGGAGGCCGAGGCGGGTGGATCATGAGGTCAGGAGATCGAGACCATCCTGGCTAACAAGGTGAAACCTCGTCTCTACTAAAAATACAAAAAATTAGCCGGGCGCGGTGGCGGGCGCCTGTAGTGCCAGCTGCTCGGGAGGCTGAGGCAGGAGAATGGCGTGAACCCGGGAAGCGGAGCTTGCAGTGAGCCGAGATTGCGCCACTGCAGTCCGCAGTCCAGCCTGGGCGACAGAGCGAGACTCCGTCTCAAAAAAGAAGAAAAACTTCAAATAAACACCATAATGATATATCTCAAAGAACTAGAAGAGCAAAAGTCAACCAAATCCTAAATCAAGCTATAATAAACTAAGAGCAGAGATAAGTGAAATTGAAATGATAAAAAAATACAAAAAATGATCAAAACAAAAAGTTGGGTTTTTAAAAAGATAAAGAAAATGGGCAAAACTTTAGCCAGACTAAGAAAAAAAGAGAAGTTACAAATAAATAAAATTAGAGATGAAAAGGAGATAGTACAACTGATAGGCAGAAATTCAAAGAATCATTAGTGACTACTGTGAGTGACTGTACGCCAATAAATTTGAAAATCTAGAAGCAATGAGTAAGTTCCTAGACATACACAGTCGTATCAAAATTGAACCATGGTGTGTCTAAAGAAATGTCATCCAGGAGCTACTGTCTATTTTTATACCAGCACCATGTTGTTTTGGTTACTACAGCTTTGTAGTATAATTTGAAGTCAGATAATGTTTGTTCTTTTTGCTTAGGATTGCCTTGGATATTCAAGGTATGTTCTGTTGCATATGAAGTTTAGAATTATTTTCTCTAATATTGTAAAAAATAATGTTGGGACCAGCCTGGACAACATGGTGAAACCCTGTCTCGACTAAAAATACAAAAATTAGCCAGGCATGCAGAAGTGCCTGTAATCCCAGCTACTTGTGGGACCGAGGCAGAAGAATTGCTTGAACGCGGGATGTGGAGGTTGCAGTGAGCCTAGATGGATTGCGCCATCGCACTCCAGCCTGGGGGACAAGAGAGAGATTCGTGTCAAAGTAATAATAATAATAATAATAATAATAATAATAATAATAATAATAATGTTGGTATTTTGATAGAGATTGCATTGAATCCGTAGATTGCTTTCGGCAGTATGGTTATTCTAGTAATATAAATTCTTCCAATCAGTGAGCATGTATCTATTTATGTACCATAATATTTGCTATTTCAAAGCATACAACTCATATATGCCTTAATTTAAAACACTTTATTGCTAAACAGTGCTAACAGTCATCTGAGCCTACAGTGAGTCCAAATATTTTTATTGGTGGAGAGTCTGGTCTCCATGTTGATGACTGCTCAGTGCAGTGGTTGATAAAGATTTGGCTGGCTATGGCAATTTCTTAAAATAAGAAAACAATAAAGTTTGCCCCATCCATTAATCCTTCCTTTCAGAAAATATTTCTGTGTAGCATGCCAGAAGTTTGATGGCATCTTGCCCACAATAGAACTACTTTCAGAACTGAAGTCAGCACTCTGAAAGCCTGCTGCTGCTTTATCAGCTAAGTATATGTGATATGTAATCCTTTGTTGTCATTTCAACAATGTTCACAGAACTTTCACCTGGAGTAAATTCCATATCAAGAAAACACTTTATTTGCTCACTCATAAGAAGCAACTCCTCATCTGTTGAAGGTTTATCATGAGATTCCTGCAATTCAGTCACATCTTTAGGCTCCACTTCTAATTCTAGTTCACTTGCAATTTTCAACACATGTTCAGTAACTTCTTCCACTAAAGTCTTGAACACCTTCAGGTTATATGTGAGAGTTTATTTAGCAGAATTCTTAAGGACTCTGGGATTTTTGGATTAATAAATGAACATTGGCTTCAACTTAAAGTCAGCAACTGTGCTAGCCCCTAACAAGAGAGACAGTTTGTCCTTTGAAGCCGTGAAGTCAGGCGTTGATGTCTCCTATCGAGCTATGCAAGCTCTAGGTGACATCTTCTTCCGACAGAAGAATGTTTTGTCTACCTTCAAAAATCTGTTGTTTACTATAGCCACTGTTATCTGTTATCTTAGCTAAATCTTCTGTATAACTTGCTGCAGCTTCTAAGTAGAACTTGCTTCTTCATCTTGAACATTTATGTTAAATGGCTGTTTTCCTTAAACCTCATGAACAACCTACACTAGCTTCAAACTTTTCTTTGCAGCTTCCTCGCCCTTCTCAGCCTTCATGGAATTAAGGAGCATATTCAAAATTTCCCCCCAAAATATAAATGTCTGAGGTGATGAATATTCCAGTTACTTAGATTTGACCATTACATGTTGTATGCTTGTATCAAAATATCACGTGTAGCCCATAAGTATGTAAATCAATTACCAAAATGTGACACAGAAGCACAAAGCGAGCAAATGCTGTTGGAAAAATGAAACATATAGACTTTTTGGACTCAAGGTTGCCACAAGCATTATATATATATAATATATATATTATATATATAATATATCTCATATATATGATACACAGTATCTACCATATACACAGTATCTACAAAGTACAATAAAGTGAAGTGCAGTATAAGGAGTTATGACTATATTTTATTTATATTATGTATATTTGAAAATGGAGAACATTATGTGTTGTCAATGTTATATAGTAAATATAGAGTAAGAATTAACTTTCCAGAGATATAGAGAGTAAGCTCACGTTCTAGTTTGAATTAGGTTTGTGTCAGTGCATAAAAACCAAGAGTATTTTAAATAAGGGTATTATTATTCCTGCCTATTTAAATAGTGATTTATTAGTATTAAGTTTTAGAATGTTTAGCTGTTTCTCTGTTTGTCTTAAGTAGCAAATATGTAATTAACACAATTGCCATATTCTGTGTATAATATTTTATCTCTCTCTCTCTCTCTCTCTCTATATATATATATATATATACACACACATATATATATGGAGACATACACATATATATACGTGGAGACCAGACTCTTCACCAATAAAAATATTTGAACTCACTGTAGGCTCAGATGATTGTTAGCGCTGTTTAGCAATAAAGTGTTTTAAATTAAGGCATATATGACTTGTACACTCTGAAATAGCAAATCGTATGGTACATAAATAGATCCATGCTCACTGATTGGAAGAATTTATATTACTAGAATAACCATACTGCCGAAAGCAATCTACAGATTCAATGCAATCTCTATCAAAATACCAACATTATGTATATATACATATATATATATATACACACACACATATATACATATGTATATATGTATATTTTTTTCAGACAGAGTCTCACTCTGTTGCCCAGACTGCAGTGCACTAGCATGATCTAGGCTCACTGCAACCTCTCCCTCCCGGGTTAGAGTGATTCTCCTGCCTCAGCCTCCCAAGTAGCTGGTATTACAGGCATCCACCACAACGCTGGGCTAATTTTTAATAGACATGTGGTTTCTATATACATTTTTTTACTTTCCCCTAACCCTTGCCCTTGGCAAACTCTAAAAAAGATATGAGTTCTTGATTCACTCTATAATTATATGATTTCTCAACAGGAATGTCAGTGCATAATAAAGTCTTCAGCAATGAAAGATACACATCTCCATACTTTCAAATTTTGTGACAAAATGAAAAGTTTCACAGTTTCATTTTTTTTTAATTCAGTGAAATGTGTTCACAGAATCTCAATGTGTCTTTTTTTCTGTGAACAATTTGGTTTGGTTCATTTCCTTTATCAATTACGTTAACATTTAATAAAATACAGATTATGAATAAGCACTCAAATGGTAATTTTCAAAAAGATTGTGTCTATGAAGTGGAACAAACACTAAAGGTAAGAAAATGGACTCTAATGAGTACTTCAAGATATGTGGTAATGTGTAAGTTATTTAATGGGTATCTTTCCATGTAAATTAAATTCTATTCTTAATGAATGTCTTCTTTGGAGTATTTTGCTAACATTTACTAATTATTTTGAGAGGCTTGTCAATGTGTTGTAAAATGGAATAAAATGTTTTGTTAGAAAAGATGATATGAAATAACTCTTCAAGGATTATGTTTGCAGAACAGCAATTCACGGAAAAATTCAGATCCATCAATTTCCTATAGGAAGTAAATGATTCATTTGAATTGTAAGTACATAAAGCTTTTTTGTTTTTTGCAAAGTAAGACCCATTCATGACATGTTATTTTAATTATATTATTTTGCTTCCTACATTCAAATAAAATTGTACAAAACTTACTTAGCTTTATTATTTCCTTTATTGTCTGAAATAATATTACAGCCTATGAACCTTTCTCTGGGAGTCTGTGAGCCCTTGATGGATGAGTACTGAGTAATTCTGAATTATTGTGTATCTTATTTAATGATATAAACTACTAGGAAGTAAAAAATGATGTCTTTCACCAGTTGAAGGGTCTATTTCTGTCCTCTCCTATTCTGCAAATTATGCAGCATTCACCAAATTTCCTATAAATGTTATTTTATACTTTCATATACCTATGCTACTCTAAAAACACCTTAAAAATCAGTAAGTTTAAGTAATCTGATAGTCACATTTTAACCTCTATATAGCAAACTGAACAAACTTCAAATATTTCAGATATACATGATTCGTACTTCCCATAACAAGTTTCTGAACTCAACTAAATGTTGTGATCTGTGTCACACCAATTTGAAGAGATTAGATATCATTTTCAAAAAGTGCAGAAATGGACCAAGTGTACCCAAGTCTCAGACTGTCCTAGTTATTTTCTTGGCCATAATTGTTCAGTATTCATTTGACCAGGAAGAATATGAGAAGCAGAGATGGTTACGAAGCTAGAAATCTCTACTCCCAGAATATACAAGAAGTCTAATGAGAATACAGTTAAAGTATCTTGGGTCTTTTAATTTACCATGTGTGCTTCTCTTGTCTGTGTCATATTTGTTTCTGCCTATAAAATGTATTTTCCTTTTCCAGCCCATATGACTGTAACATGACCCGAATTTTATATGTATCAATTTGTTATTCCCAATTCAAATTTCTGGATATGGGATAGAGTACTTAATTAGCATGAGTGTTTTTAAGTCTTACATAAGATGTATTCTCTGCTTACCTCAAGAATATATGGAAGTCTGGTACTGATTCTTGACCAAGGTAAGAATGGATTAAGCTAGCTATTGATTTATAAAATGCTGTTTAAAATTCAAAACTCTCTTGGTGTCACTCAGGGCCAGCTTGTTTGTATTCATTAGAGATGCATAGATTAAAAATTTACACTTCAATCTACACATCCAACTATTGGCCAATAGTTATCCAAGTATTGGCCACAGGATTTCTTGACTAGGTGGCCAGTAGGGCATAAAAAACCTTTCTGAAAACTTTTTAAAAAATTTCTTCTGAAATGAAGATTTCTCGTACATATGTTAGTCGTTCAAAATCCAGAGATAAAGTCCATCTTATGAGAGTAAGAAAGGGAGCCGGTGAACTGCATTTAGAAGCTGCTTAGGTCTGCACAGCTTTCTTGTTCTTTTTTCCTTTGTTGTTATAGCATACACTTTATTAAAGACTTGTATGACTTCTTTCTATTATCGGACCTATGTAATCATAAGGTCCAAATATTTATCATGATAGTAAGATTATAAAATTATTTAAAGATAAAGGACATGATTAGAGTCACAGTTAACATAATACTGCCACACAGAAAATAAGTACTTTTTCCCAAAAAGAAAAAAAATTGCATATATAGCATATATATATAACATAAATATATGTGCACACACACATAAATGACAGGAATTGGTACACATGGTGTGATTATGGAGGCTGACAATTTCCAAATCTGTAGTCATCAAGCCTGAGACACAGGAGATCTAATAGTGTACTTCTTGTATGAAGGCTGGCCAACCCAAGACCTGGGATGAGTCAATGTTTCAATTTCAGTCTGAAGGCAAGAGGAAAATAGTACCAGCTCAAAGGCAGTCAGGCAAGAGGAATTCTCTTTTCTTTGGAGGATGATCAGCTTTCTATGGTATTCAATTCTTCAAATGATTGGGTGAGGCTCACCCATATTTGGGAGAGCAACCTTCTTTACTCCACTGATGGATTTCCATATTAATCTCATCCAAAAACACCCTCACACACATGAATCATAATATTTAACCAACTATCTGTTTAACCAAATAACGTTTAACCAACTATCTGAGCTTTCTGTGGCTAGACAAGCTGACATATAATATTAACAATAACATAATCACAAAGTAAACATCTATGGAATAAACACAAAAGAAAATTAGAAAGGAATCAAAGTGTTACTACAAAAAATCAACTACAAACCAAAAAAAAGGTGGTAATGAAAGAAATGAGGGAAAAAGAATTTATAAGACATACCAAAACAAATAACAAAATGTTTTTAGCATGTTAATCACAAAAGTAAGTGTTTTTCTATCAGTAATTAATTTAAACGTAAATGAACTAAACTCCCCAATTGAAAGACATAGATTGGCAATCTGTAAGAGATGCACTTTAGATCTAAAGCCATGGATAGGTTGAAAGTGAGAGAATGGAAAGAGGTTTTCTGTGTAAACAGTAACCCAAGAAAGCAGTCATGGCTATACTAATAACAGACAAATAGACATTAAATCAAAACTGTTATAAGACACAGAGAATGACATTGTATACATGCTGTCAATAGACCTTTATCCATAGAGGATGAGAAGTATATTAAATATAGGTGCACAGACCATTTGGAGACCTCTGATTGAGAGTACACACTTGTTGTATGCCACTAAGATAATGTGATAATGATGATCAACAACCACAAATAATATACCTACCTAGATACATAGAAATGCCCAAGACAAAGATAAAATGTGTAAAGGAGTCAACTCCGTGAAAAGAGAAGACTGACTTCACAAAGCGGCAGTTAGACTGACAGCTTCGTAATGTTACATGTGAAAACTGCCAGTCTGAAACTTTATATCCAATGAAAATGTTCTTTAAAGATAAAGGCAAAATATATACATTTCAGGCAAATAATGGGAAAACTTATTACTGAAATATCCACATTAAAAAAATGCAGAGGATTTTTTTCAGAAAGGAAAAATAGTGATACCATTCAGCAGCTTCAAGATGTAGAAACTACTGTAAGGCAATTAAATAATAAATATTGTTAAGTATAAATATTTATTGACTGAATAATAATAAGGCATTGAGGGTTTTATGTATATAAAAATTAATAAACTTGACTATAATGTGAGGTCAGGAGGGAGAAGATATATTTAACTAAATTTTAAAATGTATTTATATTATTCAATAATAATAGTGTCATAAAAGGTTTACTTTGTAAGTTCAGCCTCCATGTTAGAATCACCAGGATAGCATCTAAAAAAATAGTGAAAGAATATATAACTCTCATATTAATCATGGATAAAAACTGCAATAATAAAAAATAATTTTAAAAATGCAGAAGGAGGGTAAAAAAGTAACCCATGTAGGACAAGAAGACAGTAGCTAGTAATCCTGTAGATTTGATACTCAAAATAGTAGTAATTAAAAATAAATGCAATAAGATCTTCAAATGAATGACACAAATATTCAAACAGGAAAGGAAACAAAACCCAGCTGTGTGCTCTTTAGCAGATACAAGTAAAAAGATAGTTAAAATATATGCCATACAAAAGTTAACCAAAAGAAAGTTGTAGAGATAACGAGATCAGAAGCATTTTTAAGGCAAAAATTATTACTACAAATTCAAATATATAAAAAATGTTTAATGTATTAATAGAGTAAAACAAAACTAAATTTTGTGTAACTAGTAATATAATCTGAGTATGCATACACCAAAAATTTATGATATGCAAAAAGAAAAACTAATAAATTCTCTATCAGAGTTGAATATTTTAGCATAGATTATGCAGTAAGGTCTAAGAAGCATATAAAAATCAGAAATTAAGATATAGCAGCACTAAATGACTTGAATATCAAACTTGACCTCATTATATTTATGATTATATTTAATAGATGGAGAATATCTATTCTTTTCAGTCATACATTATACTTTCAAATAAAATGACTGGTATTTTACTTAATATTTAATAGAAAAATCAGTTGAAAAGTTGTTTCTAAGCTGGTCATGGTGGTTCACCTTCAGTCTCAACTACTCGGGAGGCTGAGGTGGAAGGATCCCTTGTGCCTGGGAGTTCAAGCAGAGACTGGGCAACAAAGCGAGACCCTGCCTGTGAAAAAGAAAATATAAGTTGTTTCTTCAAAAATACATAAGATTACCTGAGCAAGGAAAATTGATAAAAGATAAAGGAAAGAAAACACATAATGGAACAAAAGAGTAATTCTTAGAAATTGAATTGATTATAAATGGGTATTATGAAAAAATGTATATCAGTAAATTTGAACATTGAGATGAAAGGGACATATTTCTATATAAACACTGTCAAAAACAAACAAACAAAGAAACCAGAAAATCTGAATGGTCCAAAGAAAATAGGAAATATTACATAAATTGAATGCATTATTAAAAACTTTCCCACAAGTGATAGACGGAGAAGGCTGATAAGGGAACCTACATGGGGTCTTGGCTGGGCATGCCTGCAGTGGACTGGGGGCCTGCACGTGCACGGGGCAGAATGGGGTGGAGCCACCGGGAATTAGTGCCATATGCATGGGGAGGAGCCAGGCCTCTTCAGCTCTTTTGTGGTGGCCTGGTAGTCAATCTGTAAGATGGGAGCCTGTAGGCAGGACTCCCTCTTTCTTTGCTGAGAGCGTTCTTTTTGCCTAACGAATCTGCTCTCCTCATCCTTCAGTGTGTCCATGTGCCTAATTTTTCCTGGTCATAAGACAAGAACCCGGATTTTAGCTGAACTAAGGAACAAAAATTCTGCATCTTTTTGGTGGCCCATATGGGGACGAGAAGTGGAGTGAGTAAAATGTGGAACAAAAAATTTATTTCCCTTTTGTTTCTGAGTCTTCTTGTCCTCAGTCTTCTTCTGAGGGTAGAGAAAACAGTGGCCCACCTTCCCGTTTGCTGTTGGGAGTTGGGAGTGTTGGCCTCGATCAACTCCAGCCTTTTCTATGGCATTTTCCTTCTTTTTTCAGGACTGTGATGGCACCTATCTTTTGTTTTACAATATTAGAGGTGTTCTACCCCTCAGTGTTCTGGCCCTCAGTGGCCACCCCAATGGCTGCAGGCATGTGCATGGGATGGATGGGTGAGCAGCAGCTTCCTGCACCCTTCCCTCCTGGCCGCGGAGCATGACTCTGTCCACTGCATATGTTAGTGGTGTCCAATGGCCATGCAGGGTGGGACTGAGCCACAGCCACTGCTCAGGCCCAAAGCAGCCTCAAGAGCCCAGGACCCACACTGCCAGCTGGCCAGCTAATATGGTTTGGCTCTGTGTCCCCATGCAAAACTCAGCTTGGATTGTAATAATCCCCACATGTTATAGGAGGGACCCACTTGGAGGTAACTGAATCATGGGGGAGAGTTTTGCCTGTGCTGTTCTTGTGATAGTGCATAAGTCTCACAAGATCTGATGGTTTTATAAAGGGGAGTTCCCCTGCACATGTCTTCTTGCCTGCTGCCATGTAAGATATGCCTTTACTCTTCCTTCACCTTCAGCCTCCCCAGCCGTGTGGAACTCTGGGTCCATTAAACCTCTTTCCTTTATAAATTACCCAGTCTCAGGTATGTCTTTATTTGCAGCATGAGAACAGACTAATACACCAGCATTTCCTGCCATGTACCCACAGAGTCTTCCCTTCCTCCATCTGAGGGGTCCAGCTTGGTCTTGGTCTGAGCCTAGGGAAGAAACAGCAATTTAAAGTTTCTCTCCTTGTTGGAGAAACGCATTTGCATAAGAGTAAGAGGTTTCTTCCCCAGGCATATTTTTCTTTTTCTTCACCCTGTCAGCAGTTAACACAGCTCTGTATTTAAGCTGTTTTTGTTTGTTTGTTTGTTTAAATTCCTTTTCTCCACCCTGTCAGCAGTTAACATAGCCCTGCATTGAAGTTTTTTTTCTTTTCACCAGGTCAGGAGTTAACTTTTAAGTGAGAGGCTTTTTTTTTTTTCCCCTCTCTTATAAGACGTTTTACTAGGCTAGGAGCCCAATTCACAAGACAAACTCTTCCCCGCCTTGTTGAAGGAGGACTCAATTCCACAGCTTTACTTTACCATTCAGCTTATGATAAGGAGTCTGTGCTATCCTTTGAGACACATTTTTATCCCAAACTAAATTTCAAGTCTCAGAATTCAAAGGTTACTGATAGCAGAGGAGATAGGGTATATGTGGGTAAGAATGGATAATGCCACCCCCTAGACCCCCTGTAAACATGGTTGAAAACCGCTTTGACAGAGTGGTGGCACTCTGTCATGGTCACCAGGACTCAAGGATATAAGGACTGGAGAAAGAAAGAGGGATGCCTCACTTTCTATCCTTCATGTACCCTGGGTATTTGCTAGGAAGAGGAGGGAACCATGGACATTTGCTCCCCTCTTTCTAGATGAGTAGCCATTCATCTTCAGCCTGCATGTCTTTCCAATGCATCCTGAGTCCTTTGAAGAAATGCCTTTTCTTTTTTCTTCCTCTGTCCTCTTTTCACAGATGCATGGTTATGTCCCCATGCTGCAGGACACTTCCCTCAGACATATCCTCCAAACAGGGAATAGTTAATTTCCCAAGCCTTAAAATGGTTGGCTTGGGATTGAGAACAGGGGGAGGGAATGAAGTCTGACATTCTGTCAAAAGGTAAGTTTTTTTCTTACCAGTCAGGCTTTTGGCCTCCCTTCCCCTATTCAAACCGGTCTAGGGAATGATGAGGATCACCATTTATATTCTCCATAAAGTTATAATTATGAAAAAGAATTTGTGAGGTTAGTTTTCAGCTGTAGCCAATCTGGGGTGCTTTGCATGTCTTTCTGTGTGGACTGGTCAAAAGTGGGGAACCTTAAGATGGGATGGGGGATTGGAATGCATAGGCCCACTGCCCAAGCCAGCTTGGCAAACTGGTCGTTGGTAAACTTAGCTGCAAATCTCCATCTTGTTTTATGTCCTTGGAAGTGTAACCTGTAACTACATGGCAGTGCTTTATTTTAGCCTCCACCATTTTACAATGGCAGCCTGGGTTCAATCCTTACTTAGAGAATGAGTCCTTTCTGGTCTGAGATCTGTATGCCCTTTACCATTTGTTGATTATCTTCCCCTCCACTAACCACCTTGAATTTTCCTTTTGCTGAGCACCTGGGAGGTTACCTTTGGTAAAGTTCAAAAGCCAGGCATATTGGCCACTTAGCATGGCTAAAGTAGGGTAATAAGGGATTTAAGAAGATTTTCTTAAAGAGCACTCAGCTTAATTAAAAGTGGATATCCAAGTTATAAGTCTATTTAAAAGGCCTTTTTGTTTTTCTCTTCTTAGATCTTGTTTTGCTGGAAAAAAAAAATTTTTTTTTCTCAGTAGACTAAATTATTTTTCTCCATTTGGCCTTGCAACTCTTCATGCATGCATGAGAGGCCCTAAGATAATTTCTGATGGCCTGGGACTCCCTTGGAAGAAAGAACAGGAGCCATGAATTACATTTTGGGAGAAACTTCTGTTTTCCTCATGGAACCCCAGGAATTAAGAGCAGATAGGTACCTCTCAAAATCTGTTTTTGTCTTCCAGCTATACCTGTTTATTAGGCCCTAGAAACTGCATGCTTTGCTAGCCCTGCTCTTACTGGGTCCCACTCAGAGGCCAGTAGTCCAATTAGGAGATTGGAAACCAGAAAATCTTATAACTACTGTATCTGCTTCTGTTTGTATGTGTGGTTATATATGTGCTGTGTGTGGTGTCTATAATAAAAGAGAGCTCTAATAATTGGCCTAAAGGAAAATAAGCATATAGATCAAATATTTTTTGAAGGAAAAATAAAAGCTGTAATTCCTTTTGGCCTGTATGACTCTAATCTTTGAGAAATAAGAACAGTTTTAAAGATTACTAGTAAAATGCGAATGTCAATAAAACGTAAATAGGTGGTCTAAATTATGCAGGTCAGATACTAGGTTTGCTCAATGTTTTAAGGTTGTGAACTGTTTGTTTTGCCTTTGAGAAGTGTTCAATTTGCCTACTTTACAACTTGGTCAGGCCTAGGAATATAGGCTTTAATCTTAGTAAATAATTATTAATTATATAATCTTAGTAGAAGATTATAAGAAGCCACAGAAATGTAAATTTTTGCCTAGGGTTAGAGGATTGCTTGAAATACACAAAATAAAGCTAAAGGTTTAAGCAAATTGTGGAAGGATTGCAAAAATTAATCTTGCAAAGAAATTCTGTGTGCAAACATTGACTAAATTCGAAAGGAAAATATATGCTTTTTCTATAAATTGAGCATTGAAATAAAAGCTCTTTAGCAAAATTTGTAAAGGGTTATAAAAGATTTTAAGAATCTTACCCATGGTCAAACTAGTTAAGATTAGATAGAGTTGCCTATAAGTTTTCATTAGAAAATTAGGGTTGACATTAATAGTAAACTAATGTGTGGGTAAAATTTGGCTTTCTCTCCCTTGTACAAGATTTTCATCTAATAGTGAAGGATAATGAAAGATTTCCATTTGCCTCACAGATAGGCTGCCAAGGAAAAAAAAAAGAAGGCAGGAGATAAATTGTTTGGAAAGCTAATGGGTAAGGGTTTTTGTCTTGTTTCAAAATTTCTGAGTCATCATTTTGGTAAGGTTTTTATCTTGTTTTAAAATTTCTGAGTCATAATTTTGGCAAAATAAATAATTTATGGTAATCTGGAATTCTATTTCATAACATCAAGTGTTTTAAACCTCTAACATTTAATGAGCTTCCCGAAATCAAATTTCAGCCTCAAGGTTGTCTTTCCTAACCCCTAGGTTTTGGATGCTATGTAGGGCCCCTATAGCATCCAGAAGAGAGTTAAACAGGATTATTCAACATGTTTAGTTACATGGAATTGCCAAAACGATGTTTAATCCTCTTCAGGTTATATTTTAGTAAATAATATTAATATATGTTCCAAAACTCTATGGGATTTCTAAAATTGTAGAGTCTGAGTATGTGCTATCAATCACAATTAAGGTTATTATTTTAAGTATTGTAAACCACAGAGATCACCAAATTTATTTGTCAGTCATGTTTTTGACAGTAACTACCCTGAACATTTTGTTATTCACAGACAATTATCATCTTGCTTTGATTCTCTTCAAAGGGTGGTTTGTAATAAGCTGGAAAATTTGACAGGTGCTCTCAAATGCAGGTTTCTGATAACTTTGGAGATTGTGGTGTTGGAATAAAGGAAAAATATACAGGATTCATGAAGAGCTGAAATGTTCACAGATACTGAGCAAAGCAAGAGTTAACTGAATGGATGGAACTAATAGAAAATGGAGGTAATCTTTTTTTGACTTGTGCTCATCCTTGTTTTTCTTTTCAGAGTCAAGGAGACTTATTTTGATCTATTTAGGGTCTTTAATAATTGAGTAAGTTATATTCCTGTGAACAAAATTTGAAGCATATTTGTTTCTCCTTCTGCCTGGCTTCTCCAGAATTTGGAAACTATTTGTGAGTATTCTTGACTTGTGGCAATATAGTTGTTTGCATCAGTGCAATAAGAATTCATTTTCTTTTCAACAGGCCACAGTTGGAGAAACTGGTTGTTTTACCAAGGCTTTGACTGGAAGGGTATGCTTTACTTTAAGGAATCAAGCTCAACTTGCAGAGCCGATAAAAGCCCCTTGGGAAAACTGGCTTCATATCTTGTCCACATGGTCCCCCTACAGGCCTCCTAACCAGTGGTAAGTAAAGAATGTTACTTTCTACCAGGCCCAGGAACCCAATATTCTTAGGACCTCTTGAAAAGAGGAGTTTACCCAACTCTCATGTATTTGAGGGTACAAAACCATGGCTAGGCTCAGCTTTAGAAAGTCTGATCTGAGATTCATTGTGGAAAAGAATTCCATCAAAGCCAATATAAGAAGCCTATGTAAGAATAATTATTCTTCCTGCACTTTATGCAAATAATTAGGCGAAGTATAAGACTAAAGTCTATTTTGCAAACAACTCAGTCTTATCATGATTGGTTTTTAACAAAAATGAGAACCGGAGAGAGACAAATTATGTTTTAAAAATTATACATTTGTCACTGAATTTTAGACTTATGAGTTGCTTTTAAGTTTCTTGCCTACACCTCAAACTAACCCTGCTTATTCCTGTGAACCAAGCATCAATCTTTAGCTGCATCTCAAAAGGAACAAAAGGGATGGGTGATGTAAAAATCTGGATTAATATTTTAATTCTGAGTAATTATCCCAAAAATCCTGCCAGGTGATGGGAGTAAATAGGGTGCCCATAACCCAGAAGTTTTGTTTTTAGGAAAATAAGACCAAGGGAGGTAACGAAAGCCAAGCTCCATGCACTGAAATCTTAGCAAGCTCAACTGTAGCCACCGATTATCTGGACATGTTGTGAGCCTTAGGATTTTTGAATTGTCCTTACCCACCCTTTTTTCTTTCATTTTGATTCATACTTTCTAATAACCCAGTTTGTCTCTTCTTTTCAGGCCATCAAACTCCAAATGGTCATGCAACTAGAACCTTAAACAATGGGCTTCCTTTTCCCTGGGACAGTTAGTTAGGCCTCTGAGTGAGATCTGACTGTTGCCTTCCCAAAACACTGCATCCTGTCAGCAGAAAGCAGTTAAGATAGGTCTTCATCCCTGCGCTAATGGAAGTTAGACCTACCCCTTTAGAGAAGGGAATGATAGATGCGGGAGACAGATGAGAGAACCTGCACAGGGTATTGCTTTGGCATGCCTGCAATGGACGATGGACCTACATGTGCACTGGGAGAACGAGGTGGAGCCATCAGGAATTTTTGTCTTTTTCAGGGGGAAGAGCTGGCCTCTTCAACTTTTGGGTGGTGGCCTGGTATTCAATCTGTGAAGTGGGAGCCTGCTGGCAGGCCCCCTCTTTCTCTACTGAGAGCTTTCTTTTTGCTGAATAAATCCATCCTCCTCACCCTTCAATGTGTCCACCTGCCTAATTTTTCCTGGTCATGAGACAAGAACCTGGATATTAGCTGATTTAAGGAGCAAAAACCCTGCATCACAAGAAAGTTATGGGGCCAGATAATGTCAGTCATGACTCATTTCAAATACTTAAGGAATAAATGAGGCCAAACACAGAAACTCTTCCACAGAATATAAGATAAAAAGTAACTGCCCAATTTTGTTCTGTTTTTGTCAATAACCCTGACAACAAAACCTGAAAGGAACATGAAATAAGGGATAAGGATCCAAGATTAAAGGTCAAGCTCAGTAAAAATTCTAAACAAAATATTGTCAAACTAAATCTGGCAATGTATAAAAGGAATAACAACACACACACACAAACACACATGAATAACACATCAAAACAAAATTAGATTTTTGCATTAAAAGTTTGCTTCAAATTTAGACAAATAAAAGCAAAGTAACAAAAATAGGACAAAGATTAAATATTCCAAATAACTGTGTTAACAAATGCAGGGAAAACATCTCATTTCACATATAATTATGATTAAAACCATTAAGATAATAGGAATCAGAAAGAAAGTCATTCATCTCATTAAGGATGTCTGTAAAATGTCAATAGCAAATTTTTATTTAAGGTAAAATAGTCAAAGACTATTCATTATTAACACTACTGCTCATCACACTGCAGATTTTAATTAGTATAATGAGGCAAGAAAAACAAATTAAGGAAATTAAAGTTTGAAAAAAAAATCACAATTAACCAATGACATACATGACTTTTACCTTAAAAAGTTCAAAAATACAGAAGACATTAGGGATAATATGTGATTTTTAACTTGTTTTCTGAATTTGTGTTAAATATTTAAAAATTTATTTGTGTGTACAGATAATTTTAATAGATAAAAATAAGTTAGCATTTGCAATATTATGAAAAATACAGAATTCCCAGTAACAAATCAAACAAAATTTAAAATACCTCTACACAAAAACTAGTTTTACAAAACTAGAAGATAACATCAAAAAACCTCTTCTGGACATAGGCTTAGGCAAAGAATTTATTGCTAAGACCTCCCAAAAGACGTAACAAAAAAAAATAAATAAAGGCAACTTAATTAAACTAAAACATCTCTGCACAGCAAAAGAAATAATCAGCAGAGTAAACAGATAACCTACAGAATGGGATAAAGTATTTGCAAACTATGCATGTAACAATGAACTAATATCTAGAATCTACAAGTAACTCAAAGACATCAGCAAGTAAAAAACAAATAATCCCATCAAAGAGTAAGTAAAGGGCATGAATAGATATTTCTCAAGAAAAGATAGTAAAACAGCCAATAAACATATGAAATAATGCTCAGCATCACTAATCATCAGGTAAATGCAAATTAAAATAACAATGAAATACTACTTTACTCCTGCAAGTATAATCATAACTAAATAATCAAAACAACTATAGATGTTGGCATGGGTGTGGTGAAAAGAGAACACTTTTACCCTGCTTGAGGGAATGTAAATGGGTACAACCACTATGATAAACAGTATGTAAATTCCTTAAAGAACCAAAAGGAGAACTATCATTTGATCCAGCAATCTCACTACTGGGTATCTACATGAAGGAAAAGAAGTCATTATATGAAAAAGACACATGCACATGCATGTTTATAGCAGCACAGTTCATAACTGCAAAGACTTGGAACCAACCTAAGTGTCCATTGATTGAATCAATAAAGAAAATGTGTTAAATATATACACACCAAGGAATACTACTCGGCTGTAAAAAGAAATAAAATATCATCTTTTACAGCAACTTGGATTGAGCTGGAGGCCATTATTCTAAGTGAAGTGATTCAGGAATGGGAAACCAAATATTGTATGTTCTCACTTATAAATGGGAGCTAAGCTATGAGGATGCGAAGGCATAAAAGTGATATACGGGACTTTTAGGACTTTGGGGAGAAAGCTGGAGGGGAAGTGAGGGATAAAATATTCCACATTGGGTACAGTGTACACTGCTGGGGTGATAGGTGCACTAAAGTCTCAGGAATCACCACTAAAAATCTTATCCATGTAACCAAAAACCACCTGTACCTTCTAAACTACAGAAATTAAAAAAAAAAAAACTGGTGTCACAGAAATAGTTAAAAGATCTAAAAAAAAGTGGGAAAATTCTTGCTCATGGATTGGAAAACACAATATTGCAAAGCTATTAATTTTGATCAAGGTGATCTGTGGGTTCATTTTAGTTATAAACAAAAATCTCAATTTGTGTGTGTCTGTGTGTGTGTGTGTGTGTGTATTTCTAAATTGGCAAGATGTTTCCATAATGTTAGCTATGGCACTTACACCATTTTGGGCCATTTAGATATCCGTATACAAACTGATGAAGTCTGACCACAATATCATGTACTGAAAAAAAAGGAGGTGCCAAAAACACAATATTATGCATTCTAGAAGTTACCAAAAAGAATTATCTTAAAGATTTTGGTGTTTGGAAAATTTTCTTAAATAAGGTGGTTTTTATGGTGTAACACACAGATACATTTCATGAATTAGACCACATTAAAATTAAAAACTCTGTTCATAAAGACACTATTAAGAGAATGATAATGCAAGGGACAGTAAGAAAGCATGTGAAGACATGCATGAGAAAATGGGTTTATTTCTTGAATATATAGAATTCCAAAAATTAATAAATAAGAAACAATAAAAAAGAGTAATAAATATAAAAAGGAGCTTCATGAAAGAATGTATTGAAATGTCCAATTAAAATAAGAAAATGGTGTTAGCTTCATTAGTAACTATTGAAATGTTTATTAAAATCATAATGCTATATTATAAAACACATAAAAAATAGCTAAAATTAAATATATTAAGAATACTTTCTCATAATAAAACTATGAATAAATTGAAATGCTTCCACACTCCTGGTAGTAAATTGTCACCTTCACTTTGAAAACAGTTTGGCATTACCTGCTGAAGTTTGGCATACATTAATAAATTCTCTATAACACATCAGTTCTACTTTTATTTATATACCAAATTAAATTCATGTTTATGTATAAAATAAAAGAAACAAAAATGTTTGCAGTCACATTATTCTTAATAGTCCAGTATTAGTTTGCTAGAGATGCCATACCAAGTATCAAAACCTGGATGGCTTAAGCAACAGAAATATATTGTCTCACAGTTCTAGAGGCCTGAAGTCTGAGATCAAGGAATGAACAGTATTGCTTCCTTTTGAGGGCTGTGAAAGAATCTGTTCCATGCCTCTTGCCTAACTTCTGATGGTTTGCTGGAACTATGTGTCATTCTTTGGCTTGTGGAAGCACCACCCCTTCATTGCCTTCATCTTCATATGGTATTCTCCCTATGTGTGGATCTGTCTCAAAATTTCCAATTTTTATAACGATAACAATCATGTTGGATTAAGGCCCATGTTATTGAACTCATTTTAACTTTATAACCTTTGTAAAAATTCTATTTCCAAATAAAGTCAAATTCAGAAATATTGAGGGTTAGGATTTCAACACATAAGCTTGAGAGAGACACAATTCAATACATACCAAGTCTCAAACTGGAAACATTCCAAATGTCCAACGATATTAAAGTAATAAATAAATTGTGGTATATTTTACACTGGAATACCAAACAATAGTTGAATAGATAAAATATTACTAAATGTAATAACTACATGGCGCAAGTATTTTAACAAACAAAAGCAGACATCAAAATATACATACTTAATAAATATTGAATGATCAGTTACCAAAGTATTATTGAAGTGGCTACATTATCTGGGGTACATACCCTGGGGTTTGTTGTCTCATGCCAGGAAAATTTACCACATGGGCATACACAAAGAGTTTAGGAGTGGAGGTTTAATAGGAAGAAGGGAAGAGAAAGAGAAACAGCTTTCTCTATAAAGGGGCCTCTGAGCAGAAAGGACTGGCTAGCGGCAAATGTACCAGACTCCTAGAGCCATTCCCGTTCTTTCTGATACATACAGATTGAAGGACCTTCCTACACGGAGGCTGAGAGCTGGTGCCTTAAGTAGGGTCCACTTTAGCTGGTTAAAGGCCTTTTGAACTTTAAGTTCTTAGGTTAGAAGATGAGTTTTAGCCACTTGAGTTTCTCTTATGAGGTGATATGGAGGAGAAGCTATCTCACCGTACCCAGGTATCCATAGCCTGCAAAATCCTGTAATGCCCCCAAATCCTCTTTGTTGTTTGAGGGTTTGGGGGAGGCAAAAGGAGAAAATAGGCTTAATCCTTTTTTATTACTCCATTTTCATGCTGCTAATAAAGACATACCCAAGACTGGGAAGAAAAAGAGGTTTAATTGTACTTATGGCTCCATATGGCTGGGGAGGCCTCAGAATCATGGTGAGAGGTGAAAGGCACTTCTTACATGGTGGTGGCAAGAGAAAATGAGGAAGAAGCAAAAGCAGAAACCCATGATAAACCCAACAGATCTCATCAAACTTATTCACTATCATGAGAATATCACGGGAAAGTCCAACTTCCATTATTCAGTTACCTGCCCTGAGGAGGAGCAACATAGTATCCCTCCATGTGCAGTGAAACACCCAAATTAACTTTGTAAAACTTCTATATACCTATCATGGTAGTCAGAAAATAAGCCCAAGTCTCCCTTTATTTGCCTAAAGTCCTGCAATGAGAAAGGAACTTGAGGTGATCCCAAATAAGGGGGATTCTCAGATGGTTCCTCCAGAAGTTTCTTTTCTAGTCTTGAGGAATCATTCCCTTTGGACCTGCTTGACATGATTGATAAAACGGCTGGGTTGATTTTGTAATGCCTGCTAAGTTAAGAAGACCATGCCCTTGTGCAGAAGAAAATGAGCTGCTTTTTCTCAAAGTCTCAGGGTCAAAGGAGACCCTGTGATTCAGGATGCACTCCAGAGGAGAAGAGGCCAAAGATGATAAAGAGAAGTGAGAAAAAGGCATCCCTTTAGTCTCCTTCCTTTTGATGTGTCCCAGGGTGGAGAGGAAAAGAGTGGAGGTGTCCCCCCCTGCTCTTTTCCCTCCATGGTTCCTGGGGTCCCAGCACCCTGTTAAATGTGCCTCTAATGGTTGTGAGTGTGACTTCCCCAGCAATGGAACCAGAGGAACTAAGTGATGTGTTTTACTCACCCTCACATATGTGACTCTAGTCTTCTGCCTATGATTTCCTTTTGACTTCCTACACTTGTGTGGCCTGTGTGGCTCCCCGAAAAGTGGATCTTGGGAGAGACTTTGTAACAGTTGCATTTGGGCAACTGTTGCACTTCCCTCCTTAATGGAGAAAGTGTGCTGGTTTGAGCTCTATATCCTTCTATTATGGCTCATGCTAAAGGGTTTACCATTAGTGAATGATTCCAGTTAACTTCTGAACTTAAAATCCCTTTACTAATTAAGTACCATTCTAATTGCAGTCAGAATAGGTACCTTAAAAGAATGTAGGGACCAAATGGTTATTTTCCTGCTGATAGGACAGTATCAAGACTAAAATTTGGTTCCAGAGAATATTTTACTCCTAATTGTTGAAGGCAGAGTTTTCCAACCATAGAAACAGCATAAAGCCTGGTTTCTGGTAGACAGGTACAAAAAGGGAGGGAATTGGGAAGCTAGGGTGTTTTGTTAAAGAACCAACAATGGAGAGGATCCCTATTCCACTAGGTTATGCTGTTGACCTTGAGATGCCATGTGCTTTCCAGTCCAAGGGCAGAGTGACCTTGACATGCTATGTGCTCTCCAGACCAAGGGCAGAGAGAGACCTGGAAATGTCATGTGCTTTCCAGACCAAGGGCAGAGAGAGACCTAGAAGTGCCATGTTCTCTCTGGACCAACGGCAGAGAGAGAGACTTTCACTTGAGAGGGGAACCCTCTGTTCCTAGAAAATTACAAAGATGCCTTCCCTTGAGCTATATCCCCATTTACTATGATATTCCCTGATCTTTGCCAAACAAGATTACTTCCCTGAACTGTAAAACTTCCCACACATTGCGTACACAGAGAGGATAAGAGAAATGATAGTCACAGACAGAAAAAGAGGAAATTATGATAGAAAAGTTGGAGATCCTGTTGCCGACACCCAATTGCGGCAGTCGGAGACTGGGATCAATCCAGAAGCCTTTGGATAACACTGAGGGGTAGCCCTGGCCAGAAATCCTCAGTTGCTCCAGGACTTCTTCCAGCCCCACATGATGGCTAAGTCCACCATGAAGGGAAGCTGGTTCAAACATGGCAAATATGCCCAGCAACTCATGGGTATTGGGGGATTCTCCAATCCATAGCCTCCCCATGTTCTCCCCAGCAAGCCCGTCTCCCAAATCTTGTAAGGCTGGCAACCACGTGAATAGTTTTTAAATGTCCGAGGGGGCCCAGTATTTGGTTTGATTTTGTTCTAAAATGGAGGCCAAGAGCCTCAGAATGAAGGGACAGAGTTGAAGTCTGCTCCTCTACTCACCATTTTGATAAATGTTGTACCTTGGTATCCTGGATGATATCCCCAATATGAAGCGGCCATGTTGTCTGGGGTATGTACTCTGGGATTTGTTGTCACATGCCAGGAAAATTTAGGACACGGACACACACAAGCAGTTTAGGAGCAGAGGTTTAACAGGCAGAAGAGAAGAGAAAGAGAAACAGCTTTCTCTATAGAGAAAGGGGCCTCCAAGCAGAAAGGACTGGCTGGTGGCAAACCTGCTGGATTTTATAGTCCAGATTGAGGAGGTGATGTCTGATTTACATAGGGCTCACAGATTGGTTCAATCAGGTATGATGTTTACATAGTGTGTGGGGAAGCCTGGTTGTCCCACCCTAATATTATCACACAAATGGGCTTTCTAGCCAATCAGTGCCATCTTGTCTGTTACTTACAGTACACGTGGCTGACAAAGAGAAGAGAAGATGGAACCGCCTTCTTGAACATGTCTAGTCCCTAGTTTCTGCCAGCATTCACCCGTGCAAGCTTCCAGCTTGCTTGTCTATGTCTGCAGCTCAACTTTACAGGCTGCTCATTGTTACAAAATGTTTTGGGGCTGCTTTTCATTAAAAAGAAAAGCCTTACTGAGGACTCCCATACCCTTACTATCTGCCTAAGTGATTTCTTCTTAACTCCTATATCATTATAGAAAGCAAAAATAATAGTCTTGGAAATCAGCATAGTGATGAATTAGAATGTGGCTGGACATGGTGATTGATCAGAGCAGGAGGCAGCTTCTGGGGCAATCAATGTTCTGTTTTTCTGTCCTTTTATTCATGTAAATTTATGGGAAAATTTGTTACACGTATATAATGCACAGTTATAAAATCAGTGTACTTAGGGTGTCTATCACCCAAGTACAATATATTCATGTTAAGCACAGTCATCCTATTCTGCTATCAAGCATTGCATTTACTCCTTTCTTCTTACTGTATGCTTGAACATTTTATTTATTCTCTTTATAAAAAATTTTGAACAAGTGGAGGGAGAGAGTGTTCTATTTCTTGATTAGGCAATGGTATATGGGTATTCGCTTATCATGATTCATGAGTTGTACATTTATTTTTTACACCTTTCTGTATCCGTATTTTCATCATACATTAAATAAGAACTCCTTAGGCAATATATTTCTATATATATATTTTATGAGTATAGGTATAGATATATGCACATGAAACTGATATTCATTACATTAATAAAGCAGACTTAGAGAAGTGTGGTAAAGTTAATTTTTTCTTCTTTTATTCCTCTCTGCCATTTAACTTGCTATAGAAAATATAATCACTGTTAAGCATAAAAAAGGAAAATGTTATAAAGTGAGAGTAATATGATAATTAGTGCATTAAGACTGAACTGAAAGAGGTAAATTGCTTTTAAAGGTCACACTTAGAAGAGAGGAAATCCTTGAGAATCTACGTCCATTCAATCAGCCTTTTGTTCCATATGTGTGGAACTGACCAATATTACATTAAAGATGCATGCATTCTGTTTCTATAGAGGAAGAACATTGTAATGATACAATATGAAATAGATGAAGAACTCCTTAAATATTGGGCTTGCATTAACATAAATCTGAAATTGAAATATTTTCAAAATGGTATACTTAAAGGTTAATGCAAAATAATTTAAAATGCATATCACACTATAAGAAAAAGTAAAGAGCTAGAACATTTTCAGTAATTATAAATTAAAGTTCAAATTTTCAGATAATTATTAGCTTAGTAAAAATGCACTATTTATTTGAAATCTCTCTTGTAAATTTAAAGTATTTAATAAGAATCTAAACTTAAGTTTTGTAATGACAGGACTGCTTCAAGCCTGTTGCATTTTTCAGTTATAATGGAATACATTCAAATGCTACTTAGCATATTAAATGGCAGATCACTTTGCTATATATTTAGTGTTATCCAAGGTTGAGAAGACATTTTGTAAATATTTAAAAATTAGAAACAAGGGACTGGTGTGCTAATTCCTTTTCTTCTCTACTTTATGCCTTAATAATTCATGTTCTTGACTCTTTAAATTGGTTTGTCCTCATAAGTTTGTTATGAGGAGAAAAGAAGGAGATAGTTTTGCTGATAAAAATGATAGCACTTCCTTTCAACTTAGTTAAGCTGCATTAGCCAGAGAGGCTAAGGCCGGAAGTCCTAAACTGAATGAAGAACAAGTGAGCTCAGAGGAAAGGCAGCCCACTAAGATATTCCCTGTGTATAGAATGCTAACTAGAGGCATGTTCAGCCTAAATCTATCATTTCTGTCTGAGACTCTTGCCTGCCTTCTCTTACTCTTTGGCAATTTTTTCCCACTCAACAATGATGTTGTTAGCATAGAGAAAAATACTATAATGCTTAATAAATCACTTAGTAAATATTTTTTCAAATGTACTTATAAATTTTGGAGGCTGGAGTAAATAATTCAGGTAGTAGTTATAATATTATTAGCTAAATGTACAATAAACGTCTTTAATGAAAACAACATTTGCCTCCTTTGTGATGTAGAATGCATTTAAATGATAATATAAACAATAACTATACTTAGATGTCAAAATACCCCTCATGAGCTTTAAAAAATATTTAAACATTTTAATTTAATAAATGTGTATTTTTGTTAAGCATTATGATAGGTGATGAACTATGGATATGAATAATATAAATTCTGGTACCACAAATAAAAAACATAATAGACTCACTCTGTATAATGTAATGAGTACTTTAGCTGGGCTATGTACAAAATGCTATGCAAGTACAGTGAAGGTAATTAATTCTGTGTATTGAAAAAAGAGGAAGGCTTTGCAAAGATAATACATGACCTGAGAAACGTGAACTTATCTTTTTAGAGATAAATATATTTTGAGATAAAATATTCATAGAAGTAAAATATAATCAACTATATGGAGATATAAGAGCAAGAGATATAAAGTATTCTGAACTTTCTGAAGGTTAAATTGAAAAGGGCTGATGGAGCAATATCAGTTGGAGAGTTAGCTTTGGGCATGAATATGAAAGACAATGTATACTATACTAAAGATCTTGAAATATGTACTCTGGATATTAGAGACCCATTAACCTTTTATTTTATTTTTTATTATTATGAGAAAAACATAACCAGATATATAACTTTAAAACAGAACATCAGGAGTCTTTAATAGATTAATTGTAGAGTGGAAGGAACTGAAAGTAGAGTGAATTATTTGGTGGCTTTTAGACACTTAAAGCAAGCATAAAGAAGGCCTGCTGTGCATTACAGATGGCGTAAAATGGAGAAGCTCTCAGAATGACAAACAGTAAGACATAAACTGTAACATTTGAGTGATTAAGAAATGAGAATTGCTTATAACAATTCTCAGATTTCTAGCATTATGTTACTCTTAAATGAGTCATTAAACATGACATATTTGAGGTATAATTGTTGAATTTTGAAGTCAGTAAGAGGCAAAGTGGAGGAAGAGATAGAAATATGATTGATTACATTGATGTACACATGGCGATTTATACCATAAGACATTATTAGATTGCCCTGAATTACAACATATATTCATAATAGGAAAAGGAGAAACTCACAGTGAAGTGATTTAAAGAACAGCAGAAGGCCAATGATGGGATCTTAGGGGTAAAAATAGTATCCCTAGGAAACAAGTTGTTTTTCAATGGCTTCTCAGTGTTGATTCTCTCAGAAATAGCCAAGAGCTTTTATAACAATGTAGACAGGTTTCACACAGAACATAATTCTTCTTTCTTTTTACAATAAAAATTGTACAAAAATGTTTTTGAGGAGCTTTATTTGAAGTCATTTATTAATAGGATTGTACCTTAAAAATAGTATGTCCAAAATATTTCTATACTTTATCAAAAATATACTATTGTAAAATATTACACATCTATTTCAGTCATTTTTCATTCTGAATTTAAGAATGGCCAAAGGTTAGTTTAAAATAATTCAGTGCAATATAATTTTTGCATACATTTTTATTTAGAGAAAAATAATAATAACATATGAGAAGGGAGACATGAGAACAATTTAAAATTTGTTGAAGAAGAACAGTCATTCAAATCATAGCTATATAAACAGTCATAAAGATTGAAATAAAAAAGTTGCCTCTGTGCAGAGGAGAACATAAAGAGTAGACTTAGTGGTATTTTAATATAAGCTTATTCAATAATTATTTTTAATATAATAAAATTTACTTACTTTGATGCTTTTGGGGTAATTAACCTTAGTGATAGAGAAATTGTACTTACAGTAATGGCCTTTACCATCCCCAAAATGTATAAAAACTTTTTCCTGAAAGGTGGGTGAAATCTGGTTTCAAGTGCTATTGACAATCTATATAGTCTGAAGTAACAAGTCCTAGCTCTGAGATGAGTATATACTCCATAAAGCCTTTTTACAAAGACAAATTTAAGTAAATCATTTATTTCCCCATTGAAGTTTTGAAAGCGAATGAGAAACACTTGGCATTTATTTCTTTAGATCTTTTCTAATGTGAAGCAACTTTTCTAAGAATATAAAAAGAAAGCTTACTTTTCTAATGGAGGTAAATTTTCAGGCAAAATATCTTACAGGGATCATGTTTTAAAATATTGACTTTTTAATTGTATTGCTCTTAGTAAAAGTTAAATGTGGTAGAATATAATGCAAAAATATAAAATCATTTAGTTTCAGTGACTTAACTATATAGGAGAAAGAAAAAACCCTCCAAAGACCAATTCCTTATTTAATTTTCAAATTAATACTTGACAAGTTCATTTTCTTGCATTGCTCTTACATAACAAAATGGTATAATTTATTAGCAAATCAAGAAAAGCTAAAATTATCAGAAAACTTATAATTTTTTTCTGAAATAATTTCAAATATTTTAAAAGCATAGAATTTAATAGTTAAAACTTTTAAATTCATGTTTTGGTCACACCAGTTTAGCATTTCTCAAAGAGAAGACAAAAATGACAGTGTTTTAATAATAAATAATAAGTGGTGGGGAATTGAGTAGCCAAGCTTGCTACACATAATTTTTAAAATATTAGTTGCAAGACAATAAAAAAGTGCCAACTCTCATAGTTCCATTGTTCTCTATACCTTCAAACACTAGAGAAGGACAATTATAATGTACATTGATGTATTTTATTCATTTTACAAAAACACATGGTCATAGAACGTTACTGACTCAGATAAACACACAGTAAGGATAATAGTCTCTGCAGTGGGTCTGTTATAAGCATTAAACTTTGTATGAACTTGACTTTGTACACTTTCTATAGAACTCTCACTCTGATAATACCTTTTCAGGATGAGTACTGTTGCAAATAACATCTGTTCACAAGATTTCAATGGCCTCAGTTCAGATGACACAGTTTCCCACATATTGTCTTCAATAAAATTTCAACTCATAAACACATACAAAAAATCCAAAGAAAGATAAAAATTCTTAGTGTTTTTAATGTGCAAATTAATCAAATATCAAATGTAAATAACTTTAAACCTAGAGAAGCAAAAGAATAATCCGATATTTAATAACCAAACGAGATTTTCCTAAAATAAATATTGAATTAGCTAAATAAATTGTGGAAACTTAAAGCTTCTGTCATTGAAATGTTATAGAAATAAAATAGTTTCCTAAGTATTTTTACTATAATGAACTCCTTTTCCCATTGGCTGATGGCTCTAGGGCATTGCACAACAACCTGTGAAAATGTTGATTTAGATAATCATTAATTATTTTGAGGATCATATATTAATATAAAATCAGTTGTTTATTTTTTGATGTCTTTATGTTCTGTAGTCATTTGCAAATTGTAGTGTGGATTCTCATGATGGTTTTACTGATGGAGGAAATAAGGAGCATATGTGGTTATCATAGTCTCTAAGGCTCTCACTGAGCTTGCCCTTTCCTCTCTCTCATCACGTTTTCTGCGACCACTGTCATTTCTCACTGCACTAAAGGCTTTTTCACCTCTTTGTAGATCTGCATTCAGAAAACAAAAGGATTTTTCTCAAAACCGATTTTTTTTCTCTTCTTTTATTCTCTGCTTAAAATTATCTTCTCACATATCTATACCTAAGGAGATCTCCTTTGGTATTCAGGATTTTTTCCACTCATTGATAATAATAAAAAATGCTTTACAAAATAAAATTTAAAATATATTCTTTGTGTTATTAAAGAACTTACCATGAGATAAAACACAATGAGAAATTCAAAGGCCGATTTTTGCATGAAGTCTGTGATCAGAGGGGCAAGGCAGTTATGAGCATTAAATTTATTTATTGTATCACATAGACATTTACCTATATAGCAAAGATTGTGACCAGAGCCACTGATGGTGGGAAGTCTTGTTATAGATCTCATTTCAGATGAAGTGAGTCAGAGGAGACAAAGTCTCTCAGATGGAGACCATTATATTTGGTGCTGATATCTGCTTGCCTTCTGGGGAGAACTCAGGGAGCTTTTACTCATGGTGGAAGGCAAAGCAGGAGCAGGCACTTCATGTGGCAAGAGAGCAAGCTGCGGGGGGAGGAGTCACACCCTTTGAAACAACTAGATCTCACCAGAACTTACTACTACAAGGATAGCAACAAGCCATGAGGGATCTGCCCCGATTTCCCAAACACCTCCTACCAGGCCCCATGTCCAACATTGAGGATTACATTTCAACATGAGATTCGGTGGGAACACAGATCCAAACCATATTACCAATCTATTTATTTTTATGTAAATATTATTTTTAAGTATTGTTAACAAATCCTGTTGTCATATACAATGAATGGTGATGTAACATGCCAATTTTAAAAATGTATAAAATAATTATATGGAAAGATAGAATATTGTGGAACATTGTATATTTTGAATAATATTTTGAACTTTAAAATTTTTTCTAATTAAATTCATCGAAATAAAACTGATTTGTGAAAATATTTTCCATGTCAAGACTTCTGCAAATTTCGCTTACCTAATTGAGAATATATAAATCATATTTTACCATCTAATTTAGTAAATAATACAGTGCAGTAGCAACAGATTTCCTGTATCTATTTTAACTTTAAATGGGTGCTTATTTGAAATAATGCTACACTAAAAGTAATTTACATCTTATATCATTTTTGTATGCTATGAAAGCTTTAAACCTTTCAAAATAATGAAAAGCGAGGCTTAGGAGAATGAGATTTTCTGTCCTGAAAGGCAGAAAAAAAATCCTATCTATGCTATTCAGTTATTACCATGTGTTGGTTTCAGATCTAACTCTGACCTTAATTTCATGCTGCCTGCTTCAGTTCTGCTTTGTACACAAAAGTGATAAAATATCTTCAGTGTGTGAATATACCTTGTTTACACAACAGTCAAGTTATTTGAAAGGATTTTATTTTTTTAAAAATGCAAGAATATAAAACCTTCATTCACTCTGAAGTGCTCTTGGAAACTTATCTTCTATTGTGATAAATTGTGTCTCTGATACAAATCAGAAGTTTTATCCCATCTAAGATCCCCTCTCTTTAGTTTACTAACGAGGATTTGTATTCAGAGCCATTCAGATAGTGAAAAACTATTTTCTTTATTACCTGAATTTTATTTTGTTAATGTTTTTCTGAAAAGTCGGTTTACTGAACATTGAAAGGATTCATATTATTTATTAATGTTAAGGTCACTAGTCTTTGGAGATGAAATCATAGCAAGTTTGAAGTTTATTTGAGCTACTTCTAAATTATTGAAACATATTTATTAGGAGTCTATTGTTGCAAAAGTTGAGTTTTCAGTAAATTAAATTTCACCAATACTCTAGTAAAAATAACTCAAAATATAGCCCTAACAATACCCTATCATGTACTTTTTGAAGGAAGAATATAAGTATATGAAAAGGAAAGCTCAAATTAGAAGTTGTTTAGTTAAATTATATTTCTACACTGGTGTGGCAAAAGTTCAGAAATAAAGTGGCATATCAGGAATAAAATCAGCTATTTTGATGCTATTATCTAGTAAAATTTTATGGGGTTGCTGTTTTTAACAGTTGGGAATATTTAAATATTCTACAAATTTTACAGGTGGTTGGAAACAAATATTGTTATGGGATTCTTACAACTATTAACGACATGGAGGTACAAATTCTGGTTAGACTTTTGAGAAGAAATTAACATGATACATAGTGAGATAAATGAAAATTAGTAGGTGTGGCAAAGTAAATGAAATTTTTAAATTCTATAATGGAAGCAATGACAGTATAAGTTTTGTCAGGACAGAAAGAAACTGTTAGGACAATGCATCCACTGCGTCATACAGGACATTTAACAAAGAAACAGACAAGTATGTCTCAGTAATTTAGAAATGGTTCCACCTTTGTTATAGAAAAGATTTCTCACATCCCCCTCCATAATTTAGATTCTTTTTTTTAAAAAAAATTGTTACCAAAAAAGAATAAAAGTATCACATTGAAATATCTATATTTATATTCAACAATGGAAGTAATCATTAATACATTCATGTGTAAATTTCTAGCTCCTTTTAGTGTGCACATTACTCTTTGAAACCTGTTTTTTCACTTAAAAAGATTGCATGCCAAATTATATAAAATTTTCTGATTTGGGGGTTTACTAGACTAAACTTGAATAACACTTCAAGCATCATACTTGTGAACAGTAAAATTTTGTTTGCTCTGTGAAGTAAAACTATTCATTAAATTGATGTCTATTTTATTATAGAAATAATTTTAGGTCATTTCTTATAGATGTATTTTATAATTTAACCTATCACTAGATGAAAGGTAAGACTGACATCTAATTTTTTATTGTAAGACTATTTAGAAAATCTATTTCTATAGTCATGCTGATATATACTACTTTAACTGGGTATGTAAAAATTGCAATTAATTGATTACAAATTCTTTTGAATTCTTTTATATTTATTTCAAACATATAATTTTGCAATGTCAACAAATTCTGTTCAAAAGAATATAATGTAAAATTAGCAAAAAAGAAAAAATAATAGAAAGGCAACTGTTCAGATTGGACCAGGGTGGTATTTCAATAAATGCATATTTCTTGTACTTCTCTCAGTTCCTAGGTGAGACTGGGGCACCACCTCAGAATCCATTAGATCCTTTTCATTTATTAGACAGAATTCCTTATAAACCTGCGTATTTCATGTTCTTTCCAGTGCTTTCCCTTACTGGCCAGCAGCCCCAGTGATTTTGCAGAGGATGGGCCATAAAAGACGTCCCCACTCTTTATAGAGTTTTCCAGGTCAGAGTCTGCTGCCTGTGCCAACTGTCTCCCCTGTGCTTGTCTGTAGGCCAAACCTGCTTCCATGAACTTGCTTGATTCTTCCTTGGTTTTCATGTTGAATACAATTTCATCTGGTTCAGAGACTCTGAGTCAGTTTATAATGATCTAAATTTAATTAGCTACCTGTCAGTCTCATGTATTTCTTCTCCTAACTCTGCCTCCCAAATTTCCAAAGTGCTTAGAAGGCAAATTCTGCCCTCACCCCTCTTATCTGTACTTTGATCTTCTGTTAAAGCAATATATTTTAAACATTTTCCCCTAGAAATAAAAGAGCAATATTTTTGACATATTTGTGCTGAGTAAGGTATGGAAGAATTACATTTCTAAGTAAGTATAAATATAAACATAGAGCAACAAAAGTAATTAGAGACATTCTTTTTTTCAAAATTCAAACACCTTTTCTGTAGGTGTTTGACTATGGTGCTTGACTCTAAAATAAAATTACTTTTTTTATGACGTTTGGAATTGAAAGATAAAAATGTGAGTTATTTTTTTTTTTACCTGTTTTATCTATTTTGTTTTGTTTTGATGCATAAGCCTATTTTGAGGACATAAGTTAAATATGAAGTAACTGGGCTGGCTAAGACTCCACTGAATCAAACAAACTTACCCACCCAGTCTCAGTCAGCACTGAGCAACTTCAGGTTTCTGTAGTGCTCAGCATGCAAGGAGAGAATAGCACAGAAGGCACTTTCTCTGAGATGTAGATTGGAGAGAAGAGACAGTAAGCTCAGTACCTCCTCCCAAACCTATCAGTGACAATTTTTTATCCCTAACTTTGAGGACACAGTACATCGAGTGTGTGGTGAAGGTAGAGGCAGAGAGTGGTCTAAAGCCCCTTCCCATGGATATGTCAAGGGCGAATACAAGGGTCCCAATGAAACAGAGTTCTCCTGCCCTGTTATTTTATTTTTTATATGTATATATTTTTGAGACGAAGTCTCTCTCTGTTGCCCAGGCTGGAGTACAGTGGCGCGATCTGGACTCACTGCAACATCCGCCTCCCAGATTCCAGCCGTTCTCCTGCCTCAGCCTCCCGAGTAGCTGGGATTACAGGCACGCACCACCACGCCCGGCTAATTTTTGTATTTTTAGTCAAGACGGGGTTTGGCCAGGCTGGTGTCGAGCTCCTGACCTCAGGTGATCCACCCATCTTGGCCTCCCAAAGTGCTGGGATTACAGGCATGAGCCACCACGTCCGGCCTATTATTTTAGACTTTTAAAAATAACATTTACTTTTCCCTTTATCTCATCCTTTAACGGAAGAGGCACTAAAGATTAATGTGAACTCTAATGACTTATTATATTACAAAATACACTTTGCAGAATTCCCTCAAAATTCCTTTTGGCAAGGATTCATTTAAATCAAAACTAAAACAAAAATTAAATATCCCCTCAACACAAAATATTCTGTCACGGTGACTTTCCATTTTATACCTTAAATGAAGCATTTTAATATTATTAAAAATAAAAAAATTAAACTATAATTTATTCAAGTTCTTCAACATAAAATCCTTATTCAGCTAGATCTGTCTTGCATGGTATGTTCTTTTCAGCCTATAACTATGTAATAGGAGAAAGTGATTTGGATTCCTTGAGGCTCTTTTCATGAACTAAAATATATATTTCTGCATTTGGAGTTTCTTTCTAGCAGTTATTCTACAACCCTAATATATGCTTCACACAGCAGCCACATCTGTTCCACCACAGGTGATACAGGAAAAGCTTCTACGGAATTGCTCAAGCACTCAATAAAGCAGTTAGGCAGATGTCTTTGACTTTCTTTGGTGTGCAATTTTGTTAGGTTTCATGCTGATTATGCAACAAACTGCTAAAAGAGCTCAATTGTGAAATATTATTGACTATATTTTGAAAAGCTGGATTTAAATTTCAAATCTTAATTGTACAGCTGCTTATACAATGTGTCTAGAAGAGAAGTTAAAAGATTGACTCTTTGGTGGGTGAACTGCCTGAAAGAAAAGCAGGTAACCACATAAGGCTCTTATATAGCACCTACATATTATTAGGTGTGTCAGCCCTTTTAAAATGTGGCTTCACACTCAACCAATGTTATCATTAAAGAACAGTGGGACTCAATAGCTAATGCTTATCTTTTTTTACCTGCTAAGATAAAAGTAAGATAAAGGAGCTCATTAAAATACCTGTCTCTACTTCCTGAGCTATCCTGATAATGGTTAATGGGACCCGTGGTTCCCCTTAAAAGTCTGCAAAGGCATGCGTAATAGCTTGGCTTAGAGTTAGGTGAGGAAGGTTACATACTCTTAACCTGAGCTACTCCATGTATAGCTGAATAGATGAATGACTTGGCATTGATGCCAATGTATTCTTAATAATATTAGATATATTAATATGTCCTTACTTTTAGGGGTTTAAAATAGTCTGCATAGTATATTTAAGGGTAAGGGAAAATGGCCTTAAGGCCATTCTTAAGAATTTAGGTTTTAAACCTGATTGATAATTGTACCTGCCCTCTGAGAAGTGTTCTGCTCTAAATTTAGAGAAGTGATAAGAGTTCTTCCATTTTAGCTTTTGTATTGTCGGCAGATCTTGTGGATGAGAACATATGAAATATGTATTAAGTACCCACATTTTGCTAGTTACTACTCTAGGAGCTGAAAATACAATAGAAAAATAAAGGATCTCCTTTAATATGGAACTTATAATGGAAGATGGCAGACAATATGTATATCTGTATATGAATATATGGATAAACAAATTGTACATCTATATATTTTATTTATATATCCATTATATTTAACTGTGTATTTGTTACATTTATATATTATCAGTATATAAATAGCATGGTAGATATCAGTGAGTGCAATGTAGACAAATATATATGGGAACAGGAGAAGACACGTCCTTCTCCTGGGTGCAGTTTTCAACAGGGTGGTTTGGTAAAGCCTCGATGAGTAGATTTCCAACAGCCATGGACATATCTAGGTGTGTGTTCTTGACAGAGAAGAGTTGCATTTATTAAATTCACTTCCTATGTTACTGAAGTTGACTTAAAATAAGAGAAGAGCAAAGCTGATGAATTTTTACTTATTTTTTTGACTGGATGCCACGATGTGATAAATAATGGGAAGAAAATGCCAGTGACAGCTTCAGTGGGAAAATGACTTGTTGGTAAGTTATCTGGGTTGAACACTAAAGCCACTGAACCTGATTTGTGACCACGAGCTCACTCAAATTACAATTGAGATTCAAATAAAATTAGGCAGAAAATTCAACTGAAGATTCTTACTCTCATTAATTAAAATGAATGCTCATGACGTTAATTAACTACCTAAGCAAAAAGAGAGGCTTAACTTCAGGTGTTTAAGAAGTAAAGGGGAAGTGGTCTTAAATAAACCTTTGCTATATAGTCTAAGAAAATAAAAAGCAACTGCTGTTTAATATTTTGGCTGCCAGCTGATTATTAACAAATATAATAATACTGAATGAATATACTGACTGGTTTATTGATAACTAGGTAAATGAGGTTGTATGAATGTACAAATTAAAATAACACCTGTGAATCTGGCATGAAGTACATGTTAAGCTCATGCTAGTTATTGTGAAAGAAAACACACCAAAATTTAGAGAAAAAAAAAAGCCTATATAAACCCCACCAACCTTAAAATATTCCTGGGATCTAGTTCTTCATTGGAGTCATTTACCACCCCAAGACTGAAGAGAGGATTTATTCCAATAGAGTTGGACTCTTGGGGAAGAAGATAGGATAGTGATCATGGAATTTTCAGTTTATGTAATAATTCATTGAACTATGTGGATAAGATATTAATTTGCCCAAACTTCATTAGCCTTGTAACTTCTTAGATAGCTTCCAAACCTTAGAGAGATCTAATCTGTACCCATGACTGTCTACCCATCTTTCTTTTCATCAATCAATGGGTAGCCGTGGACATAAATCAAATCAATGTTAGATATCAATATTAAATGGCAATCTCACTAAAAATAAGAAACATATTTTAATGCATATATTATTTGGTTAAGATTAAAACAAACATTGACTCATATTTTGAATTAGATATTATTCATATCTCATAATTACTATCCTTCTGAAATCTCAAGTATCTTAGTCTTCCTAATTTTCATTCAACCTATATTCCGTCTTTACACAGAGAACTGAGAAGAGTTCATTAAAGAGATATAACTGGATATCTTGCATTCTCTTGTTTTTTATCTTATATTTAATTGGAATCTTCTATAATTGTCTGCTTAATTTTCTTGTTGAAATAACTATTGTCTCCAGTTTTTTGTTTTTTGTTTTTTTAATTTACTCCAGGAAGCGTTCAATTTCCAGTGGGCAATTCTGAGTCTTTACATTCTGTTTACTTTTTTGTGTCCCTGTCCTCTCCCTCACCTCTAGCGTCTGTTTCCTCCCATTGTTTATTGTTCTATGTTCTCCTAAGCACGGCACACAAATAGTATCTATTTTCTTCTTCTTCCCCCACTCTCTATTTTTCCCAATTCTTCTAGGTGAAAACGGTTTTGTGTTTTTCCTACAAGAAACAAAACCATTTTGAAAAGACCTAACTACTCATAAATTTCCTGGCATAATGATCTCTCAAATTACAAACCCTACATCTTCAAATCCAGACCAGGAATTCCCTGAAAGAAGTAACCAGGTTTAATTTTTGTACTTTGTGGCTAATTTATATACTAGGTGTTCACTCAGTAATTTGAACCTAGACCTGTTTCATTTAACATGCTACCTTCAGGGAGAAAAAGAAAAAATGGAGAAATGATGTAAAAATTTAAGAGAACTTAGGGATTGATAAAATATTAAAGAGTAGAGAAGCATCTAAGAGAATCAGTGATTTTAAGGCCTAATTACTGGGAGCCATGCATCTTCATGAATAGGGATAAAGTATGTAGGGATGGAGAATTATGAATATGTGTTAGAGCTATTGAAACTGATTTTACATGTGAAACGTCTCGGAAGATTTTGCAGGATAAAGTCTAGTCTTGGGAAGTAGGAAGTAGGGATGGATATTAGTGAAAGTACGTTGCATAAATGTTTTAGGTATTGATTTTATTAACTTTTAAAATTCACTGTGTTATGTATAGTTATAAACACAGTTTTCTCAGAGAACTCTGGCAAGGACAAGCCACTCTATTGGTTTGCATACGTGAGTCATTTGTGAAACCATCAAAAGAATCACTAATCACTAAATGACTATTGAAGATATTTACTCATCCTCTACTATAAATTATAAAGTTTTAAAATAATAATCACAATCATTTATACTTGGATCCTTTTTTGGAAATCATAAAAGAGTAATTATGATTGAACAGTGGAAGAAAGCACACAGAAGTGACGACCTTCATGTTTAAAGTATATAATCACATTTAACTTTTCATTATTTTATAATTTGCACAATAATGTACATTGCTATGCTATGTCCCTACTCTTTTCTCTCTAGTTCAAATGATCACATCATTCATCAAAAATAAAATGTTTTCATAATCTATTTCACTCTACTTTTTATAGTAACCCATTCTTCTGAATATTGAAGAAATCAATACACATATCTGTGGAAAAAGGGACAATTGTCATGATGATGATAGTAATATTTTGTAAAGTCACTTTCAGATTTATTGTAAAATTTTGTTTAAAATGTTCATGGGATAAGTTGGGACCATAATTCTACCTTTTAAAATTGTACCTATACATTTAAAAATTTAAGAAAATCGAATTTTAACCTGGATTTGTCTCTATGTCAGGTATTTGGCTACCTTTCTAGAAATTGTTTTTTCTTTATTTATTTGTAATGTTTTGAGAATATTGACTAACACTAATAATTCGCCCACATTTATATAAAACATGCAGCGAGGCGGGGAACACTAAATAAATATGTTCTAGATTTAGAAGCTCTACTGGGGCTGGGGGCAGTGGCTCACGCCTGTAATCCCAGCACTTTGGGAGGCTGAGGCAGGCAGATCACAAGGTCAGGAGATTGAGACCATCCTGGCTAACACAGTGAAACCTTGTCTCTACTAAAAATACATAAAATTAGCAGGGTATGGTGGCATGCGCCTGTAATCCCAGCTATTCGGGAGGCTGAGGCAAGAGAATTGCTTGAACCCGAGAGGTGGAGGTTGCAGTGAGCCCAGATCCCACCACTGCACTCCAGCCTGGGTGACAGAGTGAGACTCCATCTCAAAAACAAACAAACAAAAAAAACAAAAGAACCCTATTGGAAATAATTTTTTACCTTGTTTTTTGTAATCTCTTTTACAATCCCATCATCTATTTCTGACAATGCTAACTCCTAAATATCTACTATATATTTGTAATTCTTTTGTATTTCAATGTACTGTCTTCTCTCATCTGATTAATCTAACAGTCTGCTATTTCATTTAACCACTCTGGGCCCCATTTCCTTTTACCATCTGTTATTTTAATTCAATTTTTATTTTTCAAAAAATGGATTATAATTTTATTTCCAAATTAAATTTTTAAAGGCCTTCTATTCTTAGGGCAATTTTAGGTTCACAGCAAAATTGAGAAGGTACAGAGATTTCTCATACACTTCTGCCCCTATATATTTATAATCTCCCCCATTATTAACACCCTCCACCAGAATGGTACATCAGCTACAACTGATGAAACTATCTTGACGCACATTCTCACCCAAAGTCCATAGTTTACATGTGAGTTAATATTAGTGTCATACATTCTACAATTTGGACAAATTTATAAAGACCCACATTCACCATTGTAGTATCATACAGAGTAGTTTCATTGCTCTAATATTCTTCTCTGCTGTGACTATTCATCCTTCTCTTCCTGCCTCCTAGTACCTGGCAACCACTGATCTTTTTACTGTCTTCATAGCTTTGCCTTTTTAGGAATTTCGTATAGTTGTTATCTTACACTATGTAGCCTTAAGATTCCCTTATTTTACTTAGTAAGATTTCATTTACATTTCCTCCATGTCACTTCATGGCTTGGTAGAACTCATTTATTTTTAACACTGACTAATATTCCATTCTCTGGATGTACCAAGTTTATTTACCCATTCACCCACTGAAGGATATCTTGGTTGCTTTTGAGTTTTTCTAATTATGAATAAAGGTGCTATAAATATCTGTGTGCAGATTTATGTGTGGACATAAATTTTCAACTCCTTTGGATAAATATTGAGCATGATTGCTGGATCATATGATAAGAATATGTTTAGTTTTGTAAGTGACTGCCAAACTGTCTTGCAAAGTGAATGTACCATTTTGACTTCCCCCAGCAATGAATGAGGATTCCTATTGCTCCATATCCTCATCAGCATTTGGTGTTCTGAATTTTGGCCATTTTAATAAGTCAGCAGTGATATCTCATTGCTTTAATTTGCATTTCCCCAATGACATGTAATGTAAAGTGTCTTCATATGCTCATTTGCCATATGCATATTTTCTTTGGCGAGGTATTTGTTAAAGTCTTTGGCCCATTTTTATTTTCTTTAACATGCAAATTATATTATGTCACAGTCGAGCCCTTCTCCGTTCTTCATTCCTACACTCTAAACTTATATACCTTTGGTGGATACCTAATGCTTTTAGAATAAAGCCTCAAACTCTTACAAAGTTGATAAGGCCTTGGGTAATCTGGTTTTCATTTTACCTCGCCAGCCTTGTCTAGACTTCTCTGCACTGATCCTCTGCTAATCTTTCAGTCCTTCAACTGTGCCAAGTTGCCTTTGCCAGTAACATCTCTATGAACACAGTTCTTTTAGCCATAGACAATAGGTAAACAGATGGGTGCAGCTGTGCTCCAATAAAACTTCATTTATGAAATAGGTGGTGGACTATATTCGACTTGGGGGATTCAGTTTGTTCATCCCTGCTGTAAACTATATGAGAACAAAGGTTTTCATTTTGTGGTTTCTACATAGAATCTCTCACACCATACCTAGTGCACAAAAAATGATGGGGATTTTTTTTTATTGAGCATGTTTTGTGATTATGACATTATAAGTGCTTACTAGCACTGTATGTGCTTAACGGTATCACTGTAATAAAATTGAGTGCTTAATAAAGAGTTTGGGGAAATTACCTATATTAATATAGCTAGTTTGGGGCAGAGTTCAAGGAATACAGAATGGATGGCAAATATATTCACTGTATGCAAATAAAACGTTGACTTCATTTTATTTTTTATAACTGATCTAATAATCATCTTCATGAGCTTATATTCCAAAACAGTTAACTTCCTATGAATGCCATCTCAGTCCCATTTCCATTTAAAACAGATTGTTTTAAGTAAAACTGAAGTCTCAGAGATTGCCTTTCTCTTTCCCTCACTGGCCTTGAGTCTTCAGGCTCACAGGATTGAAGTTCTCTGTCTCTTCTTGAGCCTCTGTGCAGGTCGCCTGTCTTTTGGGTTTCAGCATGCCTTGCTGAAAGCATCAGCTAAAGATGTCTACAGGTGGCGCATTTGATTGCTGGTGCATTTGAGTGCTGCCTTCTTAAGGCTTGTGCAGAATCTAGCAGGCTTTCCAAATGGCCTAGTTTCATCTGATTTATGATGGTGTTAATTCCTTTCTGGCTGAAATTTTGAAACACCCGAGCCCTTTACACACACCATGGTGAGCTTTAAAATCCACCAGCTGGAATTAACTAGCTTTGTTTTGTCTCCCTCTACAAAGTACTTATTGAATTCTGTAGACCTTTCATGCTGCTTAGGGGCCAAGGATGATCTTGAAGGGATGTACACCTTTGGCCAGACCACACCATGACACCAGTCTCCTGATGTGACTTCTCAAGTGGCACATAGCTCCTTAGTGAGTCAGAGACTGAAGCTGGAAATGGTTTGTGATTGCTAATTTGATATATAACCTTAACTGAGCTAAGGATGGATAGATGGTTGATAAAACTTTGTTTCTGCATGTGTCTGTGAGGGTGTTTCTTGAAGAGATTAGCACTGAATCAGTAGGCTGACTAATAAATTCTACTGTCACCAAGGTAGGCAGACATTATCCAATCCACCGAGGGTATGAATAGGACAAAAAGGCAGGGACAGGGCAAATTCTCTCTCTCTCTTTTCTTGAGCTGGGACATTTATCTTCTGCTTCCATGAACATTGGAGCTCCTGGTTCATGGATCTTCAGACTCTGGACTCACAACATTGGCCCCAATTGTTCTCAGGCTTTTGGACTTCGATCTTACAACACTGGCTTTCCTGGTTCTCTAGCTTGCAGAAGGCAAATGGTGAAACTTCTCAGCCTCCATAATCATGTGAGCCAATTCATGTGATAAAGAGAGAGGAATATATATATATATACACACACACACACACATATATACACACATGTAGATGAATATACATACACACATACAGGTGCATATATATACACATGTGTGTGTAGATATGTATATACACATGTATATATGCATACATGTATATGTATACATGAGTATATATGTGTGTGTATGTGTGTGTGTATATATATATATACATACACTTATATGTGTGTGTGTGTTTGTGTATATTCCCATAATAAATCTCTCTCTGTCCCTCCAGATATCTATTTTTATAAACTATTTGTTCTATTTCTCTGGAGAACCCTGATCGATACATGATTCAAAAGCCTCTTAGAACTGAGATTTTTCTCCGGAGTATTTCTCACCACTCCACTGAGATCTGGGCCTGGGGGAGTGAAGCCATGGCAGACCCCCCTCTGGCTCCCACTTGCTCTTTCTCAACCTTCCGTAGGGCTGAAGCAGAGCACTCACTATACAGGTGCATACCTTCTGGAGTGCACTTTTCTCCATCATATCTTATTTCTTACTGGAGATAAAATGTCTACAGCTCAGTTTTGGAAGTAGCATCTTCCTACATGGAAGAAAAAATAATAATTAAATTATAGCCTTCATGACCTGACTGTTGGTATGTAAGAAAAAAAAATGTAACTGGTATGTAAGAAAAAAAAATGTACTGGGACATTTGTTAAGAACAGCAAGGAAAACTTTCTTCAAGACTATTGCAATAGGGGAGAAAGATTGAATTCAACTTTGCTGAAACAAAACTTCAATGCTGGGATGAACTAATGAAAAATTCCTGAAGCATGTTTTGAGGAGGTTGGTCAATATGATTAGGCCATTTAGGCCGTCTCTGTTTGCTGATTGTCACTTGTAAAAGTTATATTCCTGACTTTCCACAGAGGCTGGGAAACAGAGGATCCCTCTTTCTTGATTATTAGATTTCAAAGTGATGACTTCCATGTCTTTGAGAAAGATATTCCTGTGTTGTAGAAGATTTACATCTTAAAGGTCAGAAGAAGAATGTCCTATTGTAAGTTTTATAAAGTAAATACTCTAAGAAAAGAGACATCAGGGTCCTATAGTCAGGAAGAAACTTATCTAAAGTTTATTCAAGCTGAGAACAACATTAAAACTGCCTTGGTCAAGTAGGACCTTTGTAATTTAGAAATCTTTTTCTTCACAAAGCCTGCCTTTTAAAATTTTCCTTTGGTATACATTTGTTAGAATGGTCTTACAACTGATCAAATATATCTTTTTTTCCCTTGGTAGTACCTGACTTCTACTCTTTTAGGGATAACAAAAAATAAAAATAAACAATAATAAACAATAATAAAACAATAATTAAAACAATAATTTAAAAAAGTTATAAATTATAATAATTATATTTAAAATTATATCTTAAAAAAGATATCACTGTCATAATAAATAAGCTCTCAAGAAACTACTTTATTGCAAAGTTTTAGCTTCTGAAGTTGGACATTTTACAAATAGTACCTCTACTTTTTCTCCATTGATCTATTAGTTTATCTGTAAACTGGAAATTATAGCATTTAGCTGGCAGAATTTCTGAGACAGTAAAAAGAGATAATGCAGGCAATTGCTTAGTAGAATAAGATTTCCAGTAGGCATTCAGGTATGCTAGTAATTATTATTACCATTATTACTGTTGTAAAAAGTTTGTTTTGCTTTTAGAAATTGGCTAGTGGTATTGTCTCATCTAACATTCCACCTAAGAGTTAAGTGATATTCCCCTAGTAATCTGTTCTAATGAGTGAATGAATGAGAAAAAAATGTATTACAAATGCATAGTAAGATTTTCCTCCCTAAATCTCCTACTCCCCTCAAAAAAGTAAAATAAGAAAATAAGTAATTCTTAAAGTCCTATTGTCTCCATGAGAAAATAGACTACTCTAATTAGTTTTGATGTCTAGGCAAAGCACATGCGTAGTCTTGTGATAAGGGCATACCAATCAGTCACTGTCAAGAGCCCTAATTCACAAAGTGCTTGTGTTTCATTATGTCAAGTGGTCACCTGTCTTTTAAAAAGTGCCAATAAATCTTTTTAAAATGATAACATGTCGATGTGGTAATGAAGATAGTTGATGTGGAAATGAAGTAAATTTAAGTATTAAACCATATGAAACATATTTCTATTTTCCTGTATTTGTAGTCTAATCCATATATCAACCCCAGTCTCTGCATTCAAACATGAGAACAGATATGTATGTATAATTACACAAAATATTTGAATAATCTATACAAGGGGAGAAAACATTTCCCTGTTCACCTTACCTTTATGCCATATCCTGTGATGTTGTATTGGTCCCCTAAATCTGTATGTATTCCCCAGAAAGCAGCAAAATTACACTCTTAATTTTGGGGAGGATGGCATATTTGGAAATACGTAATTTTATAAAAGTGCAACCTAAACTAAGTCTTTTCTTACCTTTGAAACAATTGATATTAAAGAGACTCAAATTAGTTTGTCCCCCTTTATCTGTGGTTTCAAGTTCCTTTCCACAATTTCAGTTATCCAAGGTACACGGCTGTCTGAAAATATTAAATAAAAAATTCTAGAAATAAACACTTCATGTTTCAAATTGCACCACTCTGAGTAGTGTAATGAAATCTTGTGCCACTCTGCTCCATTCTGCCTGGAACGTGAATCATGCCTTTGCTTCACATATCCACGTGCTGTATACACTACTTGCCTGTTAGTAACTAAATACCCCTCTTGGTTATCAGATTGACTGACCTGGTATTGTTGAGCTTGTATTCAAATAACCCTTATTTTACTTAATAATGGCCCCAAAGCATAAGAGTAGTGATGCTGGCATATTTTTATAAATGGTCTATTTAATTATTAGTTATTGTTAATCTTTACTGTGCCTAATTTATAAATTAAACTTTATCACAAGTATGTATGTATACAAAGAAAACATAGTATATATAGTTCTTTCTGTACTAAAAGTTTCAAGCATCCACTTGGAATTTATCACCAATAGGTAAGGAAGGACTACTGCATTCTGGCTGCACTAAATAAACTGGTCATATTAGTCTATACAAATAAGATTAGGAAGGCGAGTATGCCATATTATGTCACATAATGATTTCAACGTAAAACATGAATGACATTTAGAGATTAAACTTCTTTGGTTTATTTATATATTAGATTCCTATATTTAACAATAGTAACTGAGAGCCAGCAATATGAAAATAAACTGTAATTGTACAAACAAAAAATGTTTTTGAAATCTCTGCCAGAACATTTAATAATATAGGATGAAATTTCTTCACTTCTCTTTGGGTTTGTTTCAGAAGCAACTAGTTTTTCTGATTGTTATTTTTGACTTATAATTTTCAAAATAAACAATAACTTAGGGAGAACTACTAGACAGATACAAATGTGGAAGTAAATCATAATTCTATCTTGAATATTAATCTTAACTCTGATATAAAATTAGAAAATAATACAAGTAAATTGAAATATGTATTTGCATTATAAAGTTAATGGCATCATCAATACTGACAACCAGAGAAAAGAGCCTTTCAATCAGATATGAGCTATGGAATCTAAGATGTTATTTGAATTAAATTAAGCATGTTAGTATGCAAACACATCTAAAAAATGCCAAAGTGATTAATAATAGCAAGAAAAATAATTCAACACTAACAAGTGGTCCTGCTATGGTGGTTGAGTTGATTTGACACTGACAAGACAAAATGTTCCCCTGAAGTATTTTATCTTGATTAATATTTTTATTCTTAAAAAATGTTCTTCATTTCTGGGGCAGATAAGACTCCTTGTAAGAATGGAGATGAGGGGATAAAGAGTTGGTAGTTGAAATACTTTGAAATTATTTTTGAATCTAAGACATTATTTCTTAGATATTAAAAACAGAAGACGATATGCTGGAGACTACCTATTGTAGTGGACTGACCGCCTAAAGTGAGAAATCATTTGCTGTGATTTTTTTCATATGAGAATAAATTGTTTGGATTAGGTTTAAATGTAAACCATTTATAAATAAGTAGTTCTAGCAAGATAATTTTTTGCCAATATTTAAACTATCACCTCATTTTATAATATATTTATGTGAAGACCCCGTTTCTCAGGATGATAAAGTAGAGTGAAGAGGAAAGATCGATTATTTTTGTTTTGTGTGTGTCAAGATTTCTTAATTTGTTTAATTTTTCTTCCTGAAAATTAACATGTAAAGTTTAAGTAAGTAAAAATAATTATAATGAATCCAATAAAGAAAATAATATATTTTTAATCCATAGGTTTTTTAAAACTAACTTTATATTTTTGCTTACCTTTAGGAAATATGAGAGGCCATAAAGTGGTGAGAGTAAAACAATTAATTTTTCAGTATCACAAACTCAACCTTACTGAATTACCTTAAAAATCCACTTATTCTTATACATTGTGTAAGGAAAATAAAAATCAAATAACTAAACAAAATTATGTCACAATTATTTTCAGAAAATTGTTTATGTAATGTTATTAGCTGTTACCTTTGGAATATATATATAATATATATAATTGGAATATATATAATATAATATAATATATAATTGGAATATATATATTACATATAATATATTTATTATATTATATATTTGAAATATATATAATATATATAATATAATATAATATAATATAACTTAATAGAGGAAGCTTATGAGACGTAAGTTGGAGAATCTGCTGCCAGTGTGCAGGAAATCACAAAGCAAGAATCACAGGAAACTGCTGATGATTTTGACTGCCTACAACAAAATTGTGGGTGCTTTCCAGAAGACCACTGGAACTGACTATGAGCTTCTGGCACTGTTATCATAGGAGACAACAGTTCCATCTGTGTTATTGCCCCTGAAAACCGTCCAGTGGGACAAGATGTGCAAAAGGAACACTGTGATTTGGATGGTCCTGACTCTGTGTCAACCTTCTGTGTATTTGCTTCTCAGTTTTTCACACAAAAATTTTAGGTAAAAAAATTAATTTAAAATAGATAAAAGCATATATAATTTGCATATAGGTAAAATGTTTTTGTATAGCTGTATAATATGTTTTAAGCTGTGTTATTACAAAAATAAATATATTCAGAAATTTAAAAGCATATAAAATAAAACAGTTGCAGTAAATCCTGGTAATAATAGCAATATTATTAGGGAAAGAATCTGTAAACAACTCCAAAGTACGGTCTTCTGGATTCATAGTACAAGTACAAGTCTCATTGAATCTGTTTCAAACTAGGAAAAGGCACTAGTTCTTCATCTCAGTGAACTATTACTAACTCACTAATAAAAAAAAATTTACGGTTCAAAATCATTTTAATATAACATAGAATATAGTATACCTTTTTATTTTATTTTAATTCTTTCATTAATATGATTTAGAATTCTAAACAATAATTATTAGGCCTCTCTAAAAAGACATAGGGTCTCTAATTCTTTACTGTGGGCATTTCCTGTGAATGAATGAAACTAATAGTTTATGAGATAGATAGGACATTCAATTGCTATAAATAGAGAAGAGAAGGGAGAGTATTAATTGTCACCTATATAGAGGTGCTTGCACAAATACCATTATCGAATTTTGTTAACATAGTCAATAAGTTTACAGAACAGTCCTTCATATAATATTTCTCAAATACATAGAGAGGACTTATAATATTACAGGCACTGTTTCAGGGGCTTGGAGTATTTCAGTGGACAAAACTGAAGAAGTCTCCCGCCCTCGTGGAGCTTACACTCTAGCAAGGAGACAGTGAAATGTCTAGTATGGAAAATCAAAGAAACATTATAGCAGGTTTAAAGAATAGAGAGTTCAGGAGCTGAAGGCAGGCAGGAGTGAAGGAACAAGGGAAGAGTAACAAGATTGAAAGTAGAGATTTGAAAAAAGGATTGAAGGATGTGAAGAAGTTTATCACATGGATATCTGGAGAAAAGAGTGTTCCAGGTTGAGAAAAGTACTGAAGTCATCACAGTCTTACGTTGGCAGCATGTTGGCCTGTCTTTGAGACTGAGGAGACCAGAGGGCTGGAGCAAGAGTGAGCAAAGCTGGGGTAATGAAAGATATGATCACTAGTCACTGTATGGAATTTTTCATTTGTTCTGATGAAAAGGGCTGCCTATTGCGGGGTTTTGTCCAGAGTGGTATCACGGAATATATTTTAGCACATCATTTAGCACATCATGCTGAGTTGAAAGTCATTGGGAGGGCAAAGGTAGACACATTCAGATAGATGGAGGTTATTGTAGTGAACCAACCGATAGATACATGAAAAGACTGGGGTCATGGCAGTGGTAAAAACCTAAAAAAGATTCCGTATATATTTTTGAAGGTGAAGTCATGAGGATTTCATAATAGATTGGATGTAGACTTGTGAACAAAAGAGAGGAGCCAAAGATGAGTCTAAGTTTTTTGGCATGAACAACTAAAAGGATAACGTTGTTATTACTGAGATGGGGAAGGGTGTGAATGCAGCAGTCTTGGGCCAATCAATCAACAATTTTACATTGAATTGATTATTTTACATATTTTTTATATGTTATTCAGCATGACCCTGTGAAATCTTTGTCTCTATTTCACAGAAAAGAAAATCGGAGTTCTCTAATAGTGCTTAAGCTTTATAAGTATGATGGCAAAATTACTAACATTTTAGTTCAACACTGGGATTAATAGAGTCAAGAGAGCCATGCTCACCACATTATCTCATGTAACCACTTCCTAACATAATGAAAATCTACCCTTTTTCTCCTTGTTGTGAATGTACTGCTATGCTATCCCATTGCTGTAAAATGCCATCTACTACGTGAGTCATTATCAGAGAACAGACCTGTAATCTAGTGTTCCCCATCTTCAGTTGTTAAAACATCAGACACTTGCTTTAACAAACCCTCTTTCTTCATTCACTATCATGGTGCTATTATTATTATCCATTTCTGTTACCCTTGCAATATTCTTTGATTGATTCACTAATAGCTTAATTTCTAATTTGCTCATCTGCAGCAAAAATACATTTTAAACTAATTGCATTTACTGCACCGTGAGTTACTGAAATATTTAGACTTATTGCTAGTAAATGCAAAAATATGCTTACTGATGGAATATAAAAATAAGTAATTGGTAAACCAATGAAAATGTACATTATCTGGCATCATTGATCTTATAAAAGTTTAATGGAGGCTAGAAGAAATATATCATTACCTTTCTAAGGAACTAAATAAAATGATAGGTTTACATAGCAAACTAATATTTGAATATACTGAGAGTCAATTTGTCATTCACTGATAACTTTTAAATTTATTATACAAAGATTAATAATTTTTCTTGGTTGATTGAATTTACAACCAAAACTCATCATATTTGACAACATGCAGAGCTAGCTATCTCTTCATTTACTCTTCCTGTCCTTCTATGCATCCACTTTGAGCATATTTGTTGGCACTATTATAAATAATCTCTATCAACATAGAGAGTCTACTTATTTACTCATTTACTTTTGTTGCTAATAAACTTCAAATTCATAAAAATATACTGTTGGTTTCATTATTTTGTTTATTTATTTATTAAGATAAAGCTTGTTAAATTATTGAGTTCTCAAAGCTATTTTACCTTACTCTTTTTAATGTTACACCTTTCTTTACCTCTTCTTGTTCTGAGATTTTGATTGGGCATAACATCACGCAAGTAGGCAAATGAAAGTAATATATGTGGCAAGAAAAAATATTTTCATAAGATTCTTGAATTGTGTTAAGATAAAAACAATTTGGTGCTAAGTAATAGCAGAAAATAACCTTTGATAATAAGTAATGATTACAACCACTTACTCATGATATGCAGCATATTTGTGTACATTAACAAAATTGAAATAATACTATGGCTTAAATACAATTGTCCTCATTTTACAGTTCAGTTAACAGAGGATAGAAGCATGCCAATGTCACATAGTAGGAATAGGCAGAAGGGGGATTTTACTGGAGTCTCTCTGATTCTGAGGTTGGCAGTCTTTTATAGTACACCTCCCTGATCCTTCAGGATGAAACAATTAGTGTTACTAAGACTTCTAAGTAGGTGGAAGTTAGGTTAAGATATGCAGAATTCATCCTTTAGGCAACAATGAACCCTTGAAACATATGAATAAGGAAGTCATAAGATAATTATGGTATCACAGGCAGATTAATTTGGCTGTAGTTCACAGAATTGACGGTAGGGCAGAAAGGGATAAAATAGCTGATTATTACTCCATTCTACTCTAGTTACAAGTTGATAATTATGTTAGATACAGGGTTGGTAATATAAGCAAAAAGGAAGAATAGATTAAAAGATTTTTTTAAGAATAACAGGATTTGATGATGGGCTCTATGTAAGCAGAAAGAACACAGAGAATGACCCAAAGGTTTTATATATTATAAATGTTATGGATTCTATTTTTGACTGCTACCATTCATATGACTGAACTTGTGCAAAACCACTTACTCTATTCCGTCTGCTTCAGAGGGCTTCTTGCAAAAATTGCAGTACATAAGGTATACCAAAGTGCTTTATAAACAGTTAAAGCCCCAACAAATAAAATGTTTTGTATTGAGTTTAAACATTACTCAAAGACAGTATTCAAAGTGATATTGCCACCTCTACAGCAATTCTGAGGGATCAATATTATTCAGGTAGATGACACTTTGACAAATCTTCAAATTAAAATAAAACTAAAGAAAACAGAATAAAAACATATTGTCAATGTTTTCACTTTTACACAAAGCAGGTGTGAAAGGTAACAAATTGTCTGTAGAAAGCCTAAAATATAATAAATACAAGAGAAGAGCACTAAAGAATTAAGAAGAGCAGAATCAAGTTTCTATATAAAATCTGCATATTCTGTCACAGACAAATAATCACTGTTTAATACAGTGTTTTAGTTAGATGGGAAATGATAATATCTTTTCAACATAAACCAGCCTTATGGCAAAAGAGGTTTCAGAAAAATCCTTAACTGTGAAGAACAGTTTTGGGACTTTGAAATAGCCACATTGTTGATTTTCATGGGTGAAACAATTCCTAATTTAATTCAACCCAAAGTTGTTTTCAAGGTGTGTGCAGACAGGTTAGATGGATGAGGAATCTGAGCTGTAGGCCAGGATTGAAGGTATGACACTAGAACTTCTGAAAGAAACTTACTGTAATAAAGAGTTTAGGCCACACTCAGCAGCAAGCCTCGAAGGATGGAAGCAGCATGATTTCACAAGTAATTTAAGAGTTGTTCCTTGTCATTTCCTAGTGAGCCCATCCTTGAAGGGTCTATGTAATACACAGAAGAGTGTGAAATAGTGAGTGAATGAAATTGTGTGATCAATTTGGCTCACCTGGATAATCCAGCATAATGTCCACATTTCAAGTTCCATAATCTTAGTCACATCTACAAAGTCCCCTTTGCTGTGTAAAGTAGTGTAAAGTAATATATGTACAGGTTTTAGGGATTATGGCATGAACATCTTTGGGACAATTATTCTGCTTACCACACTATCATGAGGATTTCTTTTGTGCAAGCTTATTCATAAACTTAAAATAATTAGAATTTTATATTTTTACTAAATGAAAGATTATATGATATCTTTTGGCAAAATGGCAAAAAGAAAACCTATTAGGTCCTGTTCAAGGCTCCATGTCCTCATTGACCACCTACAATACACCTACTGATAGGTAAGCTGTGCCAAGCAAATATTAGAGGAAGACTTTTAGTGCTACATTTTCTAATCTCACCAACAACTCTAAACTATGAGAGATTTCCCTACAGCATTCTAATGAAAACCTAAACCATGATAATTTATAGGATTTCACTAATTCTATGTCCTGCTAAATCTCAGCAATCCAGAGAAGCTACACAATATTTGGTGGTGGTATAAAACAACGTCTAGGAATTTCTTCAACGCTGCAGAAATGTTTTCTGCATTCTGTTTTGTCTAAATATTTTCACTACATTCTAACTGACATGGGACACAAGGGGGATACAACTGATGTTGAGATGTATTTTTAATCATTTATACAGGCATGTACCATGTTTATCATGCCAAAACTGAAAATATGCTCTTAGAGACTAATCAAAATAATGTGGTTCAAGGGAGAAACTCCACTAGTTTCTGAACAATCCATGAATCAAGATACTTAGGAAAGTGGTGATGGATTGAAAATCACTATGAGACTGAACACAATTCTTAATAATAAATTCTCAAGAAAAATAGGAAGAGGGAAATACAGAAGTATTTAGTGTCACAAAAGGTAATTTAAAAACTGGACATGCTGGAAATTTGGTCCCTCGGGTGTTCTGAATTATAATTATGTAAACAAATGTCATTATATTTTAGGAGATCAAAGATATTTAGAGAAATGCATTATTAGTGACTTAAAAATATAAAAATAATAGCTACTGTGATTTAGGATTAAAAAATTAAAAAATGAAAACTCTTAAGTTTTGAAAGTATTGAGAATAATGGAAATTCATTCTAGAGTTTATATTATAACAAGAGGAAAAGAAAAAGTGGTATGACCTTGAAACAAGAAAATTATTGGTGAGACAGGAAAAATAATGAAATAGAAGAGCAGCCAGCATGTCTCAGGCTCAATGTGAAATCTAGATGTTGTAAATTGTTTCAGTCTGATGTATAAACTAGCACAAGAGATTCTTGTAATAAATATATAAGAAATCTTAAGTGTAAACTGTCAAATAGTCTGTTAGGAGTCAATTAAAATAGGTTTAATAATTACTAAAATAGGTTTAATAATTATTAAAATAGGTTTAATAATAGGTTTAATAATAATTAATTGAAAATATTATTTTTCCATATAAATAATTTTTATTATGGAAGTTCATATCCAATGTGGATAATTATGTGCTTAACTGGATTTCCTTTTTAAAAAAGAATACAGAAGTAATATTATTTCTGCTTGGTGTTTTAGGAGAGTTTCTTTTCTTTTCTTTTTTACGTTCTTTTTGTCAAAAAGACTGAAGTACCAGCTATTGACTGTGTGACTATAATTGATCTGGTAGTGGAAAGTGGAATTTTTCCAGTTGATGCAGAGATTAGAATTGACTTAGCAGTAGAACTCATAAAAGGGTTAATAAAATACAAAGAATAACACAATAACTGCTCTTAAAAAAGATTATAATTCAACTACAGCAGTCACTTCTACCTACTTTAATTAATCTAGTCAGCATTCTGCAAGGAGACTGAAGTTTCTATTTTAGTTTGGTTGTTCAGAAACTGATGCAGAGTTCTAAGAAAAAAAGAGTCATTTCTCGCAGGGGTTTTGAATCTAGTCACATATTTACTATGTTTTTCTTTTTACTTCATTTTCTTGTTAAATCAAGGTTTTTAAAAATAGTAAGTTTTGTGTTTACTACAAGATGTTACTAGTTATAAAATTGTGAAAAGCTGTACATTGTTCAAGATGTGCTATTTATGAAGTTCTTAGTAGATATTGACAAAGTATTATATTTATACAATGTTTTTATTTATTTTATTTTATTTTATTATCTTATTTTATTTTATAAGACGGAGTCTCACTCTGTCTCCAGGCTGGAGTGCAGTGGCGTGATCTCGGCTCGCTGCAACCTTGGCATCCCGAGTTCAAGCCATTCTTATGCGTCAGCCTCCGGAGTAGCTGGGACTACGGGCATGCACGGTACCACACCCAGCTACTTTTTGTATTTTTAGTAGCTAATTTTATTTTACTAGAGATGGGCTTTCACCATGTTAGCCAGAATGGTCTCGATCTCTTGATCTCGTGATCCGTCCCTGCGGCCTCCCAAAGTGCTGGGATTACAGGCGTGAGTCACCGTGCCTGGCCTATTATATTTATACAATATATTTAACTCTTGTCCCCAATATCTTTCTGTCATATTCACAATGGTAAGACATGTCTTCTATATCATATTTCTGTGTTTATTTCATGTTAGTGACAATTTATATCTCTCCTCAATTTTAATGCAATTTTTATTCTTCCTCTTCTCTCCATTGTTTCTTTTCTTTCTTTAATACTTATCTGTTCTAATTTTCTGATTTATCTAATATTTTATTATATAATGTTTAATTGTCTTCTCAAAATTCTTATACAGGTTCAGTTATTTTTGTTTACTTCCTAAAATGTTTCAATGTTTGTTATGTTATTTAGTTCTCAATATATGTGAAATTATTGGATCAAAAGAAACTCTTATTTAAACCTGCATTTCTTATAAAACCCCTTACATAACATTAATTTAAATTGTATCAAAGTAATAAATGTATACAGTTGAAGATATACTAGTGTTAAATAACTTCAATGAAAGATAGCAATCACCTGTCCCATCTAACCATTACCTATTGTTCCTCTTATACAAAGGCAAACTATTGTTACCATTTTCAGCTTTTTAAAAATTTACCTAAACATATCATAATACTTTTCTTATACTGCTGTTTTTGATTAATACATTTTAGATAAATTTTAATTTTCTTTTATATAGTTGGAAAGTGTAGCTCTCTTACATTATTAGCTATTCTCACTCAATTTATATTAAAAATTATATATAAGTATATATATATACTTTAGTCTGAAAGTATACTGTATATAGTGTGTGTATATATATTATATATATAGTGTGTGTATATATACACACAATAGATATGAATATCTGTATTTATATATGATATATATAAAACATTTATCATGTGTATATATGTTTCAAGTGTAATTAAGTGAGACCTGAATATTTGAGTTTAACCTCAAGCAAAATATTGATATTTAATTAATAAATGTCTTTACTAAATTTGAGACTGTAATGGTGCTGACCTGATTTGGTAATTCATTATTATGATGTTGATTGGCATAAGAAATTTATTCAGAGCATGTTAGAGTTTTAATACATACCTAGTTTAGCTGTGTGTAATGCTTTACATATGTAAAAAAATTCCATATTTACACAGGTATGTGAAAATCTTTGCTGTGAAACCCTTTTCAAATTAAAATTGTGAGGCTTATTATTATGAAATCATGAAAAAATATATCTGTAACATAGTATATATGCAGTCACATGTCACCTGACATTTCAGTCAACAACAGGATGCATACACGACAGTGGTCCTGGAGCTGAAAATTCCCTATCACCTAGTAATGTCATAGCCATCGTAACATGGTAGTGCAATGCATTCCTCAGGTGTTTGTGGTGATCCCGGTGTAAATAAATATACTGCACTGCCAGTCATATAAAAGCATAGCACATACAATTATATAGTATACAGTAGTTGATAATAACAAAAGATTATGTTACTGGTTTATGTATTTACTACACATTTTGTCATCATTTTAGATGGTACTCTTTCTACTTATGAAAAAAGTCAACTGTAAAACAGTGTCAGGCAGGTACTTCAGGAGGTATTACAGCAGAAGGCATTGTTATCATAAAGGATGACAGCTCCATGATGTTAATGCCCCTGAAGACTTACCAGTGGGACAAGCTATAGAGATGGAAGTTTGTGATATTGATGGTCTTGACCCTGTGTAAGCCTGGGTTAATGAGAGTCAATGTGCTAACAAAAATGTTTGAAAAGAACAAAATCAATTAAAACAGAAAACAGCTTATAGATAAGAATATAAATAAGGAAGATATTTTTGTACAGCTAAACAATGTGTTCATGTTTTAACCTAAGTGTTATTACAAAAGAGCCATATTAAAAAAATTAAAAGTTAATATTAAGTAAAAAAGTTACTATAAGCTTAGCTTAGTATATTATTGAAGAAAGAAAATATTATTAACAAATTTAGTGAAGCCTAGGTGTAAGTTGTTATAAAGTCTACAGTAGAGTACACTAATGTTGCAGACCTTCATATTCACTCATCACTTGCTCATTGTCTCACCTAGAGGTACTTTCAGTCCTGCAAATTTCATTTATGGTAAGTGCACTATGCAGGTGTACACTTCTTTAAAATCTTTTTTTTTTTACCATATTTTTGCTGTACCTTTTCTCTTCAGGTATATGAATACTTACCATTGTGTTACATTTGCCTACAGTACCCAGTACAATAACATGTTGTAGAGATTTGTAGCTTAGGAGCAACAGGTTTATAGTATAACTGTATAGTAGACTATGCTATCTAGGATTGTGTCAATACACTCATGTTTGCATGTTGCCTAAGGATGCATTTCTCAGAATGTATTCCTGTTGTAAGTGATGCATAACTGTATTCTCTCCCTTTCAATAATTTTAGATGTGTATAGTCACAAATTATACAGTGTTTAAGTTCATTAAATTTATCTACCTTTCTGAATTGACTGGGTCTCCTTTGCTTAATACATTAGAAGAGAATGAAATACGGTTTTCTATTTACACTTATTTATGCCCCACAGAAACATTGGAAGTATTTAAAGGAGAACATGAACAAAAAGAGCATAAAAATTAGTAACTTATAAAAAATAAAATATTTACATCTAAAGGTCTTATATGCCTTTGAACAATTTTATTTGCTCAATTTCAATTCAACCTTTTTGATTCATGTGGTTACATGTTTTTTATTTGATAGAGGTCAAGTTGGAGCTCATTATTATAATTGTTTAGCCTGTATCTTCATGCATTTTTAGCCTTTGAAACTTTTATTTCACAGTAACTGCTAAGACTACTGAAAATACAACTAAAACAGCCAAAGACAATTTATCCTTTCATAAATAAAAATATAAATATGTAGTCTTCTCATTAAAGAAGCAGCATAACACTCTCCTGTGGCAGTAACATCAATAGCTTGTTGGGAAGTCAAGATGACTTCTGCAGTAAGCCTTTAAATGCAAGTTCTCATTTAAGCTTATTTAATTCCACTGCCTCTGCCCTAATGTAAGCCTCTATCACCTCTTATCACAACTAAATTCTTAATCTGTAAATCTGCACATCTTTTAGTGCTTTAATTTTTTCATCATATTTTTGGTAAAAAATATTTTAAATAAAATGTATTTAATCATAACAGGATAATTATGTAAGTCCCAGTCCAAACCCTTTTATGTGGCATGCCAATCTGTTCATTCTCTTTTCCTAATCTAGTTTATTCTCTGATTCTCTCTCTATCTCTTATCCCATCTTCTGGAACTTTACAAGCACTGGAGTCCTCTCTTTACTATTTAAACAAGCTTTAAGTTTTCCTCTCAGACCACAACCTCTGCTCATGTTGTTTCTCAGTAAACATCTTCTTTCCTTTTTTGTACATTTCTTTAAGCCCTCTTAATTCAATTAAAATATGCAAAACAGAATAAAAAATCAGCAAAAGGAGCCATGTTAAACTGTCATTCAAAATGTTAAAATGGAGGAGTATGTCATCTTGACGACCATTGAGCCATTAAGTCCAGGAAAAATCTGCCTCTCAGTGTTGTTTTTTTATGAGTATGAAATATATTTCAAGATTACCTTTTGTTTTGTTTTGATATATGCAGTAAAAACTAATTTTAATGGATACAGATGTACTCAGAAGGGAGTAATAGGTAGGCTAAAGGTTTTATTGGATTGGGTAAGATTTTGAAAGAGATGATGTTTTAATTTACTCGAAGAACAAAGAAGATTTTTTAAACAAAGAAACAAGAAAAAAAAGCAGGCAGATAAGGGTCACAGTTTCTGATTGTTATTAAAAACATGCACTGAATGAAAAGTTTGAGAGATGTCTAAGGCCCTCTGGAGATTAAAAAGAATTATAATAAAAGAAAACACAAACGTAAGTGACTTTTGCCCTACCACATAAAATAAAATACACTACATAGCAACAAAACAGGAGGAAAATAACCGCTTCCCTGGATATTTCTTTTCTCAAGGTTGCCTAAGATCTTTGGTAGGTTGTTGAAGAAATAATGAACTTATAAAAAATACAGTTGACTTCAATTTTAAATATTTCAAGGATTTTATTTGGCATTTTTTTGAATAATTTTTAACGGAATTTTTTTGCATTCCAATCAGATTTTGAATACATTTTTTGAGTTTGAACATCTTATGGTTTTTGAGTCTGAACTTCTGGCATAAATAAGAGAGATGAAGAAAGCTTATGACTTTATTTCTAAGGAATCAGAACAAGATCATGTGTGTGGAAAAGGAAGCCAAATACATAACAATAAATACAAGTTTAGAGTAACAGTTGAGGAGTAGCATTGAAGCATTCAACTATTTTTCCTTGGACTGTTTCTTTTTTGGGGGGAAATATGAGCAAGGTAGATGATAGATGTAGTGTCTCAAAGGCATTTCAAAATGATTGTTTAAAATACAGCAAAATTCTGGCATGTTAACATGCATAGTTTGGGAAAGAGGAAGATGCTGGGTAGCTAGAATTTCAGTGGGAATAAATAAACTAAAATATATATGGGTACCAGATTGTAGAAGAGCTTGGAATGCCTTTCTAAGATGTTTATACAGAGGTTAGCAAGTCTTCAGCAAATATAAGAAGAGCATTGGGCAGAAGCATACTGACTCTAGGTTTTAGAAAGGTAATTCTAATAAGTGAAATTTAAACAAAAATGCAAGCCCTAATTATTTTGTTAAATAATAACTCTAGCAGAGTCATAAGCTTTTATTTTTCTACCATGAGCATAGATAACAGGGAAATGCCATCGTCTCATGCATTAATAGATGATTTTACAAGTATTTCCACAAATTAGGGATACAGAAATATCAACTACAATATTATTACTACAATAATGTGTTATCAGGTTAGGCACAACTGAGTATTACAGGTTTACTTAATACATTTTTTGATCAAGATAATAAAAGAATTTCAAAATCTTAGTAGTCTCATGAAACCTCCTTGTTTCAATTATGCTTTCAAAGACTTTTATATTAATATGAAACAGAAATATTCAATTTCCCCTTATTGCAACAAAAAATTGATATTCTTATGAAAGTTCTCAATTTCACACTTTATCAAATCAGATTACCTGACTTAGTTAATAATACACTGGGATACTGCTCTCTCCCTCTCTCTATCTCTCTCTCTTTCTATATATATATATATATTCAAATAAGAGGGAATATTGAGCTCATCTAGCTCCTTTTACACCCTATTGGCAATTATAAAAAGCTACAGATTTAAGGTCTTTGCTAGACTTTTAGTAGTTAACTTTTAGAAACAAAATTCAGGTCTGTAGAATTCAACTTTGTTAGCAGATATGGAAAAAGAGATGCACAGGATTTAACCAAATAACAGAGAAGTAAGAAGTATATATAATTCATTTTTTTCCATGTAGTAAAATAAGGAGTAGCTTTAGAAGAGACTACCACATTCAAGTTTTCCATTGAATAATTAAGTTGTATGATAATTTTAAATTATTTTTCTATTTAATTCTCACAACAATTTTTTACCATTTATCTAGAAAGAAGTAAGGTTTTTTGAATAAATAGCTAATCCCATCTGGAATAGAAAATGTGCAAGATAATCCTGGGGAGTCTTGTGTGCCAAAAACGAAGAGTTCATAGGTTAAAGAGAGCATGTAAAAAATATGTAGCAGCAAGGTGGAGCAAGATGGCTGAATAGAAGGCTCCACTGAACGTCCCCCCAGAGGAACATCAAATTTAACAACTACCTACACAAAAAAAATCACCATTATGAGAACCAAAAATCAAGTGAGTACTCATAGTACCTGCTTTTAACTTTATATCACTGAAAGAACCGAAGAGGGTAGAAAAGACAGTCTTGAATTACTGATGCCACCCCTACCCCTTTCCCTAGCAGCAGCTGCATGGCATAAAGAGAGAATCTGTGTACTTGAAAGGGGAAGAGTGGAATGATTGTGAGACTGCACTGAACTCAGTGCTGCCCTGTCACAGCAGAAAGCAAAACCAAACTAAACTCAATTGATAACTTCACACAGAGGGACAATTTAGACAACCCCTAGTCAGAAGGGTATTGCCCATCGCAGTGGTCAGAATTTGAGTTCTACCAAGCCTTTCCACAGAAGGATAAAGTGCTCTGGGACTCTAAATAAACTTGAAAGGCAGCCTAGGCCACAAAGACTGCAACTCCTAGGTGAGTACTAGTGTTGTGCTTGGCTAAGAGCCAGTGGATTGGGGGAGCACATAAAATACCAGCTGGGGCAGCTAAAGGAATGCTTATGCCACTATCCTCTAAAACCAGGCAGTATAGCTCATGGCTCCAAGAGAGGCCCCTTTCTTCTGCTTGAGGAGAGAAAGGGGAAGAGCAAAGAGTAAAAAGAGGATACCAGCTCAGCCACAGTAGGGTAGGGAACCACTCAGAGTCTTAAGGCCCCCTTTCCTTGCTCTAGCTCCCAGATGACATTTCTAGACACACCCTGGGCCAGATTTAAACATGCTGCCTTAAAGGAAAAAAAAAAAAAAAAAAGAGACATGGGAAGACCCATCGTGCTGACTAAAGAGCCCTTGGGCCTTGAATAAGCAGCAGCAATACCCAGGTAGTATGCTGTGGGCCTTGAGTGAGACTCTGAGACATGGTGGCTTCAGGTGACACCCAGCACATTCTTAGCTGTGGTGGTTAAAATGAGATACTCCTTCTTCTTGAAAAATGCAGAGGGAAAAGTAAAGGAGACTTTGTATGCACTTTAGGTAATAGCTCATTTACTGCAGGGTAGATCACCAAGTGGCTCTTGGGGTCCCCAGTTCCAGGCCTTGGCTCTTGAACAGCTATTATAGAGCTGCCCTGGGCCAGAGGATGAAGTCATAGGCCTGGCAGCATTCACCACAAACTGATGAAGAGCCCCTGGACCTTAACAGAACATCAGAGATAGTCTATCAGTACTCCCCATGGGCCTGTTGTGGTGGTAGCCACAGAGCGAGGCTCCTCTGACTGCGTAAAGGGGAGAAAAGAGTGGTTTGAATTTCAGATCAGCTGATATACAATAGAACACCAGGTAGATTTCTAATGTTTTGGGGTCCCTGGTTCCTCAATGACATCTCTGGACCAACCTGGCACTTAGGGAATTTGCCAGCCTGAAGGGAAGGACGTAAGTCTGTCTGGCTTTAACATCTGCCGGTTGTAGAGCCCTTGGGCCTTGAGCAAACATAGGCAGTAGTCAGGTAATGGTTACAATGGGCCTTGGGTGAGACCCTGTGCTGTGCTGGCTTTAGGTCTGACCCCAGTGTAGTTCCAGTGATCTAAGCTACAAGTATATCTGTGTCACCGTACCCCCAGCTCCAGGCTGCTCAGCACAGAAAATGAGACTACATTTGTTTGGGAGAAAGTTAGGGAAGAGAACAAGAGTCTCTGTTTCATAATACAGGTAATTCTTCCAGATCTTATTCAAGATCACCAAATGGGCACTTCTATGAGTCTGCAAGAACCACAGAATTACTAGGCATGGGGTGGCCTCTAATGCAGATTTGGCTTAGATCATTACACCCAAGTTGTTTTAAATACCTGGAAAGCCTTCCAAAGAAGGATGAGTACAAACAAGCCCATACCACAAACACTACAATAAATACCTGTATTTGTCCATTTTCACATTGCTATGAAGAAATACCTGAGACTGAGTAATTTATAAGGAAAAGATGTGTAATTGACTCACAGTTCTGCATGGCTGGGGAGGGTTTAGGATATTTATAACCATGGTGAAAGGCACTTATTGATATGTACATATATATATCAGACAAAATAAATTTCCAGGCAAAAACTATAAGAAGAAACAAAGTAGGTCATTATATAATGAGAGATTCACCAATTTAGCAAAAGGATATAACAATTTTAAATACATATGCATCCAACATGTGAGCACCCAGATATATAAGTCAAATATGTCTAGAGTTAAAGAAAGATAGGCCTCAATAAAATAATAGCTGGAAAATTTAACACCTCAGTTTCCTCATTGGATAGGTCATCCCAACAGAAAATCAACAAAAAACGTTGGGCTAAATCTACACTATAAAACAAATAGACCTATTAGATATTTACAGAACTTGTCATCCAATGGCTGTGGAATACACATTCTTCTTCTCAGCACATGGATCATTCTCAATGATAGACCATATGTTAGGCCACAAAACAAGTCTAAAAATATTCAGTACAATTAAATTAATATCAAGCATCTTCTCTGTTCACAATGGAATGAAACTAGAAGTCAGTAACAGGAGTAATTTTGGAAAATATATAAATACATGGAAATTAAATAACATGCTCCTGAATAAACAGTGGGCCAATAAAGAAATTAAGAAGAAAATTTTAAAAATTTATAAAGGAAATGATAATGAAAACACAACATACTATATCTATGGGATACAGCAAAAGAACTAAAATAATATTTTATAGATATAAGTGCCTATATGATTAAAAAAACTGTAAATGAACGACCTAATGATGCATCTTAAAGAACAACAACAACAACAACAACAACAAAGCAAGAGCAAAGCAAACCCAAAATTAGTAGAAAAAAAGAAACAATGAAGATCAGAGGTAAAGTAAATGAAATTGAAATGAAAAAAATATATACAAAAGATCAACAATATAAATGCTGATTTTGAAAAGACAGAGAAAATTGACAAAATATTAGCCAGGACTAAGAAGAAAAGACAGAAGACCCAGAAAAATAAAATCTGAGATGAATAAGGAGACATTACAACTGATAACAGAGATTCAAAGAATCATTAGTGGCTACTATGATAAACTATGCCAATAAATTAGAAAATCTAGACAAAATGAATACGTTTCTAGACACATACAACCTACCAAGACTGAACTATAAAGAAATTCAGAATGCGAACAGACCAATAAGAAGCAATGAGATAAAAGTTGTAATAAAGTTTCCCAGCATAGAAAAGCCCAGGACTTGGTGGCTTTACTAATGAATTCTACCAAACATTTAAAAAGACTAGTGCCAATCCTACTCAAACTATTTCAAAAAACAGGGGAGGAGGGAATATTTCTAAACTCATTCTAGAGGTTAGGATTACCCTGATACCAAAACCAAAAAAATACACATCAAGAAGGAAAACTGCATGCCAATATTACTGATAAATATTTATGCAAAAATCCTCAACAAAATACTAGCAAACTGAATTCAACAACATGTTAAAAAGTTCATTCATCATGACCAACTAGAATGTATCACAGGGAAGAAAAATGGTTCAAAATTTGCAAATCAATCAATGTGATATATCAACAGAATGAAGGACAAAAAACTTTTTGATAATTTCAATTGATGCTGAAAAAGCATTTGATGAAATTCAACATCCTTTCATGATTAAAACCCTCAAAAAATGGATATAGAAGAAACATACCTAAATGTAATAAAAGCCATATATGACTTTATTTATAGACCCACAGCTAATATCATACTGAATGGGGAAAAATTAAAAGCCTTTTCTCTAAGATCAGGGACATGAAAAATATGCTCATTGTTACCGCTGTTATTCAACAGAGTACTGCAAGTCTTAGCTAGAGCAATCGAATGAGAAAGAAATAAGAACAACTAGAACAACTACATTTGAAATAAAGAAGTCATATTATCCTTTTTGTAGATGATACGATCTTATATCTGGAAAAAAACTATTAGAACTGATAAACAAATTCAAAAAGTTGCAGGCCACAATATCAACACACAAAAATCAGTAGCTTTTTATATGCCAACAGCAAACAATCTGAAAAAGAAATCAAGAACTAATCCCACTTATGATAGCTACAAATAACATTAAATATTCAGGACTTAAAGAAGTGAAAGATCTCTACAGTGAAAATTATAAAATATTTTTGCATAAAATTGAAGAGTACACACAAAAAATGCAAAGGTATTTTATGTTCATGGATTGGAAATTCAATATTGTTATAATGTCCATATTATCCAAAGTAATGTACAGATTTACTGCAATCTCTATCAAAATATCCTGATTCTTCACAAAAAATAGAAGAAACAATTCTAAAATTTATATAGAGTTACAACATACTCAGAATAGCCAAAGCTATCTGATATGAGTTATGGGTGAAATAATATGGTTTGATCGTGTCCCCACCCAAATCTCATCTTGAATCGTAGCTCCTATAATTCCCACATTTCATGGGAGGGACCCAATGGGAGGTAATTGAATCATGAAGGCAGGCTTTTCCCATGCTTTCTCATGATAGTGAATAAGTCTCATAAGATCTGACAGTTTCATAAAAGGGAGTTTCCCTGCACACGCCCTCTTGCCTGCCAACCTGTAAGAAGTCCCTTTGCTCTTTCTTCATCTTCTGCCACGATTTTGAGGCCTCTTCAGCCATGTGGAACTGTGGGGCCTTTAAACATCTTTTCCTCATAAATTACTCAGTCTCAGGTATGTCTTTATTAGCAGTGTGAGAACAGACTAAACACTATCCTAAGCAAAAAGAGAAATTACTTGGAGGAATCACATTACCTGACTTCAAATAATACTACAGAGATATAGTAACCAAAACAACCTGGTACTGGCATAAAAAAAGACAAATTGATCAGTGGAATAAAATAGAGAATCCAGAAATCAATTAATATATTCATAGTGAACTCATTTTTGACAATGGTGCCAAGAAGATACATTGGGGAAGGGAGAGTCTCTTCAATAAATAGTACTGGGAAACCTTGATATTCAAATGCAGAAACAAAAAACTAGATCCCTATGTCTCACCGCATATCAAAATCAAATCAAAATATATTAAAGACTTAAATCTAGAACCTCAAACTATGAAATGACTAGAAGAAAACATTGGGGAAATTCTCCAGGACACTGGACTAGGAAAAGATTTCTTGAGTATACCCCACAAGAACAAGCAACCCAAGCAAAAAGACAAATAAAATCACACCAAGTTAAATAGCTTCTGCACAGCAAAGGTAACAAACAACAATGTGAAGAGAAAATCCACAGAATGGGAGAAAGTATTTGCAAACTACCTATTTGACAGGGGATTAGTAACCAGAATATGTAAGGAGCTCAAACTTATTTTTTCTATAGAAAAAATTCAATAATCCAGTTTTAGAAATGCGCTAAAGATCTGAATAGATATTTCTCAAAAGAAGACATACAAATGGCAAACAGACATATAAATAGATGTTCAACAACACTAATCTCCAGAGAAGTGTAAATCAAAACTACAATGAGACATTTTTCTACCCCAGTTAAAATGGCTTTTAAAATGATAATTTAAAATGTACAATTTAAAATAAGGATATAATTGGATTGGTTGTAACACAAAGGATAAAGGCATGAGGTGATGGACACCCCATTTACCCTGATGTGATGACTCAATGAATGCTTGAATCAAAATATTTCATGTAACCCATAAATATATATACCTATTAAGTACCCATAAAAATTAAAAATTAATTTTTTAAATGTAGCAAACTAAAAGTATGTATACATTGCCAAAATTTATTTCATCAGCAAAAGAATAATTGTTGTTGATAAAAGCACATTGAAAAAACAGGAATTCATGATGATTCATTAAAGAGAAAAATACAAAGAATATTCTATTTGAAAATGGAATAGAATTTATGACTTTTTAAATCTTGTTATTCCTGCCCATACTTGATTGAGTGTAGAATGCCAAAATTAACTTAATGTTAAATTAGAAGGTAAAGATACATTTTTCACCTAAGTGTAAATGCTAGTTTAATGACCCATGTGTTGTGACTTGAAGTAAGAAAATCACAACTCAAGTCTCACATGGGTACAATTTCAAATATCTGTTAGAGTTGGATAACCATAGTATCTAAGAAAATTCAAGATTCCATCAAGTTTAAGGTTCACATAAAAAAGGTAAAGTTACATTTAAGATTCCATCATTCAGTTTATTTTACTAGAAGAAAAAATATATTTTAATATTTAAGTACAAAACTCAACAAAATTATCAATTTTCATTTAGCATAAATGTGATTTGAAGATAAACAAATAGTGGCTGATAAAATTTAAATCCAGAGATGTGTTCTGCATGAAACACATCATATATATATTTTTTGCCAAAAGACTACATTTTTTGATATTTTGTATACATAGATAAATTTGACTAGGTGATTTACAATCTTCTAACTCCAACTTGATTTTTAATTAAATAATTTATATTGTTTTAAATTAAAATCTACTAAGCTATTGTGATGGTTAATATTAGTGTCAACTTGATTGGATTAAAGGATGCAAAATATTGTTCCTGGGTGTGTCTGTGAGGGTGGTGCCAAAGGAGATTAACATTTGAATCAGTGGACTGGGAGAGGCAGACCCACCCTCCACATGGGTGGTCACCACCTAATCAACTGCCTGTATGGTTAGAATAAGCTGACTTGCTGAGTCTTCCAGCCTTCATCTTTTTCCTGTGCTGGATGTTTCCTGCCCTCAAACATTATACTCCAAGTTCTTCAGCTTTTGGATTCTTGAGTGGTTTGCGAGGGTCTCACCAACCTTTGACCACAGATGGAAGGCTGCACTGTTGGCTTTCCTACTTTTGAAGTGTTGGGATTTGAACTAATTTACCACTTGCTTCCTTGCTCCTCAACTTGCAGATGGCCTATCGTGGGACTTTACATTGTGACCCTGTAAGTCAGTTATCCTTAATAAACTCCCTTTTATATATACATATATGCTATTAATTCTGTTTCTCTAGAGACTAATAGCTGTATACATACTAATACAGTCCTTGACTAATACAGATATTAAAATAACTTTGCATCATTGTATTTATTAATTTTTTAGATTTATCATAGTATTCAGTCTTCTGGATAGTGTTATTTTTTAAGCAAGAAATTCAAATCCATGAAAGTGATATTTAGAAAAGGAGTTTAAAATGCTTTAAGATGTGTAATTTTATAAATTAAACATTTTCACAGAATTTTTTAAATAATTGTTAAAATGTGTTATAATTATTAAAAGAAATTAGTATTTACAGGATAAACTTCAAATCAAGGAAGAAATCCTTAGGTGTCAACAGTACTGTAGAAGTTCCAATCTAGACTGAAAATGAGTACTCTGTGATAGCTGCAACAGATAGATCGAATAGCAACTTTTTCTAAAGTCATAAAATCCTTGGAGATATTGTGCAACTGTGGTTATGGCCTTTAAAAACTTCTGAACGCATACTTTTCAGAAGGATTCCTATTTAATTTGCTATTCTTAATACTTGTTTTTGGTATAAAGACATGCATTCTCCACCAATCCACCTTCTTCCTGCCAATAACCCCTCTCTCACTGTGGTAATGGGTAGTAATTATCCTCTGCTTCTCAGAGCCAATCTTCATCTATCATTCTAGCATGTGTTCTTACAACTTTTAAAAGATGACTAGCTACACTGATAATAGAATACAATTTATTATCACTCATAGTAAACGTTTAACTCTAAAAGGAGGATTGATATTTACCTTACTCAGCCTTACTGGTTCAGAAGCATGAACAGATCCTGCATGAACAGATCCTGCATCAACAGCTCCTTGTGTTACAACATGTTTCTTTCTATGGTTCTCTTTGTCAAGAGAGACACTTGAACAGAGATATGACATTAGTTGTTCAGAGAAACCCTTGGCTTATTCAAGTTGGAAGGTTAATTCCCTTTTAAATCCCACATAAAAGAACGTTTCTAACATTCAGGTCCTAAGAAGATTGGGAGTTGGGTCACTGCTCTATGTGTCTTTCCATCCACATTTTTATTCCTTTTTGAATGTGAAATAATAGTAAATGATATAATCCTAATTTGACTCTATCATCTTTATTTACGTACCATTGAGCATGGGCAACAGGACAAATGAGTCAGACACAATTCAGAATTTTCTGCTTTGAGTACTTGGATGATGGATGTTGCTATTAACTGGACATCTTTTTTTTTTTCAACTTGTAAAATACTCTTAATTTGGTGTGATTTGAGGTGGATTTTACAATCAATTACATTGAGTGAGACACTTACTAAGCACAATGTGGGCCCAAGCTACACATAGACTTTATTACTTGGTTGGTTAAACCTAAACAAATAGATTTATAATGGTTTGTGGACAATTCCCATGCAATAGCTATATTATTAAATCCAAAGCATTATTAAAAGTTAATTATATTTAAAATTATTGAGATTTAACAATGATGTAATCTATGGAGAAGATATTTATCTTCTCCTGTTTGTACTATAATTACCAAACCTAACTGGACATCTTTAGAAGTTGAATTAAAGAAATTAGTTTAAAATATACTGGGTTGAATAGTCAATGCCTTTATCAATATGAACATAGATAATAAAACTAAACTCACTAAATTGTGAATACTAAATTGATAAATTTGTGAATGGATGTCAAAGTATTTGTATTCAATAAATGCATGTTTTCTTTTGTATTAGTCTGTTCTTATATTTCTATGGAGAACTACCTGAGACTGGGTAATTTATAAAGAAAAAAGATTTAACTGACTTAGTTCTGCAGGTTGTACAGGAAGCATGGCTGGGGAAGACTCAGGAAACTTACCATCATGGCAGAAGGCAAAGGGGAAGAAGGCACATCTACATGGCAGGAGCAGGAGGAAGAGAGAGCAAGGGGGAAGGTGCCACACATTTCTAAACAACCAGGTTTAGTGAGAACTCACTCACCATCCAGAGAACAGCAAGGGAGAAATCCACCCCTATGATCCAATCACCTCCCAACAGGCTCCTCCTCCAATGCTGGGGATTACAATACAACATGACATTTTGGCAGGAACACAGACCCAAACCATATCATCCCATTTATTCTTCTTTCTCTACATCACTCTTCTCTTTGTTTTTCCATGTTTTTCCTTCTCATTCTACTTGTCCATTCCCAATGTATCCCATCTCTTTCCTCTCCTTTTGCTTCAATCTTTTCAACTTCCTCACTTTCTTCTAACAAAAAAATAATTGTATCGCTTCTCGGCCTTTTGGATAAGATCAAGTGTAAAAATAATTGTAATTATAGCTCTCAAAAAAGTTAGAGCCTAAAACATATATTTGTTAGCGTATTTTATGACCTGATAAGTTTAAGATCAAGTTTTCTTGACCAAGATGTCAAGTTTGTTAAGGGCAGAATCCCCAAGTCACAGATTTCAGAAAAGCATGATTGTGAATCCTGGTTTTGCAATTAACTAGCTGCATCAAATTGTGCATATTATTAACTTAGTCCAGTCTCAATTTCCTCATCTGCCAATTAGAGTTTCTACCTCACAAAATTATTGTGAATATTAAGTTTTAAAAATAAATATAGCATTCTCATCATAGGACTAGCTTTTAATAAGTATTCAACATGTTGTTTTTAGTATCATTTTCATGATAACTGAAACTATATTAGTGAAGGGGAAAACCCAGTAGGAATGTTGAAGAGGTGAGCACTCCAGTCAACATAAATATTTTAGATCACTCTGATTAACATAAATACTTACATACAATCATATTAACACAAATATTTAAGTGGCATAAAGTCAGACATAACCAGGTCTATGCATGTTTATGTCTTTCCACAAGACCAGACTTTTATTGATGTTTATTTAATCATAAAAGCCATGAGCTACGTGGCATTCTCAAGGAGGCAATTCTCAACACTACCTGTTCACTCAGTAGTCACAGCCCTGGGCACACAAGCACAAGCCAATCCACAAGTCAGTCAATTTTGCAAATCATACATACTAGTAGGATACTAAATTGATACATAAATGTTATATATCAAGATTTCCACATCAATCAGAGTAACATCTAATAACAAGAGAAAAGGGATAGGGAAATAAGTTAATAAACCATTTCAAAGAAAGCAACATGGACAAGGAGTGTCCTAGGCTGACCTAGATGGTCATCAACATCTTGCAAGAAAGACTTCTTGATTTGAGCAGAGCCTTCAGTGGCAGATGCCTGATGCTGACCACAAGTGACAGCTGGATCATCTCTATTGAGACAGCTGTGTTGAACTGGTGAAGTCCTGCTCTTTTCATAGTTTTTGAGTCTTGTGAGAACTGATTGTAAATGGTATATCTGGTTAAACAAATATTGAATATTAACTAAGATTAAGTGATTATAAAAGCATTTTTATTTAGCTGATGCAAATAAAAATTGGAATACATTTTCAGCCTTAGAAGTAATTTTACAATTGCACAGTTTGATTTTGCTACTGAATTTGAAATAGGAAAAACAAAGTGTTTAAAATCTGATGATTTAAAGAGTACATTCAAAATATGCAGACAAGATTCATTATCTACCTACCCCAAAGTGCAATATCTTTTACTATTTGACATGACGTTAGAACCCTAAATTTCCATAAAATAACTTATTGGCCCAATTAAATTGGGTACTCATTTTGACAGAGCTTTGCTTTTGAAGCTATAGTTGATGATAGACTTTATTCTGTGAAAAGTCTACTCAGTTTTGTTTACAAAAAGAAAGCTTGTTCTCTCTTTTGTCTTATTTGCAGACTGAAAAACTATTGGATTAAAAAAGAAAATATTCACATTTCTACTTTTCATCAAGAGGTAAAGGATTCATCTTTTCTTCTAGGGGTTGTCATGATGGAAAGAACAATTATGGAATAAAGAGTTCTATGAAATATTAAATATTATGAAAACCTGATGTTTATATGAGTCAAAGCATCACTTTCAATTCTATGGTGTAGCATTGTATTAAATGTGTACAACTAGCCATATGAGTTATCATATGGAAATCATGTTTCATATAATTTAATAATTTCCACACTTCCATTTTAAATAAGTGAATTCCTTTAGTTATTACCTCGAGTGATAGAATTTTAAAAAATTAAGGATTCCATTTTTTTCCTCTCTTAGTTTATAATCGTGGCTAACATAGAACTTTTAAGAGACTTAAGCTAAATTTAAAAAGGCACAAATATCAATCTTCTGTTAGATAGAAAGCTGTACAATTTTCAGATCACTATCTTACAGTATCAAACATACATAGTCATATTTTAGTATATACCACAAACATTTGGATATTAATTATAGATATTTATGTGAATATGTAATTCTCAGTGTCTTCCATATCCTCTGTGCTGCCAGATAACCCATTTAGGTCTATCAGTGAAAGAAAAACATAAGTTGTAAATATTGGCACAGATTTTTTTTTTTTACAAACAAATTCTTTTTTCACTTGAAATGTAAATGGAATGTTAGGGTGATTTCTTAATATTCAGTAACTTTGGATTTTTATTATGTATATACTCACAATGTGCAATACTGCACAAAACACAGAGCATCCTTTATATTGTGACAAATCTCAGTGTCATTTTATATAAAAACATCTTCTATTTAGTTGTATTCGTGCATCTACAGTATGACAAACCAAAGTTTTGGCAAGAAACAATTACCAAAAAAAAAAAAAAAAGGATGATCATTGTAACATGAAATCACAAATCACATTCTTTTTATTTTGTCTCCAAGTTTTCTCTTCAATCTTTCTTCTGACAGTCTAGGCAGAAATGCTTTTGACAAAAGGCTCTTATTCATAGTAACTCAGCTGACACCAATTTTTTTTTTATAGAACACTGTTTTCAAATACATAAGTAACAGATATTCATCTCCTGATGACTATGTTGCTATGATAAATTCATTGTGTGTCTTAATTTTCCAACCTCAACCACTAGCATAGATAAAGCAAATTAGGTATCAGCATTTACCAATAATGTTATAAGAACACAAATTAACTGTATTGATGAGCATCATAATAAATTTTACTCTAAGGATTTTTACACCTAAATATGAATGTTATTATGGTCCAACAATACTTCTTGTATTTAATGGACATAATTTATCCCTGTAAATCTGGGCAGCAAATCACTGCATAATTAAACAGTTTGGCAATCACTAGAAAGATTTCAGATTCTTTGGCAGCAGATGCCAAGACAAAACATGAGGTATGAGATGTTTGTTGAGAATCAACATTATGAAAAAAAGGAAAGGAAAAAAGATTGCTCAGAGACAGAATGTGAACAGACATGTAGGCCCTCCAAGGCCTCGACCAACCCAGTGGTAAACTCTGGAGTGAGTATTGCCCCTGAGTGTTCCATGCTGGGTAAAATGTACAGGCCATTGTGTAACTGCCTTGCTCAATCACCTGATGCAGACTGCCCTGGTCAGAGTGTGAATTCCAGGGAAGTGTTCTCTGTAGCTAGGACCCTAAAGGAAATAATAGCTGGAAGCTGGCTGCTGGCTGAATTGCCCTCAACTGAGGGCTGACCAGGAAGTCCTGGGTGGCTCATGTCTGGTCTATTCCTAGTTTGCTGAACATTTTTTTAAAAATGTGTGTTGTAGTTTGTCAAATGCTTTTTCTATATACATCAAAATGCCCATTTAATATATTTTTCTCAACCTCTTAATGTAGTGAATTACATTAATTTCTGTATTTTGAAACAACCTGCATTCCAACTTGATTATTTGTGTCATTCTTTATGTATTGCTGGATTTTGTTAATTTTTTTTAAGAAATGTTGTCTCTATATATCCATAAATGATACTGCTTTTACTTCCATTATATTTGTAATATCCTTTTCAGGTTTTGACATAATGATTATGGTGGCATAAAACAATTTCTAGATCTAATTTTTAATATATATCTTTCCCCTTAAACCAAGTAGACTTTAGTTTGAGATACTTGGGGTGCCAGCGGCATGGTCTGAACTTTCTCCTCTTTCTTACCAGAGCCCAACTCCAAGGTTAGGGTAAATAAGGGAGCCAGAGATATTATATAATTTGTTTTCTCTCAATAGTGGTCTTGATATATTTGGTGCATATGATTTCCTTGAATTTTTTAGTTTCAGACCAACAAGCTCCTTAAATGCTCTAACATTCTAAAATGCTGAAGACATTTTAGAGATGGGCAATTCTGTGTCCTCGGATCCATTTCTTACATCTGTGCTCCACGTCAGGCCACAGGAATTGTTCGTTTTTCTGTAACAAGGTTTCAGGAAACAAATGTTCTATTCTTAATCCATGTACGAGGCATACTCTACTATGCAGCCATTCCTCAGTGTTCATGGATTGATTCCAGGACCTTTCTGTCCCACGTACCAAAATTCACAAATGCTCAAGTCCCTTATACAAAATGCTGTAATATTTGCATACAGCCTACACACATCCTCCTGTATACTTTAAAACATCTCTAGGTTATTTATAACACATACTACAGTACAAGCGATATGTAAATAGTTGTTATACTGTATTGCTTAGGAAATAATGACAAGAAATATAGTATGTGTATGATCAGTATGGACACAACGATTCATTTTTTAATGAATATTTTTTATCTGTAGCTGGTCAAATCCATGAACGTGAAACTCACAGATACTGAGGACCAATAGTACATTATTTTTTAATCTCTCTGCTTCAGGTTACAACTTGTGTCTATGTTCACTTATGTTTTCTAAATCTCCTCACACTTTGCACTCTGTTTAATTGGCAGAATTATGTGGAATAAGAGCAGTAATTCTCAACTGAAAGCAACTTTGCCTTCTATGGGAGACTTGGCAATGCCTAGAGGCATATTTGGTATATGACTAGGGGAAGAATGGCTCTATGGTATCTAGTGGGTAATGCCAGGGATGCTGCTCAACATTACAAACTCTAAGAGTTTTTCTCCTAATCTGTACAATGCACAGCCCTCCACAACACTTTCCAGTCAAAATGTCAACAGCGCAAGGGTTAAGAAACTTTGACACAGAGCTTCAAGAGTTCACTAAAACTCCAAATGTAGAGCAAGATTATATTCTTCTCTTGGTACACCAACTTTAGACCTTTATGAGAGCTATTTTGAAACCCTCGATTTGTTCCATAGAAGAGGGACGACTTTCACTCTACCCTATAGAGTAGAGGGAGAGAACAAACTCTTTTCTCTTAGTACCACATTCTTTTTATTTTTTAATTTAATTTAATTTAATTTAATTAATTTATTTATTTATTTATTTTTGAGACGGAGTCTCACTCTGTCGCCCAGGCTGGAGTGCAGTGGCGCAATCTCAGCTCACTGCAAGCTCCGCCTCCCGTGTTCACGCCATTCTCCTGCCTCAGCCTCCAGAGTAGCTGGGACTACAGGCACCCGCCACCACGCCCGGCTAATTTTTTTGTATTTTTAGTAGAGACGGGGTTTCACCGTGTTAGCCAGGATGGTCTCGATCTCCTGACATCGTGATCTGCCTGTCTCGGCTTCCGAAAGTGTTGGGATTACAGGCGTGAGCCACCACACCCGGCCTTAGTACCACATTCTTTTTTTTTTTTTTTTTTTTTTTTTTGAGACAGAGTCTCGCTCTGTCGCCCAGGCTGGAGTGCAGTGGCGCGATCTCAGCACACTGCAAGCTCTGCCTCCTGGGTTCACGCCATTCTCCTGCCTCAGCCTCCCTAGTAGCTGGGACTACAGGCGTCCACCACCATGCCCGGCTAATTTTTTGTATTTTTAGTAGAGATGGGGTTTCACCGTGTTAGCCAGGATGGTTTCGATCTCCTGACCTCGTGATCCGCCCGCCTCAGCCTCCCAAAGTGCTGGGATTACAGGCGTGAGCCACCGCGCCCGGCAGTACCACATTCTTAACAAGACTCCCAAACTCCAACTATTTCCACTCTTTATATTTCATGTGGGTGTTGGATTACTTTGAGGGAAACAATAAAAACGGCACTGTAAACATGCTTATGCATTTGTTTTTTTTTTGTCTGCCATTAAAAGATGTTGTTAAGTTAGTGTGCTCTGCCTTTGGATGAGCTGAGGAGTCCCCAAAGTGTACATTATTTTTATTTTTTCAGCTTTATATCCTAGTGGCAAGTTATGGAGAAGAGAAAAATTCTTAATTAGTGTGTGTTACAATAATAAGTTGCAGTTTACTAAATATTTTCATGTTATTTTTTCATGAAATCGTCACAGAAATATTGTATATTAGTGTCATCACGAATATTATTTTGTTACTTAAACTGAGGAATCATTGATGCCGTTGTTATTAATAATGTTCTCTTCGAAGACTAGAAGTGATTTTTTTTTTTTCAGTGTTAAGTGCTTCTATATAAGAGGGCATGTATGATTTATTTGGAAAATTTAGGCTCCTAGGAGTCTTGCTGTAAAGCAGTAGTATACGATATTTTCTATTTCAGTTGCTTCCCCAAGAGTCTTATAAATTCCATTATCTGATCATTCAGCCATATGGACAAATCAATTTCCTCCCAGAGATGTGGAATTTGAGGGAAAAATAAAAAAGAACAAATATGCCCTCTTCATTCAGTGATCACCTTGAAAGTGGGTGGGAAGAATATCTCACATTCATTACTAAGCAGTTGCCATGGACAGTAAAATCTTTTCTTATGTGAACGACTGACACAAAATAGTATTTGAAAAGTTTCATTTCAAAGTGTTGCCAGAACTGAGGATAAGAATAGAAATAACGAATGCTAAATCTCAATATTGCATTAAAAGTTAGAAATGTAAATGATTAACAGTAAGGTAAAATTTTATACTGATTTTATGTTCATAATATAACAAATGGAAGAAGAGGTTGGGATCTTTAGGTATGATATGGATTTTGATATGGCTAGAATATAGCCTCTTTAGAAAGCAAAAAAAATCTTTTTTTTTAAGTGGCATATAGCACAAGAATTTTAAGAACAGTGATATCATTATTTTATGTTTTGATAAACTTTACTATTTAGAAGAGTTTCAGATTTACACAAGGACTCTTAAGGTAATACACAGTTTCCTCATTCATTTTCCCCTATTGTTAATATCTTATGTTAGTGTGGTAATTTGTTACAACTAATGAGTCAGTATTCATACATTATTAATATTAACTGAAGTTATTTTATCTAATTTTGACATAATACTTTTTTCTGATCCAGAATACCACTCAGAATATACTACAATTTAGATGACACATCTCCTTACACTTCTCTTGGCTGTGGCAGTTTCTAAGAGTTGTCTTTTTTTTTTTATGATTTGACAGTTTCGAAGTATACTGGTCAGGTATTTTGTAGAATGTCCCTCAATTGGGACTGGTCTGGTGTTTTCCCCAGGATTACTCTGGGGTTATGCATTTGGGAGAAGAAAACCACAGGGGTTAGGTGTCATTTTAATTATACCATATCAAGATTATATGCTATCAACATGACAACACTGTTGATAATGTTGACCTTCTATATGTGGCTGTGGTAGTTCTTGTCAGAGCTCCCTATTTTTACACTTGCCATTTTACAAATGACTTCTTTCCATCATTGTGTGTGTGTGTGTGTATGTGTGTTTTAATACTGTCTTCTTTTCTGGTAGTATAAAATGCTCCATATTCATGTTCATATTCATCTTAAATATGCCACAGCCTAGAATCCCTGTATGTCTAAGGAGCCTTAATTTATTTTGTTGAAGAATGACATTGGAAACCATGATCTGAATGCTAGGAGTGTCTGTTACTACTGAAATATATTTCTTCTAGGCCATTGCAACTGACAGAATGAGAAAATATCTGTGTGTGTATTGACAGCTGTGTATATACATATCCTTAAATATTTCTGTGTTATCTATATCTATAGTAAGCTAAGCATACTGATGTTTCCACATTTAATTCATTACCTCATGGATTATTCTGGTCTTCTATTTTTTTGTAACCTACCACTTCAGCATGAAAAATCTGTCTATTTCCTCTGCCATTCATTTATTAATTATTCAATACCAGTATATGTGTACTGTGGTTTCAGAATTGTTAAACTGTGCTTCACAGAAATAATTTTATCCACTCAATTACAGTGCTTGTGTACAATTCCTTTTGCCTTTAGTCATATATTCTATTAATTTTTAAACATACTTAACTTAATAAGCATATTTTTTCTCCACCCACTTCAGTTAGGTATTTTCACATATTTCTAATTCAGTTGGATTCTTTTATCCCATTCTTTATTCCATGCTAGGATTCTGCAATGTTCAAGATCATATTTTAAAATTTGCATGCAATATTTAATCTTTGTCCTGTAAAGTTCTACAAGATTTGACAAATTCATAGACTTAAGTATCTATAAATTCATAGACTTAAGTATCTTATAAATTCCATTATCTGATCATTCAGCCATATGGTCAAATCAATTTCCTCCCAGAGATGTGGAATTAAGATATTACACACAATAAATCCACCATCCTAAAAATATTCTATCTTCTCCACCTATTCAAACCCTTCCTATAAAAGAGAACACTGACAATTATTCATCTGCTAACTGTCTCTGTATTTTCCATTTCTAGAATATCAAATAACTAGAATAATAAAGTAGTTTGCTTTTTCAGATTTACTTCTTTCTGTTAGCAGTATGCATCTATGACCCATTTTTAGTATGATTTGATAACACTCATTTTTACTGCAGAATAGTATTCTGTTGTAGAGATATACCAAAGTTGATCTATTTATCTATTGAAATAAATATTAATTACTTCCAGTCTTTAGTGATTATGAATACAGCTATTATTAGCAGAGTAAACATATGTGCAGACATAAGTTTTTTAATCACTTGGGCAGATACCTAGAAGTGTGATTGCTGAATAGTTTAATGAATCTATGTTTAGTACTTTAGTGCCTAGTTTAGGTGGATTTTACATGAACAGTTCAACAATTTATTAATAGTGAATATGCCTATCTTCATCTATGTGCCAGAAATGCAAACATCCTCTACCTGCACATAGTTTCCTTAGCACATGATACATTCAATAATTTACTATTAGGATCAAAATTGATCATCTTAATACTTATGCCTTCTTTATAGAAAAGACCCGTTGTTTGATATAAAGGAAGATTATTTGTTTCTTGTTCCTCACTGGCCTTTCCTAATTTTAGAAACCAATCCACCATTAATTGTTTGTCTTTGCTTTGTAATATGGTTTGGCTGTGTTCCCACCCAAATCTCATCTTGAATTGTAGTTCCCGTAATCCTCACATGTCGTGGAAGGGACCAGGTGAAGACAAGTGAATCATGGGGGCAGTTTCCTCTGTGCTGTTCTCATGGTAGTGAGTTAGTTCTCATGAGATCTGATGATTTGGGGGGCTTCCCCCTTCCCTGGGCACTCATTCTTCTTGCTGCTGCCATGTGAAGAAGGATGTGTTTGCTTTCCCTTCCACCATGATTGCAAGTTTCCTGAGGCTTCCCTAGCCATGCTGAACTGTGAGTCAATTAAACCTCTTTCCTTTATAAAAAAAGATGTAACCAGTGTTGGGTACATCTTTATTAGCAGTGTGAGAATGGACTAATATAATTTGTTTAGTATTTTTGTACTCCTCTCTGTCTTTCGAACCTACTGGCTCAGTACCCACTTTCCCTTGTCAAATTTCATGCAAAAGACTTCTTCTAAACTATATTAGTTAAAAAAAAAAGTTCTCTTTCTCTCTTATTTTATCTTTCTCTTCCTCTCTCTTTCACACACACTTGAAGCAATGGGGCAGTGTAAATTGGCCTTGTTTCTCTCTTACCTTGTGTTAGCATATCTCGGTAGAGAAACTGAGTTTACACCCCAATACAGAGGTAAGGCAGCAATAATGTGTGAGTCAGAAGTCTGTTTTTACCCAAAAACTGTTTGTGGGGCTAAGGAAAGACTTGACTTATGTCCCATCCATGTGTAATGATGCTGTATGTTTCAGTGCTCCCCTTTTGCTGGGGTGGTGCTGTCAGGTCATGATGAGAGGTAAACATCCACTCACAACTAGACCTGTATGCTACACCCAAGTAAGGTGACTGCTTGCTAAAATGAAAGGTTAAATAGCATTGGTGCCCCGAGGAGAGGGAAAGGGGTAAGTGTTGAAAATAAATATAGGACAAAAAAATTTCCCGAATTTGGCAAAATGCTTAAACCTATAGTTTTAAGAACCTGAGCAAATCACAAACAGGATAAACCAAAATAAATCTGTCAAGTCATATCACATCGAAGAGTACTATAGGAGTACTGTAACATAATATTAAACTGTCCAGAAAACAGAAGTCAATTATTATATCAAAAAACAGGAAAATTACACAACTTGAATTAAAAAAATGACAGAAAATAACAATGAGATGACTCAGATATAGAAATTATTCAAAAATGATATTAACTCCATCCATGTCTCTTCAAAGGACATGATCTCATTCTTTTTTATGGCTGCATAGTATTCTACGGTGAATATGTGCCACATTTTCTTTATCCAGTCAGTCTATCATTGATGGATATTTTGGTTGATTCCATGTCTTTGCTATTGTGAATAGTGCTACAGTGAACATATGTGTGCATATGTCTTTTAACAGAATAATTTATATTACTTTGGGTATATACCCAGTAAAGGAATTGCTGGGTCAAATGGTATTTCTGTTTTTAGGTTTTTGAGGAATCACCACACTGTCTTCCACAATGGCTAAACTAATTCACACTCCTACCAAAAGTGTATAAGTTTACCTTTTTCTTCACAACCTCATCAGCGTTTTTTTTTGTTTTTTTTTGGAGTTTTTAATAATAGCCATTCTGACTGATGTGAGATGAATATTTCATTGTGGTTTTGATTTGGATTTTTCTAATGGCCAGTGATGTTGAGCCATTATCCTTAGCAAACTAACACAGGAATCGAAAACCAAATACCACATGTTCTCACTTGTAAGTGGGAGCCAAATGATGAGAACATATGGACACATAGAGTGGAACACACACTGGGATCTTTTGGAGGGCGGAGGGTAGGAGGAGTGAGAGGATCAAGAAAACCAACAAATAGGTACTAACCTTAATACCTGCATGATAAAATAATCTATAATATAAACCCCCATGACACAAGTTTACATACGTAACAAACTTGTCCTTGTACCCCAGAAATTAAAATAAAAGAAAAAAAATTCTAAGGTACCACTGATAAAGAACGATTACAAATATTAATGAAGCAAAAAAAGTAGAAAAGTCAGCAAAAGAAAAAATACGTAGAGAAAGCCTAATTATAGAACTAAAAATACAATTACCAAAATGAAAACGGCACTAAGTAGCTCAATGATTGGAGATGACAGAAGAAAGAATCGGTGACTTTGAAGACAATTGAATAAAAATTACCCAATCTGACAACACAGAGAAAATAGACAGTTACAAAATGAACAGAATCTTCCTGTACCAATAGGACAAAAAGCAACATCTAGCTTGCAAAGCATTGGTGCCCCAGAGAAGGAAAGGAGTGAGTGCCGAAAATAAACATAGGACAGAACATTTCCTAAATTTGGCAAAAGGCTTAAACCTATAGTTTTAAGAAGCTGAGAAAATCACAAGCAGGATAAACCAAAATAAGTCTCTGTCAAGAGACATCATAACAAACCTCTGAAAATTAGAGACAAATATGTGTGTGTATTTGTGTGTGTGTATAGTCTTAATATGCATATTAAGACTAGAGAGAAGACATGCATTATCTAAAACAGAATGTCAATTTGAATAACAGAAGATTTCTCATATGTAACCATGGATGCTAGAAGCAGCATATTTTTCAAGTGCTGAAAGAAAAGAACCTCAATTTTAAATCTATATCCAGTGAATATATCCTTTAGGAATAAAGATGGAAGAAAGATAGTCTCTGACAAGAAACAATAAGTGAATTTATTGCTAGCAGACTAAATCTTAAAGAATGGCTAAAGTAAATTTTTTTAAAACATAAATAAAAATGACAGGAGAGTAGAGTCTGGAAATTCAGAAAGAAAGGAAAAACAACATAATGGGTAAAGTTAAATATAATGTACTTGCATTCTCTTATCAGGTAAAAATTCATATCATATCACTGAAGAAAATATTATAACATCTGATATGGTGCTCAACATATTTAGAGGAAGGCAAGAAAAGATAAACAGGAATGAGCGAGGGAACAACAGAAAAAAAACAAATGAAATGTCAGATTAAGTCTTAACATTTGAATAATTACCTTAATATAGTCTAAATATACCAATTAAAAAACAGATATTTACAAATTGGATGCAAAAACATGAGTCACGTATATGCTATGAACAAGAAGTTCACTTCAAAATAACATACAAGTAGTTTAAAAGTAAAAATGACTGAAAAAGAAAACCAAACTCTAATTAACACAAAATCAGGGGTGGCTAGATTTTTGATGGAATTAATTTTAGAGAACAGAAAATTACTAGAGATAAAGAGGGATATTATATCTATTGATAAAAGAAGGGATAAGAATCCTGAAAGTGTATGTACCAACACTCAGAATGTTATTATACATGAAAACTATTTGATAATGCTGGAAAGATAAAAAATAGACAAACACAGAATTAGAGTTAACACTTAATTTCAGAAACTGATAGAGCTATTAAAAAGAAAATTAACATGAAAACAGATCTGAATAGCACAATCAACCAACAGCTTATAATTGGCATATATAGAACACCACACATTTCTTTTTCAAGTGTCCAAGGAGAATTCACCAAGATAGATAATACTCCGGGACATGAAATATACTTCAACAAATTTAAAAAATCTAAAATCATACTGTGTTTTCTCTGATTTTATCGTTGTCAAACTAAAAACTTAAATAACAGAGAGATGATGGGGGAAATCTCTAAATACTTAGAAATTAACACATTTCTCAATAATCTATGGGTTCAAGAGAAAGTCTTAGAAATTAGAATAATTTGGAACTGAATCAAAATCAAAACCACATGTAAAAATATTTGGTTTTCTGGAAAAGTCATACGAAGAGTAAAGTTTATAGCCCTAAAAGCTTACATTGAAAGTAAAGAGAAGTTTTAAGTAAATAAAGTTTCAACACCAAGAAATTTAAAAAATAAGAGCAAAATAAACCAAAAGTGTCTATATTCAGAGACATTGGCCAGCAGTTTTCCTCTTTTGTTGTGCCCTTGCCTGATTTAAGTATCAGGGTGATACTGGATTTGCAGACTATATAAGGGAGAGATTCATATTTGAATTTTTGAAACAGTTTCATTAATACTGATACCAGCATTTCTATGTATGTCTGGAAAATTTCAGCTATGAATCTGTCCGCTTCTTTGCTTTTGTGTTGGAAGATTTTTTATTACTAATTTGATTTAATTACTTATTATTCATCTGATCAGGATTTCTATTTCTTCCTGGTTCAATCTTCAGAGGTTATATACTTCCAGGAATTTATCCAGGTCCCCTAGGTTTTCTAGTTTGTGTGCACATATGTATTCACAGCAGTCTCTCATGATCTTTTGTATTTCTGTGGTATCAGTGGTAACATTATCTTTGTCATTTCTGATTAGCTTATTAAAATCTTTTTCTTTTGGTTAATCTTGCTAGCAGTCTGGCAATTTTGTTTATCCTTTCAAAGAATCAACTTTTAATCTCATTGACCCTTTGTGTCGTTTTTTCCCTGGTCTCAAACTCATTTAGTTCTGTTCTGATCTTTTTTTTCTGCTAGATTGGGGTTTGGTTTGTTTTTATTTCTCTCATACCTTGAAGTGTGACATTAATTTCTTCATTTGAAAAATTATCTGTCCTTTTGATGTAGGCATTTATGCTATAAACTTTCCTTGCAGTAAAATTCTTAACATAATCCTAGCATACCAAATCTAACAGCACATCAGAAAGATAATTCCAATGATAAAGTGGGCTTTATTTCAGGGATGCAAGGTTGTTCTAACATATGTAAATCAATAAATATGATTTATTCTATAAACAGAACTAAGTGCAAAACCAAAAGATAATCACAATAGATGCAAAAAGGTTGTTTTTTTTTTTAATAAACTCCAATATCCATTTACGGTAAAAACTCTCAACAAACTAGTCATTAAAGGAACATATTACAAAATAATAAGAGCCATATGTAACAACCCCATAGGCAACATCATACTGAATGGTAAAAAGTTAAAAACATTTCCCTTAAGAACTGGAATAAGATAAAGATGCTCACTCTCACCATGCCTACACAACATAGTACTACAAGCCATAGCCACAGCGACCAGGCAAGAGAGAGAAATAAAAGACACCCAAATTGTAAAAGAAGTCAAATGATCTCTGCTCACTGATTAGATGACTGTGTATCCAGAAAACCTTAAGAACTCCCGCAAAGGCTTCTAGACTTGATACATGACTTTAGTAAAGTCTCAGGATACAAAAATTAATGTACAAAAATAGTTAGCATTTCTATACACCAATAACATACGAGCTGAGAGCAAAATCAATAACTCAATCTCATTTGCAATAGACACACTCAGGCCGGGCAAGGTGGCTCATGCCTGTAATCCCAGCAATTTGGGAGGCTGAGTCGGGTGGATCACGAGTTCAAGAGATCGAGACCATCCTGGTCAACATGGTGAAACCCCATCTCTACTAAAAACACAAAAATTAGCTGGGCGAGGTGGCACGCTCCTGTAGTCCCAGCTACTTGGGAGGCTGAGGCAGAAGAATTATTTGAACCCAGGAGGCAGAGGTTACGGTGAGCCGAGATTGCGCCACTGCACTCCAGCCTGGCAACAGGGTGAGACTGTCTCAAAACAAAACAAAGCAAAACACAAATAAAATAGCTAGGCATACATTTAACCAAGGAGGTGAATGATCTCTACAAAGAAAATTATAAAATACTGAAGAAAGACTGTAGAACATAAAAAAAATGAAAAAAAAACATCCCATGCTAATGGATTGGAAGAATCAATATGATTAAAATAACCATATTGCCCAAAGCATTCTATAGATTCAGTGCAACTCCTCTGCTTTTAAATGTCTGGATTGTACAGGTAGTTTGGGGACTTCATTTATTTTGATTAGTTTAGCTTTATCCTGAAATGGTTATTGGTCCATGTCTATGATAAGGTAAAAGAAAATTAGAATCCTAAGAAAGAAAATAGCAAACCACTGATTCCATTCCGATTATCTTTGTGGCTTGTGTTAGCATTGATTGTTTCTTGCCATGCTATTGTATGTTCCTGGGACTCCGCTGCAACCACGAAATAAATAGTGGACAGAATTAGGATAATCTGATTCTGGAAGCCAGATACTTTGATTGGTGGCTTGTCATACTATTATAAATAAGCAATTTGCCAAACTCTTTTAGTTACAGATTAGAAATATACAATGATCAAAAAGAGAATAGAAATAGGGCTGGTACCTGTGGATAAAATAAAACTAGCAGAGTGTGAATCATTTAACATTATTTCTGAAATTATTTATAATTATACAATTCAGTATGCTAACAATGCAATGCCCATCAAATCACCCATGCCATTTTTCACAGAATCAGAAAAAAAAAAATGCTAACATTCATATGGAACCAAAAAGAGCCTGAATAGCCAAAGTAATTCTAAGAAAAAAGAACAGAGCCAGAGGCATCACATTGTCTGACTTCAGATTATAATAAAAAGCGATAGTAACTAATACAGCATGATATTGGTACAAAAATAGACAGATAGAACAATGGAACAGAACAGAGAACCCAGAAATAAAGCCATATACCTATAACCAACTGACATTTGACAAAGTTGACAAAAATAATGGAAAAGAATACCATATTTAATAAATGATTTTGGGAAAATTGGCTAGCTATATGAAGAAGAATGAAGTTTGTCTGCTATCTCTTACCACAGTAAAAATTAACTGAAGATGGGTTAAACACCTAAACATGAGGCCTGAAACTATAAAACTCCTGGAAGAAAACCTAAGAAAAATTATTTGGACATTGGCTTAGGCAAACAATGTATAATGAAAAACCCAAAAGCAAATGCAATGAAACCAAAACTAGACAAACGGTATGTAATTAAACTTAAAAGCTTCTATGCAGCACAAGAAATTGTTAACAGGGTAAACAGACAACCTACAGATTGGGAGAAAATATTTGCCAATTATGCTTCTGACAAATGACTGATATACAGAATATATTAAAAAACTCAAACAACTCAAGAAATAGCAACCCCATGAAAAACTGAGAAAAGCATATGAACAGACATTTCTCAAAGGAAGAAATACAAATGGCCAACAACATACTTTAAAATACTCAACATCACTAATCACTAGAGAAATGCAAATTAATTCACACTGAGATATCACTTTACACCAGACTGAATGGCTATTATTTAAAAGTCAAAAAACAACAGATGTTGGCATGGAGACAAAGAAAAAAATGCTTATACACCGTTGGTGTAAATATAAATTAGTTCAATCCCTATGCTGAACTCCTATTCAGCCCAGTAGAATCACTACTTACCCAAAGTAAAAGAAAGCATTATATAAAAAAGACATCTGTACTCATATGTTTGTCGCAGCACTATTCACAATAGCAAAGCCATGGAACCAACCTGTGTCCATCAGTGGTTGATTGGATAAAGAAAATGTGGTATACATATACACCATAGAATATTTTGTAGCCATATAAAAGAATGAAATCATGTCCTTTGCAGTAACATGGATGGAGCTGGAAGCTGTTATATAACTAAGTAAATTAACTCACGAGCAGAAAATCAAATCAAATGTCACATATTCTCACTTATGAATGAGAGCTAAACGATGGATGCACATGGACATAAAGATGGAAACAAAACACACTGGGGACTCCAAAAGTGGGGATAGAGGGAAGGGGTGAAGTTTGAAAGATTACATATTAGATACATTGTTCCATATTGGAGTGACAGCTACACTAGTAGTCCAGTCCTCACCATTAAACAATGTATGAATCTAACAAACATGCACATGTACCCCGGAAATCTAAAATAAAATTAAAATAAATAAATAAACCAGTAACAAACAACATGAAGAATATGTTAAATATAGGAGCAGAAGTATATAAAATTGAAAATAAAAATAATATAGAAAATCAACAAAACAAAATGTGACTCTTCAAAAAATTGCAGTAAACTTCATGAAATTCTGCAAGAATAAGAGCCATCTATGACAAACCTATAGACAACATCATACTGAATGGACAAAGTTGGAACAATTCCCCTCGAGAACTGGGATAAGATAAGGATGCTCAATCTCACCATTTTTATTCAATGTAGTACTGGAAGTCCTAGCCAGAGCAACCAGGTAAGAGAAATAAATAAAAGACAGGCAAATATGAAAAGAAGCCACTCTTTTTACTGATGATATGATTATATATCTAGAACATTCTAAAGACTCTGTCAAAAGGTTCCTAGAATTGATAAGTGACTTTAGTAAAGTTTCAGGATACAAAATCAATGCATGAAAATCAGTAGCATTCCTACACATCAACAATGTCCAGGCTGAGAGTGCAATAAGGAACAGAATCCTACTTATAATGCTACAAAGAAAATGCAATACCTAAGAATACAGCTAACCAAAAGGTGAAAAATCTCTATAAGGAGAACTATAAAACACTGCTGAAAGAAATTAGAGACCATACAAATAAATGGAAAAACATTTCGTGGTCACTGTATTAGTCCGTTCTCATGCTACTGATGAAGACATACCTGAGACTGGATAATTTATAAAGGAAAGAGCTTTCATTGACTCACAGTTCTGCAGGGCTGAGGAGGCTTCAGGAAACAGAATCATGGCAGAAGGGGAAGCAAACACATCCTTCTTCACATGGCAGCTGCAAGAAGTGCAGAGCAAAGTGAAAGAAAAGCCCCTTATAAAACCATCAGATCTCCTGAGAACTCACTTGCTATTACAAGAACAGGATAGAGGTAACTGCCCCGATGATTCAATTACCCTCTACTGGGTCCCTCTAATGACATGTGGGGATTATGGAAACTACAGTTCAGGATGAGATTTGGGTGGGGGCACAGCCAAACCATATCAGTCATGGATTAGAAGAATTAATATTGTTGCCAAAATAGCCATACTGCCCAAAGCAATTTATAGATTTAGTGCTATTCCTATCAATCTACCAATGTGATTCTTCACAGAATTAGAAAAAAAAAACTATTCTAAAATTCATATGGAACCAAAAGAGAGCCCAAATAGCCAAAGCAATCCTACATAAAAAGAATAAAGCCAAAAAGGCATCACACTACCCAACTTCAGACTATACTATAAAGCCACAGTAACCAAAACAGTTTGGCACTGATACAAAAACAGACCCATAAACCAATGGAACAGAATAGAAAACTGAGAAACAAAGACACACAACTATAACTATTTGATCTTTGACAAAGCTGACAAAAACAAGCAATGGGGAAAAGGCTTCCTATTCAATGAATAGTGCTAGGATAACTGGCCATATGTAGAAGATTGAAGCTAGGATCAATCAATTGAAGCTAGGATTAATTTTCATATATGATAAAAGAATCCCTACCTTTCACTGTATACAAAAATTATCTCAAAATTGATTAAATATTTCAGTGTAAGAACTCAAACTATAAAAATCCTTGAAGACAACCTAGGAAATGCTATTCTTGACATTGGCCTTGGCAAAGAATTTTTGACTGTCTCCAAAAGCAATTGCAGCAAAAAAAAAAAAAAAAAAAATTGACAAGCAAGACCTAAATAAACTAAAGAGATTCTGCGCAGTAAAAGAAACAATCAACAAGGCAGACAACTTACAGAATGGGAGAAGATATTTGCAAACTATGCATCAGACAAAGGCCTAATCTCTAGAATCTATAGGGAACTTAAACAAATCAACAAGAAAACAAATCCTATTGAAACATGAAAAAAAAGGGCATGAACAGACACTTCTCAAAAGAAGACAAAGAGGTGACCAACAAACATGAAAAAAATTGCTTAGTATCACTAATCATCAGAGAAATGAAAATCAGAAGCATAATGATATAATACCTCACACTAGACAGAATGGCTATTACTAAAAAGTCAAAAAACGACAGGTGCTGGCAATGCTGCAGAGAAAAGGGAATGCTTATCCATTGTTGGTGGGAATGTAAATTAGTTCAGCAACTGTGGAAAGCAGTCTGGTGATTTGTCAAAGAACTTAAAATAGAGCTATCATTTGACCCAGCAATCCCATTACTGTGTATATACCCAAGAGAAAATAAATAATTCTACCAAAAAGACTCAAGCACTTTTCTGTTAATTACTGCACTCTTCACAATAGGAAAGACATTGCATCAACCTAAGTGCCTATCAATGCCAAATTGGATAAAAAAATGTGGCATATATACACCACGGAATAATATGCAGTCATAATAAAGAACAAAATTATGCCCTTTGCAGCAACATGGATGAAGCTAGAGGCCATAATCCTAAGCAAATTGATGGAAAAACAGAAACCCCAAAATCACATGTCCTCACTTATAAGTGGGAGCTAAGCACTGAGCACACATGAACATAAATATGGGAATAATAGATACTGTGCACTACTGGAGGGTGGAGGAGTGGGAAAAGTTAAAAACCTGCCTATTGGGTACTATGCTCACTATCAGCGTGATGGGACCCATACTCCAAACCTCTGCATCATACAATATTCCCATGTAACAAATCTGCCAGATGTATCCTCTGTATCTAAAATAAAAGCTGAAATTTAAAATAAAGCTGGTGATAATAAAAATAAGGGATTACTACAGATCCTGCAGCCATTAGAAAGATAATGCGAGTAACCTTACATTTATATATTTCACAAAATAGAAGAAAAAGCCCAATTTCTCTAAAATCACAAACTGGCAAAACTAAACCAAGATGAAGCAGATCATATTAATATCCTTATAGCTATTAAAAATGGAAATCATAATTTTAAATATCCTCAAAAAAAACTCTCCATGTCCAGACAATTTCATCTGAGAATTCCATCAAACACTTAAAGAATTAACACATTCTCTTACACAATTTTTTCTAAAAAATTATATTTCTAAAAAATTTCTAAAAATTATGATTATAAAAATATAAATATACATTATAATAATATAAACATAAAAATATAAACATAAATTCTAAAACAGCAATTTCTAAAAAATTATATTTCTTATCAGTGTATCAAAAGAATTACACACTATATCTAAATGGAATTTATTTCAGGTATGCAAGACTTGTTCAACATTTGAAAATTCATCAATGTGATCCATCATTATCAACAAGGTAACAAAGAAAAATCATGTAACATATAACTTTCCATAGCATAGATACAGAGACAGCATTTGACAAAATTCAACCTTACATAAAACAAAAGCTGTTAGCAAATTATGAAAAGTTATCTAAGACAGATAATGGGTATCTATAAAAAACTTCCTGCTAATGTTATACATAATAGTGAAAGAAAATGTTTTTCTTCTAAGACCAGGAAAAAGGTAAAGACATCCACTCTTGCCACTCTTATTCAACATAGTATTGGGAGTTCTAGTTACTATAATGAGTAAAGTCAAAGATATAAAAGACAAACAGATGAGAAAGGAAGAAATCAAGCTGTCTTTAAATGGAGATGACATGATGTTGACATAGAAAATTATAAATAATTTACAAAATAAAAACAGAATTTCTACAAGAGTTCAACAAGGTAACAGAATCAACAAATAAAAATCATTCACAATTTTATACATGAAAGTTGAATATAGAAACATGGATTCAAAATGCAGTACCATTTACATTCACACCAAACAAAATAAAATGTCTTGGTATATGTTTAACAAAACATGTATAAGCCTATATGCTGAAAATGTCAAAATAATTATGAAAGGAAGAAAAGGAGCCTTGAATAAAAGAATTGCATTGAAAGATTTTTTTTGCATCTATTGGTATGATCAAGTGGTTTTTGTTTAAATTCTGTTTATGTAGTGAATCACATTTACTGATTTTTGTATGTTTAACCAACCTTGAATCGCAGGAATAAAGCCAATGCGATTATGGTAAATTAGGTTACTTTTTGATGTGCCGCTGGATTCAGTTTGCTATACACTGTATTTTGCTAAAGATTTTTGCATCTATGTTCATCAGAGATATAAAAACTGTCAACAATCTATACACTGAAGGAACGCAACTGAAAATAATAAGAGTCATCTATGACACACCCATAGCCAACATCATATGGAACAGGCAAAAGCTGAAAGCATTCCCCTTGAGAACAAGAACAAGACAAGGATGCCCACTCTCACCACTCCCTACTCAACATTATTATTGTAAACTCTATGTACAACAATCAGACAAGAGAAATAAATAAAAGGCATGCAAATAAGAAAAGAAGATGTCAAATTATCTCTCTTCACTGATATAATTCTACACCTAAAATATCCTAAAGATGACATAAATAAATAGAAAAACATTCTATGGTTATAGATTAGTAGAATCAATATGATTAAATGGTCATATTGCCCAAACAATCTACAAACTCAATGCTATCGCAATCAAACTACCAACATCATTTTTCAGAAAACTAGAAGAAACTATTCTAAAATTTGTATGGAACCAAAACAGAACCTGAATAGCCAAATCAGTTCTAAGCAAAAAGAGGAAAGCCAGCAACATCACATTACCTGACTTCAAACTGCACTACAAGGCTACAAGGTACACAAAACAGCATGATACTGGTACAAAAATACACACATACAGCAATAAAACAGAATAGAGAACTCAGATAAAGGGGCACACCTATAATCATCTGACCTACAAACTTGACTAAAATAGCAGTGGGAAAAGAAATTCCTGTTCAATAAATAGTGCTGGGATAACTGGTTAGCCATATGCAGAAAAATGAAACTACACCCCCACTTTTCACCATATGCAAAAATTAACACAAGATTCATTGAAGCCTTGTAAGACCTAAAACTGTAAAAATTACAGAAGAAAACCTCAGAAATACCATTCTGTACATTAACCTTGGCAAATAATTTAGTCCTCAAAAGCAATTGTGACAAAAACAAAAATTGACAAATGGGACCTAATTAAACTAAAGAGCTGCTGGACAGCAAAAGAAGCTATGAACATAGTAAACAGACAATCTACAGAATGGGAACTAAAACAAATTTACAAGATAAAAAACAAGTCCGAACTAGAAATACCATGTGACCTAGCCATCCCATTACTGGGTATATACCCAAAGGACTATAAATCATGCTGCTATAAAGACACATGCACACGTATGTTTATTGCGGCACTATTCACAATAGCAAAGACTTGGAACCAACCCAAATGTCCAACAATGATAGACTGGATTAAGAAAATGGGGCACATATACACCATGGAATACTATGCAGCCATAAAAAATGATGAGTTCATGTCCTTTGTAGGGACATGGATGAAATTGGAAATCATCATTCTCAGTAAACTATCGCAAGGACAAAAAACCAAACACCGCATGTTCTCACTCATAGGTGGGAATTGAACAATGAGAACACATGGACACAGGAAGGGGAACATCACATTCTGGGGACTGTTATGGGGTGGGGGGAGGGGGGAGGGATAGCGTTGGGAGATATACCTAATGCTAAATGATGAGTTAATGGGTGCAGCACACCAGCATGGCACATGTATACATATGTAACAAACCTGCACATTGTGCACATGTACCCTAAAACTTAAAGTATAATAAAAAAAAAAGTGGGCAAAGGACATGAGCAAACACTTTTCAAAAGAAGACGTACAAGTGGCCAACAAATATATGAAAAAAATGCTCAATATCACTAATCATTAGAGAAATGCAAATCAAAAGCATAATGGGATACCATCTCACACTAGTCAGAATGGCTACTATTAAAAAGTAAAAAAATAATTGATGTTGAGGAGGTCACTGAGAAAAGGAAATGGTTACACTATGTTGGTGGGATTGTAAATTAGTTCAGCCACTGCAGAAAGCAGTTTGGAGATTTCTCAAAGAACTTTAGACAAAACTACTATTTGACCAGCAATCCCATTATTGGGTATATACTCAAAAGAATATAAATTGTTCTACCAAAGAGACACATGCAGTCGTATATTCACTGCAGCACTATTCACAATAGCAAAGACACGGAATCAATCTACATGCCCATCAACGGTGGAATGAATAATGAAAATGTGGTACATACACACCATGGAATACCAATACTACCATAAACAAAGAATAAAATCATGTTCTTTGTAGCAGCATGGGCTCAGCTTCAGGCCATCTTCCTAGGTGAACTAAGGTAGGAATAGAAAAACCAAATACCACATATTCTCCCTTTAAGTGAGAGCTAACCATTGGGTACTCATGGAAATAAAAATGGCAATAATAGACACTGGGGACTAATAGATGGGAAAGAGAAGGATAAGAGTGAGAGTTGAAAAGCTACCTATTGGGTATTATGCTTGCTACCTGGGCGACAAGATCATTCATACTCCAAACTTCAGCATCATGCAGTATATCCATGTAAGAAACCTGTACATGTTCTTCTGAACTTAAAAATTGAAATTTTTAAAATGTAAATAAAAATAAATAAAGGATAGACATACAATGTTAAAGGACTGGAAGATTCAACATAGTACATATGTCAACTTAAAAAAAATTGATTTATAGGATTACTCTAAATCCAATCAAATCCCAGCAAGGATTTTGTAGATAATAGATAAGTTTATCTTAAATTTATTTGAAGAAGTCACAGGACATATTATATCTAAAATAGTACTGAAAAGCAAGAATGAAAAGGGAGAAACTACCCTTTCAGATAATAATGTTTCGTACTATATAATAACTCTAATCAAGGCAGTATGGTGTTAATGAAGATCAATAGAACAGAATGGAGAACCCACATGCAAATAACACAAATTTGCCCAGTTGAGTTTTGACAAAGACGCAGATGCAATTTAATGGGGGAAAGATAGGCTTTTCAACAAATGATATGGAAAGACCTGAACATCACACCTTGTACAAAAAACAAAATGAATCACAGAATTAAATTAAAATATAAAAATATAAAATTTTAGGGAAAAAACACATGGGAAAATCTAGGACTTTAGGATGCAGGAATAGAAAAAATGTTTTAGACTTAGTGTTGAAAGCATCATCTATATAATAAGAACATAATAAATTTTATGCAACTAAAGTAAATACCTTTGCTATGCAAATGACCCAGTAAAGAAAATGAAAAATAGTCTATAGTCTCAGAGAAATTACATGCAAACTACATACCTGAAAAAGACCTTGTAACTAGAGTATACAACAAATTCTCAAAATTCAACAGGAAGAACTAAAAATAATTTACTTAGAAATTAGGAAAATTAAATTCATAGACATTTCATTAAAAAGGATATTCAGGTGGAAAATTAGGGAAATTTTTCAACATCACTAACTAGTAGAGAAATGCAAATTAAAACCACAATATTACTGCATACCTAGCAGAATGGCAAAAATAAAAACAATAGTGGTAACACAAAACACTTGTCAGGAAGAAGATAAACACAGATCACTTCTATATTGTTGGTGAATTTGTAAAATAATATAGTTATTCTAGAAATAATTTAGCAATTTCTTAAAAAATAAACCTACACTTACCATATGAATAAGAATTTTATTTTGGTCATTTATCACAGAGAAATTAAACAATGTTTACACAAAAACGTGAACATGAATGTTCGTAGCAGTTTTGTTTAAAATTGCTTAAAACCAGATATCCCAAATATTCTTTAACAGATAATGGTTAACCAAACTGTGATATCTTCATACCACAGAAATATTCAGCTATAAAAGTAAATAAACTATTGACATGCAATAACTTAAATAGATCATAAGGAAATATGATGAATTCTAAAAGCTAATTCCTAAAGGTTAAATAGGTTGGTGCACCAACCTAATACATATAGGTCCATTTCTATAATATTCTTTAAATAGCAAAATTATAATGATTAATATTTGCTTAGGTCATGAGCAGTGGCTCATGCCTGTAATCCCAGCATTTTGGGAAGCCGAGGCAGGTGGATCACCTGAGGTGAGGAGTTCAAGACCAGCCTGATTAACCTGGCGAAACCCTGTCTCTGCTAAAAATACAAAAATTAGCCAGGCATGGTGGCACACGCCAGTATTCCCAGCTACTCAGGAGGCTGAGGCAGGAGAATCACTTGAACCCGGGAGGGCCAAGATCGCGCCACTGCACTCCAGCCTGAGCAACAGAGCAAGTCTGCGTCTAAAAAAAAAAAAGAAAAAAAAGAAAAAATATATAGCTCTCGGGAATTAAGATGAAGACTAGAGAGGAATGTTAGTGTAAAGCCATAGCTGAAAAGAGTCTTGTGGTCATGTTTCTATATATTGGTTATGGCAATGGTTACACTTAATCTACACATGTGATAAAATTGCATAGAACCACACACACACACACACAATTGCATGTAAAACTAGTAAAATCTGAATAAGCTCTGTAGATGGTTTTGACGCTTTTTCTCTGTTTTTGAAATTTTACTATCATTATGTAAATTTCTACTATTTTGGTGAACTAGGTGAAGGGGTTGCATGGGACCTCTCCGTACTTTTTTTTTTTTTTGCAATTTCTTTTGAGTCTATATAATTATTTCAAAATAAAAAGTTAACAAGAACAATGGAATGTTCTGGCTATCCTTCCTTGAGCAATACTCTTTGAATACTCCTACAATGGTAAGAAACTTTAAATTTCAGAAAGGTTAAGAAAATGACCCTTAATAAATAATTCGAGAATGGTATATTGCCATCAACTACACTAATCTGAATATGCCATCTGCTATAAACATGTATATTTATAGTTGTATTGGTTTTTCTCATCAATTTTTCTTCTTAATCCTCTGTTACAAAGGTTTCTTTATATTGAGGCAGTTCTCCATTTTTCAATATGTATTTTTTGCTTTTATACTTTTTTTGCTAATTCCTTTCCTGAAGTATCTACCCAAAATAAAAATCAACTTCTCAGGCTGACAGATCACTGTGTCTCTTCTCAGAACATATAATAAGAAATGAGCCTGAAAATTTCTTGGTATAATTAAACTGATTATTTATTATAAGACAATTTAAACTGCTCATTTTCATGAGTTCTGACAAAGACACTGTCACACACATCAAAATAATCCATATGCACTTGTATTTAAATTTGATTTTGTATATTTTAGATAATTTAAAAGCTAGTTTTGAATTAGTTTATTGATTATGATCCTTTGAACATGACAGCATGACTATATATGACTATATAGTGAAAGACAGGGTTTTTTTAAAAAATCGTTCGTATTGTCTGATGTTGCAGATGATGTTTGGGCACTTATTATTGTCTCTGAGTTAGAAACAGGCTTTTTAAAAGTCAAAAGACAGACTTATTAGCATTACATCTGAATCTAGTATTAAAATTTTTCTAAGAGAAAAACAAAGTGGTCAATCATATGGATGTTTTGTATAAATAACTAACCATCAAAATGTTTATAAATGTTTGGTTTAATACTTTAGTCTTCAATTTGTATTTGAAACCAAATGCCAGTTTAAGAACTAGCCAATTCCATATGGAAATAAGAAGCAATATCTCTGTTCAAGATAAATTTCATAAAATTATCTGATTCTGAAAAAACTGGAGATTATTTCTTTTGTGACTTTTTTCAAGAAAATGTTATGTGTCTTCTTGGTATTGCTTAATTCTTTCTCTCTCTCTCTCTCTGTGTCTGTGTGTGTTTATTGTATTATTTTTCATAAACAGAGTGGTCAAGGCTAACGGTAGAGTTTCTTTTATCAGTCAAGACTTTTCTTTTTTTCAAAATGAGTCCCTAGAATAGGTTTAAAAAAAGAAACCTAAATAAAGAGAAACTTGTCATTTTTTGATACATATTTCAAGATGTTGACCACAAAGCAAGTGTTGTCCTTTGTGACTTTTGTAGGCAAAAGCCAAATCTATTGTGATATTTCTCATGTATGTCCTGTTATTTTAAAATTAATCATAATAACACTAAGAAATATAGCTGATGTCCCCTTTTAAATACAAATTACAATGCTTTGTTTAAATCATAGTATCTCCACTAATAGTAGTTCAATTAGAAATTTTAGTTGCTTAAGTATTTTCTTCATCCTGGGGGAAAAAGTCATTACTTTATATAATTTGTAAAAAGTAAATACTCTTATATCTTCATTTCAGAGTAACTTCCATCTTGGTTGTAGTGATATGTAGATTTTGTAGATTTGTTTGTAGATTTTGTAGATTTGTATGTAGATTATTTTTATCTATAATTCATGTACACTCATTGTCATGTACATAATTACAATTGGTAGTAAATTGTATGTATGCACAAAGTGTACACTGCTTGAACAAGGGAGTACCGTATATCACCACTTAAATCAGGCTTAAGATCCATCCATCTTGTCAACATACTATGGTTTCTGAGTATTCAAGTTTTTTCCATCCAACAGACAGTCTACATTTAGTATAGATTGGCTATTTGCCCTCTTTGGTTATACATTTAACTGCTCCAGCCTCCAAGATGGCCTCCAATAGTTACCACCTCCTGGTATCTATGCTCTTGTGTATCACTTCTCTACATTGCAGCACGTTGGTTTTGTGACTAATAAATATGGCAGATGTGATGGTAAATAACCCTTGATGGTAGGTCATTAAATTCATCGTCTCTTATATGTTGTTTCCTTCCTCCTAGAATATTGTGTGGAAATCCACCTGCCATGCTATGAGAACACACAAGCAGCCCTTATGGATAAATTGTAGTGGTGAGGAAAGCAGCCTTTCTGAAGACATCCAGCAAGGAACAGAGACCTTCTGCCAACAGCCATCTTGGAATTGGATCCTCCAATTTCTATCAAGCCCCCAGATGATGATAGACCTGGCCAACCAGTTAATGAGTCCTTAGGAAGATTTCAACCCCAACTATTTAATACTTGACTAAACTAAGTTAAACCATCCCCAGATTCCTGACATATGTAAAAACTGGGAGAAATTAAATAAATAAATATTAATGTTGTTTTAAGGCACCAAGTTTTAGGATAATGAATTAATAACAAAAAGGTGACAAATGCAGATTTTGGTATGAGAAGTGTTACCATGAGGAGAGGGAACCAAAACTTGAGTGTCCTTAAAACCAGATATTGGGAACAATCTAGAAACATGTTCAGGAAAGTGTTACTAAAATCTTAAAGACTGTTGAAAAAACTGTAGAATCACGGAGGATTTTGAGGAGGCTATGAGAAAGGGCTTAAAGAGAAGCAAGACAAATCATTTTGGAAGCTGGGAGAAAGATAATACCTCCCTTTAGTGGTTAAAAGTTTATCAGCTCTGCAGCCTGTGCTAATGTGGGGAATGGGAAAATGTGCCTGATGAACTTGGCTATATAGCTATGGAGAATTTCACAAAGGATGTTGAAGGTATCAACTGTCTTCTTGATGCTTATATTAAAATTCCAGAGAAAGAGATAAGTCCATGAAAGTACTTAACAAAAATAAGCTGGGTTTATGGTTTTGAAGATTCTCAGCCTCTCCAGATAGCTAAATTAAGATATTAAGAAATTACTTCCAGGCAAACATTAAATCCACAGCGCTCTCAGAAACTATGGTCTAAAGATTAAACTGAGGGTGTTACTGTAAAATTATTTGTTGAGACCCCAGGGAGATCAATGGCGGTGCCTCAGAAGGCATGAGCTCAGAAAATAGACACCAGAAATATTTTAAACGCATTTCTCAGGCATCTTGTGAATCAAATCATGGAGAGTCTCATAAGATTAATATCATTTTCCCTCAACAGAAACTCAAGGAAGTGACTGTATATCTGAAATATATTTTTGGAAGACTTTTATGTACTGGAATGAATTTCAGTAAAATTCACCAGAGGCTGAGTGCGGTAGCTCACCACTGTAATCCCAGCACTTTGAGAGGCCGAGGTGGGTGGATCACCTGAGGTCAGGAGTCCGAGACCATCAGAGATGGCGAAACCCATCTCTGATAAAAATACAAAATTAGCTGGGCATGGTGGTACATGCCTGTGGTCCCACCTATTCGGGAGGCTGAGGCAGGAGAATTGCTTGAACGCGGGAGGCGGAGGTTGCAGTGAGCCCAGGTCACGCCACTACACTCCAACCTGGGCGATACAGCAAGACTTCATCTCAAATAAATAAATAAATAAATAAATCAAAATAAAATAAAATAAAGTAAACGTCACCAGAAACCTGCAAGTTTTTAAGGGTATTGCATTTGCAGAAACACCAACAGATTGGATTGAGAAAAGACAGAGACAATACAAAATGAGAAGATAACATTGACCTCACAAATTTCTATAAGCAGTAAACATGTGGAGAAATATGATCATCTGCATACATGTACTACCTTTCATGAAAAGGGAATGATGTCACAGGGGTAAAAACTAGGGCTTAAAGGTATAGACCATGAATAAGTATTCCCAGGTCCTGAGTTTTAACCAACAAACTCCAACATGTGGCAGACTGAATTTCAGAACTGCTGTAAACTCCTTTGTGCCTTTTTGAACAGAAATGTATATAGCATTTATTCTAAACCTGCCTTGCTGTCGTATGATGGCTGTGTGTGTAGAAGATAACTTGTCTCTGGTTTCACAGTCTGAGAAAACTATAATCAAGGAGGTATATTAAAGAACTGGACCTGAAGAACCTCATCTTCACGTGTACATGATTTCCATGAAAAAATTCAGGACATTGAGCAGATGTTATAATGGTATGAAATGTCATGATGCAAATCTAGAAGTTAGGGGAGTGCATTTTGCATGTGGGAGGATGTAAATGATTTGTGGCCAGAGAGCTGACTGCGTTTTAAGATGTCCATGCGTTCTTTGATACTTCTCTCTTCAAAAGGTGAAACTTAATTTCCCACAACGTAAGAGTGTATTGGCTCACTTCTAATGAATAGAATGTGGTGGAAATAATGTTGTTACTTCTGAGGTCAGGTTATAAAAGACATTCTAATTCTCTCCTTACTCTATCTCTTGGATCACTCACTCTGGGAAAAACTTTTACCATGTAAACACTCCTATTTATATGATCATTTATTGATTTCAATTATATGAAGTCATTGAAACCCTGATTTAAAAATTGTTGAACTTGTTTAGATTGTCAAAATTATGGAGAAATAATGAATATTAACAAGTAATGGTGTTGATTTTTAAAATTTCTTCTTGGAATCTAGAAAGTATCAACTATTATAAATTTTAATGGATTGAAAAATTGAATGTTAGATATCTCCAGCAAACTTTTGGGAAGTAGCAACTTTGTTCATGGGAATATGAGTTATTACTTAATATTCTGAATAATCAGCCTATTTTCCACAAAGTAATATACTAAATATTTTGGGAGATTCATACACTCACGTATTCCTAAATTTAGAGGTAACTTATTTACTCTTTAATCAGGAGTTTTTTCTTTAAAATATGTTTATATTAACAAAAGAAAACTTTTACACTGTATTGAGTATGTTTGAGACATGATAAATTAGTCTATTTGAATATGATTTGGCCCACCATAATTTTGAAAATTTTAAGATGCTTCAATTTAAATTATTGAAAATATTTTTAACCCAGGAATTCTATATTCAATTTTATGTAAATATCTTAAAACAAATTTAAATAGAAAATGTTATTGTTTACATTATTAGAATACCCATTAATAATAACAATAAAGATACATTATATACTTAATGATATTAAAATAATTAAAATAATCCATTTCTATGAGATTGAAAAGAAATATTTTTGAAGGTGCTTAGCTAGGACGTATGGTACTTTATAAGAGAGGTCACTATTCTTATATCTGATAAAACAGACTTTAAACCAACAGCAAACAAAAAGGACAAAGATGGGCAATTTCATAATGATAAAGGGTTCAATTCAGCAAGAAGATTTAACTATCTGATATATAAATGTACCTAACCTTGGAGCACCAAGATTCATAAAACAGGTTCTTCTAGACCTATAAAAAGACTTAGCCACGAAATAATGGTGAGAGTTCAACACCCCACTGACAGAATTGGACAGGTCATGAAGGCAGAAAACTAACAAAGAAATCCTGTACCTAAACTCTACACTTGACCAACTGGAATTAATAGACATCTAAAAAATATTCTACCCAACAACCACAGAATATACATTTTTTTCATCTTTACATAGAACATATTCTAAGATCAATCACTTGCTCAGTCACAAAGAAAGTCTCAATAAGTTCAAGAAATCAAAATTATACCAAGCACACTCTCAGACTGGTGCAATAAAAACAGAAATCAATACCCAGAAGATTTCTCAAAACCACACAATTGCATGGAAGTTAAACAACTTCCTCCTGACTAACTTTGGGGTAAACAATAAAATTAAGGCATAAATAAAAAACACCTTTGTAATTGATAAAGATAGAGAGATAACATACCAAAATCTTTGGAATGCAGCTAAAGTATTGTTAAGAGGAAAGTTTATAGAGCTAGATGCCTGCATCGAGAAGTTAGAAAGATCTCAAATTAACAATCTATCATCACACCTAGAGGAACTAGAAAGAAATAAACAAATCAAACCCACAGCTAGTGGAAAAAAAATCACCAAAATAGAGCAGAACTAAATTAAATTGAGAACCAAAAATTGATTCAAAACATCAGTGAAACTAAAAGATACATGTACGTGTATATTCAGCCCAGCACTATTCACAATAGTAAAGAACTGGAATCATCCTTGATGCCTATAATTGGTGGACTGGATAAAGAAAATGTGGTACATATATGCACGGTATGCTACCCATCCATAAAAAAGAACAAATCATGTTATTTGGAACAACATGTATGCAGCTAGAAATCATTATCCTAAGTGAACTGATGCAGAAACAAAACTAAATGCCACATGGTCTCACTTATAAGTGGGAGATAAATATTGGGTACACATGATCATAAAAGTGGGAACAATAAACTCTGTGGAAATACAAGAGGAAGGAGAGTTGGAGGCAAGTAAATGTTGAACAAACTACCTATTGGATATTATGCTCACTACCCGGGTGATGGACTCATTTGTACTTCTAACCTCAGCATCATGCAATATACCTTTGTAACAAATCTGCACATGATTCTAAAATAAAAGCTGAAAGAGAAAAGGAATAAATACGTTATTATGTGAGGTCTCACAATAGATAAGTAGAACAATCTATGTTCTCATCAACATTTTCTTGCAGCTTTCATTTTAATTACATTTGATGAGTTTGAAAATTGCTTATATTTCATATTTTAAATATTAAACATTTTAAATAAATTATTAAAAATTAAATAATATTGTTCTTTTATACTGCTTTAACTGAATGGATGAATGATGCTACTGTTACGTAGGTAGAATATGGAAGGTAATATTGTTTGCAAGATAGGTAATAAAACAATAAAAAATAATTAAACGCAAGTTACTATCTTGATTTAGTAAACAAGACAGAGACAAGAGATGTTGCATACTTTGAACAGCTTAAAAGCAGTATTCCATTCTATAAATAATTCATACTGATGAAGAAAAGTAACCTATGAGAGTATGAAGTTAATATCACTACCAAAGACTACACGTTGCATTACCATTCAGTAAGCTTGGTATTTAAAGCTCCTTTTAATGATTTCTTGGAAAATGATTATGCATATGTAAATTATTCATTAATATGAAATCAATTCATCTATAGGATACCTATGTGTACTAGAAATACTAGATATATAATGACTTGGTTTTACTATTATACATGTAAATATATTATTTTTCATTTATATTAATGGTCCTGCCTTTGTTCTGTTTGGAAAAAAATAACGTTTATTATTTAATATTTCTCAGATGTCCCCATCTGTGTTTCTCTGACTGTCATAATGTACTCTTCCAGAGCTAGCCAGTGGTTGTCCAGGTGCTGTTGGAAACTACAAGTGTGGCTAATACTCTTGGGTAGTTAATTTACTGAATAACTTGAGGGGGAACAATTCTATCAAATACTGAAAGCAATAAGATATCAGATGAAAAAAACATTTTCTTAAGATTGATTAAGAAACTGGCACAAACAAGTTTATTTAATTAGACCTCCAGGATTACAGATTCATTCTGCCCAGTTATTACATGTTATTTGGTAAAACTTTGGAGAAATATTATTTTATGCACTAGCTACAGAAATTCCTAAGAGTAAAATTAATTCGACCAAATATTATTTGAGAAATGATCAGGAAATCCAGTTTACGATAAATTTAAATTTTATGTCAAAGTATTTTGAAATGGCATTGCCAGTACCTGATCTCAAGTGATCTGCCTATCTTGGCTTCCCAAAGTGCTAGGATTACAGGTGGTGAGCCATTGCACCCAACCTTCTTTTTGTTTTTTAATTGACAAAACGTATATGTATTTATCGTGCACAACATGATGTTTTCATGTATGTTTACATCGTGGAATGGCTAAATCAAGCTAATGAACATATGCATTACCTCACATACTTTTTTTTGGGATAATATCCAAAATCTACTCTCCTGGCAATTTAAAAGTATGCAATATATTGTTACTAACTATAGTCACCATGATGTACAATTGATCTCAGGAGGAGTCATTTCTTGTACCCTCGCTTAAGCTTCCATTGGCTACATTTTAGTTCTCTCATTCATATTTACAGCATAATCAGTGAAATATTTACTAAGGATGACATTTTTACGAAGTTGAACTTTAAAAAAAATTTCAGGAAACAGTCACATCTTAAATACATGTATTATTGCTGGATTAAAGACAATGGCCTCAGAAAGCACTTACAAATCAGCAAAAGGTGTCCAAAAGAAAAAATTCAAGCCAAAATAGAGACTATAAGATTATAAATAGAAGCCAGGGAAACTTTGTGAAATATGAAGCATTTTTTAAATCACAGAAAAGAAAACACAACAAAATATATAAACATCCTGCAGTCAATCAAAATTGAAGTAGAAATTACATTGTTTAGATATAAAGAATTATCAGAAGGATTTGGGAAAATCTGGACTCCATATATTGGAGAGGATGATATGTAACAAGTTGTAAATAAATTTTAATAATTGCTATCTTTAAAGTCAGGTTGATGCTGAAATTAGTGTTTTTCAGCTATATAAGTGGTATTCTATCCATAAAGTAGTATTACATCTAATAGCACCAATGAACCAGGAAATGACAGGTTAAGCCTACCTCTTTTAATTTCCTCAGAGAGCTCATTCATTTATCTAGTTCTTCTTTATGCCAATTGTTGGCACTGATATGTCATAGTTTTCCTCATTTCCTTTTTATGTCTTCTGTAAAAATGAGTTCCAAACCTTTGTTTTCTTTATTACTTTTAAATGCAAAATGCTCACAACAGTACTTCAACTAGGGTTTTTGTCATTAGCAAAGACTAAGTATTTTCTTCTCAGTTTTCATAAAAACATTCTATAATGAGAAATAGAATTAAATATTTTATATTAAACAGAGGTGTACAGTAAAAACTTATTGTATTTGCTATGAACAAAAATCTGATTCCAATAGAATTCCAAAATTATTCATACATTAAATACTAATTATGATTATAAATTTGATTACATTATTGCTGTTAATAATTAAATGAATAGCTCTTGGTTTCAGTGTGAATTTTTGTTGTTGTTGTTTTGGTTTTGGGTTGTTTACTTGTTTATTTATTTTGAGTCAGAGTCTCACTCTGTCGCCCAGGCTGGAGTGCAGTGGCACAATCTCTGCTCACTGCAACCTCCACTTCCTGGGTTCAAGCAATTCTCATGTCTTGGCCTCCCTAGCAGCTGGGACTACAGGCACATGCTACCACGCTGGGCTTATTTTGTATTATATTTTGTATTTTAGTAAATACATGTTGACCAGGCTGGTTTCAAACTCCTGGCTCCAAGTGATCCACCCACCTTGGCCTCCCGAAGTGCTGAGATTACAGGCATGAGCCACTGCTCCCACCCAGCCCAGTGTGAAATATTTAATGGTAGTGCTTCTGAATTACCCTAAGTTTAAGCTTTATCATATGGACACCATGTGATTCTGCATTAAAAACATAATTCTTAAATAATTAAGTGAAAGCTAAAAATTCTAATTATAATTTTTATGTGCATAGTTAATGTTACCAATTTTTTAATACTTAAGGAAAAAAGTTATCAATATGTTGAAGCTAAAGAATTTGCTTTTAACTTTGGAACTACCTATTCTGCATAGGTCATTTTCATGTATCACTACACTGTGTATGTTTAGAAAAAAGAAACTTAGAGAAACAGTTTATTCTGACATATATAAGAGAATGCAGAATTCACATTTAAAAACAGGAAAACTTTAGCCAATATTGCAAAGTGTTGATTTTTGTCCCTTTGTGTAGTCAAAGCTATATTGCCAATTTCAGATCAGTGAGACACAAAATATTTCTTACTGCCAGAATGTCTATGAGGTTACTATCCCTGGAAAGCTCATTCAGCTTTAAAATATTCAGGTTTAAAATCTCCTACATTTCTACTATGTTAAATACGTTTGGGGAGGCACCATCTCTAAGTCTAAATGATTCTATGTAATAGTGAAATGTTCAAGAAATGCCATGTAAATAAGGCATTTTCAGTTAATTGATGTGTCCTGTGAGGTATTATATTTATGAGATATTTAGAAATACAGACAATGTAAGTACAGGTAAAATTCTGTTAATAAGAGGCAGTATTAAAATATGAAATTAAGAAAATAGTTTGAATTAAATTTAAAAATGGAATAATTTTTGTTAATTGTGGAACACTCAATCTGAGTTAAACATATTTTTATTAATATCATAATTTATATTATAATTTTGTATTAGACCAATAAGATGACATATTTTTAAAATATTTGATTAAAATCCTGGTGATGGTCATAGCAGGATGCATCACATGCTATTTCAACGTTGATATATGCACATAAGTAACTGAATGTTGGATAACTTTTCATGAGCTTTATATTTTTATTTCTAACTTTTTAAAACTTTTGGATCCAAGTGGTACATGTTCAGGTTTGTTACATGAATGTATTGTGTGATGCTGAAGTTTGAGCTTTAGTTGAACCCATCACTCAAAGAGTGGACATAATACCCAATAGGCAGATTTTCAGCTCTTCCCTTCCACCCTCCTTTTCTTCACTTTTGGGAGTCCCCAGTTTTTATTGCTCCCATTTTTATGTCTGTGTCTACCCAATGTTAAACTCTGACTCAAAGGTTGAAAATAGACCCAAGGTTTAAAACAACAAAAAAGAATAGAAATTATGCATTATATATTCTATTCTTGGAAATTAAAGAAAAATTGTATTTGTTGGCAGTATAAAATCATTTTGTATTTCTATCTATAATTACATAAATTAGCTGAAGTCATATGTAGCCACAATATAATAATGAGTAAATGTGTTAATATTTCTAAAAGACATTTGATGTTAGAGAAAATGGAAAATAAAATGCTTCTGTGCTGTTAACAAAATATGAGCTAATTAACACTTTCTTCTCATTTTTTAGCTACTGCTTTAAAAATTGTTTACAAGTTTTCCCATTTGACAGAAAGTACACTGCTTTTTTCAATCATTAAAATCCCTAATTAAACATTACTTTTATTTCTAGTAATCTGTCTTCTTTCATTTTATTATTTCTATGAAATTATTTTATGAGAAATTATATGAGATGTGAGACACTCACATCATTTTCCTTGTTGAAACCTGTCCCTTTTCAGAAATATTTTCTTCTATCTTATGTTTTCCCTCAAGGCAATGCCTAAAGGAATGATAGAGAAAGCATGCCACATGAACTATATACCACATATCAGATCCACTTTCTTTCTTAAATACAAGCAAAATACACAGCAAGCAAGTATGTATCTCTTATGTCAGTAGGGAGCATATTGCTACTCATGATGGAGATTAAGTTCAGTTTGAAGCCCCCTCCCACATTCTCTAAGCCTCTAATAACCATCTCCTCCATTTCCTTTTCTCTTTTTGCTAGAATAATGCAAAATTCTCTTCTTACCTCTGGCTCAAATTTTAATTGTATGGGAATCTTAGACTTCAATCAGTTTCTTGGAACCATGCCTTCATCGCAGCTCTAAACCAACCCAAACATGGATTCAAACTGACTTGATTTTTACAAGATAATCACTCTTATAAGAAGTTTTGATATATAGGAGACCCTGTTTAAGTTTTGAGCAAAGTGCAGGTGCTTATATTGGAGTGATACAAATGAATGGCATTAAATGCTGAGGATCCTCCTTTTTGAGAAGTCCCATTTTCTCTCGTGACACAGTCCCATCATCTCATGTGTTTTACATAGGACTCTCCCAGCAGTCTCCCTGCTATCTTTTTAATTTTTTCTATTTTCATAGGTTTTTGGGAAACAGGTGGTGTTTGTTATATGAATAAGTTCTTTAGTGGTGATTTCTGAGATTTTAGTGCACCCATCACCAGAGCAGTGTACACTGTACCCAGTATGTAGTTTTTTAATCCCTCATCTCCCTTCCAACCTTCCCCTACAAGTCCTCAAAGTCCATTATATTGTTCTTATGCCTTGGCATCCTCCAAGCTTAGCTCCCAATTATAAGTAAGAACATATGATGTTTGGTTTTCCATTCCTGAGTTACTTCACTTAGAATAATGGTCTCCAGTTCCATCCAAGTTGCTGCTAATGCTACTATGTTGTTCCTTTTTATGGCTGAATAGTATTCCATGTTTTTTATATATATATATATATATACACACACACACACACACACACACACACGCACACAATTTCTTTATTCACTCGTTGATTGATGGGCATTTGGGCTGGTTCCATATTTTTGCAATCGCAAATTGTGCTGCTATAAACATACGTGTGCAAGTATCTCTTTTGTATAATGACTTATTTTCCTCTAGGTAGATAACCAGTAGTGGGATTGCTGGGTCAAATGGTAGTTCTCTACTTTTGCTCTTTAAAACCTCCACACGGTTTTCTATAGTGGTTATACTAGTTTACTTTCCCACCAGCAGTATAAAAGTGGGCCCTTTTCACCACATTCCTACCAACATCTATTATTATTATTATTATTATTCTCCCTTTTTCTTTTCCAGTTTTGTTTTATGGACATTCTTGCAGGAGTAAGGTGGTATCAGATTGTGGCCTTGATTAGCATCATTAGTAATCTTGAGCATTTTTTCATATGATTGTTGGCCATTTGCATATCTTCTTTTGAAAATTGTCTATTCATGTTCTTAGCCCACTCTTTGATGGGATTTTTTCTTGCCGATTTGAGTTCTTTGTACATTCTGGATATTAGTCCTTTGTTGGATGTATAGGTTTGAGAAGATGTTTTTCCTATTCAGTGGGTTGTTTGTTTACTCTGCTGATTGTTTCTTTTGCTGTTCAGAAGCTTTATAGTTTAAGTCCCGTCTATTTATCTTTGTCTTGTTGCATGTGCTTTTGGGTTCTTTGTCATGAAGTCTTTGCCTAAGCCAGTGTCTAGAAGGGTTTTTCTGATGAAATCTTCTAAAAATTTTATGGTTTTGGGTCTTAGATTTAAGTCCTTGAACCAACTTTTCTTATAAGGTGAGAGATGAGGATCCAGTTTCATTCTTCTATATGTGGCTAACCAATTATCCCAGCACCATTTGTTGAACAGGGTGTCCTTTTCCCACTTTATGTTTTTGTTTACTTTGTCAAAGATCAGTTGGCTGTATTTGGCTTTATTTCTGGGTTATCTATCCTGCAGCATTTGTCTACATGCCTATTTTTATGCCAATACCATGCTGTTTTGGTGTATATGGTCTTATAGTATAGTTTGAAGTCAGTTTAATGTGATTCTTCTAGATTTGTTGCTTTTGCTTAGCCTTGCTTTGGCTATGTGGGATCTTTTTGGGTTCTGTATGAATTTTGTGATTGTTTTTCTAGTTCTATGAAGAATGGTGGTGTTATTTTGACGGGAGTTGCATTGAATTTGTAGATTGTTTTTGGCAGTATGGTCATTTTCACAATATTGAATCTACACATTCCCCAGTATGGGATGTGTTTCCAATTGTTTCTGTCATCTATGATTTCTTTCAGCAGTGTTTCATAGTTTTCCTTGTGGAGGTCTTTTGCCTCTTTGGTTAGGTATATTCCTAAGTATTTTAATTTTTTGCAGCTATTGTAAAAAATGTTGAGTTCTTGATTTGATTCTTAGCTTGGTTGCTGTGGCTGTATAGCAGAGCTACTGAATTATGATAATTAATGTATTGTGAAACTTTGCTGAATTTATTTATCAGTTCTAGGAGCCTTTTGGAACAGCTTATAGAGTTTTCTAGGTATACAATCATACCATCAGCAAACAGCAGCAGTTTGACTTCCTCTTTACCAATTTGGATACCCTTTATTTCTTTCTCTTGTCTGATTGCTCTGGCTATTATGTTGAATAGAAGTGGTGAGAGTGGGCATCCTTGTCTTGTTCCAGTTCTCATGGAGAATGCTTTCAGCTTTTCCCTGTACAGTATTATGTTGGGCATGGGTTTGTCATAGATGACTTTTATTACATTAAGGTCTTCTATGCCAATTTTGCTGAGGGTTTTAATAATTCTCCCAGCAATCTTCTAACCTTCACTCCTAAATATTCCTTCATTTCAAATGGTTAAATATGTAATGGTATTTTTTCTTCTGTAGAGCCCTTAAGTGGTCTTTCATATCCCAGCAGCTTATTCAGATATTTTGTTAAGCAAAGGGTTTTTTTCCCTTTGAAAAGTTTAGTGCCAGAAAGTAAAATAATACCTTTACCTTTTGCCCCAGGACACGTATAAAGGTAGGGGGAGGGTTTGCTGTATGTGTATTTGTGTGTCATTTCAACTTGGAATCAATGCAGGATTGGTAGCACTTCATTTTGAATTAGTTTGTTTCTGTACAAAGAAAACAAAGGAGATTACTATATTCTTTCCCAATTTACATTCTCTACTCCCTAGAGGCTATTTCTACGTCCTTGCTATTTTTAACAGAAATGCATAAACTATGGGCTGAAAGGAAATGTACCAATTTTTTAAAGATTTATTTTTTGGTAGTAATATAATGAATATTTTTCTTATTTTATACACTGTTTCTCAGTATTTTCTAAATTTTTATAGTAACCATATGTATAATTAGAAAAAAACTTCAAAACTAAGATGAACAGAAGTTACAGAAGGACATTGTCTAATAAACTATCATAAAGTAAACCTTTTAAAATAATTTATCTTTAATTTTTTGGATAAATAGTAGGTGTGTATTTATGGAGAATATGAAATATTTTGGTACAGACATGCAATATGTAATAATAACATCATGGAACATTGGGTATCCATTCCCTCTAGCATTATCTTTTGTGTTACAAACAATCCAACTATACTATTTTAGTTGTTTTAATATGTATAATTAAATTATTATTGAATATAGTCCCTATGTTGTGCTATCAAATAATAGGTCTTATTTATTTTCTTTCTATTTTTTGTACTCATTAACATTCCCTACCTCATTATCACACCACTTCACTTCCTTTCCCTTCCCAGCCTCTGGTGCCCATCCTTCTATTCTCTATTTCCAAGAGTTCAATTGTTTAGCATTTAGATCCCACAAATAAGTGAAAACATGCAATGTTTATCTTTCTGTGATTGGCTTATTTCACTTTGCAAGATGACCTCCAGTTCTATCTATGTTGATGCAAATGAGAAAATATTATTCCTTTTCATGGTTGAATACTAATCTATTGTATACAACTACCATACTTATTTTACTCATTCATCTGCTGATGGACACTAAGGTTGCATTCAAATCTTGGCTATTATGAATAGCAGCGCAACAGAAATGAGAGTGCAGATATCTCTTTGATATACTAATTTACTTGATTTTGGATATATACCTACCACCTCCAGTGAGATTGCTGGATTGATCATGTGTTTTTTTGTTTTTTTTTTTGGATCGATCATGTGTTAACTCTATTTTTAGTTTTTTGAGGAACTTCCAAAACATTCTCCATAGTGGCTTGACTAATTTACATTCCCGCCAACAGTGTACAAGGGTTCCCTTTACTTCACATCTTTGCCAGCATTTCTTAATGCCTCTCTTTTGGATAAAAGCCATTCTAACTGGAGTGAGATGATATCTCATTGTAGTTTTGATTTGCATTTCTCTAATGATCAATGATGTTGAGCACCTTTTCATATACCTATTTGTTATTTGTATGCCTTCCATTGAGAAATGTCTATTTACATTTTTGTCCCTTTTTAATCAAAATGTTAGATTTTTTTTCTATAGAGTTGTTTGTGTTCCTTCTATATTCTAGTAATTAATCCCTTGTGAGATGGGTAGTTTGCAAATATTGTCTTCCATTCTGTGGGTTGCCTCTTTACTTTGCTGCTTCTTTCCTTTGCTGTGCAGAAAGCTTTTAAACTTAATATGATTCCATTTGTTCAATTTTGGTTTTGTTGCCTGTGCTTTTAGAGTATTACTCAAGAAATTTTTGCCCAGGCCAATGTCCTGGGGAGTTTCCTCAAAGTTTTCTGGTTTTAGATTTAAGTTTTTATTCATTTTTATTGAATTTTTGTATATGGCTAGAGATAGTAGTCTAATTTTCTTCTTCTGCATGTGGATATCCAGTTTTCCCAACACGATTTGTTAAAGAGACTCTTTTCCCCACTGTATGTTCCTGGCACCTTTGTTGACAGTGAGGTCACTGTAGGTATGTGGGTTGGTTTCTGGATTCTCTATTCCGTTTCATTTTTCCATGTGTCTGTTTTTATGTCAGTACAATGCTGTATTGCTTACTATAGTAAGCAATATGGTAAGTTGCTCTATAGTATAATTTGAAGTCAGGTAATGGGATTCCTCCAGTTTTGTTCTTTTTTCTTAGGATAGCATTGGCTATTCTGGGTCTCTTGTGGTACCACATATTTTAGGATTGTTATTTCTATTTCTGTGAAGAATGTGACTGGTATTTTGATAGGGTTTTCATTAAATCTGCAGATTGCTTTGGGTAGTTTGGACATTTATAACAATATTGATTCTTCCAATCCATGAAAATAAAATATCTTATTATATTTTGTGTCCTCTTCAATTTTTTTCATCAGCGTTTATAGTTTTCATTGTAGAGATCTTTGGTTAATTCCTAGGTATTTAATTTTATTTGTGACTATTATAAATGGGATTACCTTCTGATTTCTTTTTCATATTGTCCACTGTTGGCATACAAATATGCTACTGATTTTTGTATGTTAATTTGTTTTCTGCAACTTCACTAAATTTTTTATCAGTTGTAATAGATTTTTTGTGAAGTCTTTAGGTTTCTCCAAATATAATATAATACCATCTTCAAACAATGATAATTTGATTCTTCCTTTCCAATTTTCATGCCCTTTATTTCTTTTTCTTTATTATTATACTTTAAGTTCTAGGGTACGTGTGCACAAAGTGCAGGTTTGTTACATATGTATACATATGCCTTGTTGGTGTGCTGCACCCATTAACTCGTCATTTACATTAGGTATATCTCCTAATGCTATCCCTCACCACTCCCCCAACCCCACGACAGGCCCCGGTGTGTGATGTTCCCCACCCTGTGTCCAAGTGTTCTCATTGTTCATTTTCCACTTTATGAGTGAGAACATGCAGTGTTTGGTTTTCTGACCTTGCGATTGTTTGCTCAGAATGATGGTTCCCAGCTTCATCCATGTACCTACAAAGGACATGAACTCATCCTTTCTTATGACCACATAGTATTCCATGGTGTATATGTGCCACATTTTCTTAATCCAGTCTATCATTGATGGACATTTGGGTTGGTTCCAAGTCTTTGCTATTGTGAATAGTGCCGCAATAAACATATGTGTGCATGTGTCTTTATAGCAGCATGATTTACAATCCTTTGGGTATATACCCAGTAATGGTATGGCTGGGTCAAATGGTATTTCTAGTTGTAGATCCTTCAGGAATCGCTACATTGTCTTGCACCATGGTTGAACTAGTTTACAGTCCCACCAACAGTGTAAAAGTGTTCCTATTTCTCCACATCCTCTCCAGCACCTGTTGTTTCCTGACTTTTTAACGATCGCCATTCTAACTGGTGTGAAATGGTATCTGATTGTGGTTTTGATTTGCATTTCTCTGATGGCCAGTGACGATAAGGACTTTTTCATGTGTCTGTTGGCTGCATAAATGTCTTCTTTTGATAAGTGTCTGTTCATATCCTTTGCCTACTTTTTGATGGGGTTGTTTGATTTTTTTCTTGTAAATTTGTTTAAGTTCTTTGTAGATTCTGGATATTAGCCCTTTGTCAGATGGCTAGATTGTGAAAATTTTCTCCCATTCTGCAGGTTGCCTGTCCACTCTGAATTTGATCCTGTCATTATGATGTTAGCTGGTTATTTTGCTCATTATTTGATGCAGTTTCTTCCTAGTCTTGATGGTCTTTACAATTTGGCATGTTTTTTGCAGTGGCTGATACCAGTTTTTCCTTCCCATGTTTAGTGCTTCCTTCAGGAGCTCTGGTAAGGCAGTCCTGGTGGTGACAAAATCTCTCAGCATTTGCTTGTCTGTAAAGGATTTTATTTCTCCTTCACTTATGAAACTTAGTTTGGCTGGATATCTTTCTCTTATCTGATTGCTATTCTATATTGAATAACAGTCGTGACTGTGGGCATCCTTGTCATGGTCCAGATCTGCAGTGAAGGGCTTTCAGTTTTTCCTCATTCAGTACAATATTAGCTGTGAGTCTGTCATATATGATTTTCATTATATTGAGGTAAGTTCCTTTTATACTGCTTTTTTGAGGGTCTTTATGAAAGGATGTTGAACTTTTTCAAGTGCATTCTCGGCATCAATTGAAATGATCATATAGTTTGTGTCCTTTATTAATTTGTTAATATAATGTATCACGTTAATTGATTTGCATATGTTGAATTATGCTTGCATCCTGGGATAAATCAGACTTGGTAATGATGAATGATTGTATAAGGTATTGTTGAATTTGGTTTGCTATTAAATATCATTTTGTTGAAAATATTTGCATTAATGTTCATCAGAGTTATTGGCTTGTAGCTTTATTTTTTTTGATGTGCCTTCATCTGGTTTTGGTATCAGGGTAATCCTGGCCTTCTAGAAGGAGTTTGGAAGTATTCTCTCTTTCTCTATTATTCAGAACAGTTGAGTATGATTGGTATTAGTTCTTCTTTAAATGTTTGGTAGAATTCAGCAGTGATGCCAACAGGTCTCAGGCTATTTTTCCTGGGAAACTTTATTACAGCTTTAATTGTGTTACTTGTTATTGGTCTGTTCAGGTTTTGGATTTAATGGTTCTATCTTGGTAGGTTATATGTGTCTATAAGTTTATCCATTTATTCCAGATTTTTCAATTTATTGGCAGATAGTTGCTCATAGTAGACACTAATAAACCTTTGAATTTTTGTAGTATCAATTGTAAAGTGTCTTTTTTCATCTCTGATTTTATTTCTTTGGGCATTCTCTTTTTTTTTTCTTAGTCTATATAAAGTTTTGTCCATTTTGTTTATCTACTTAAAAAGTCAACTTTTTGTTTCATTGATCTTTTGTATTGTTTTCTTCATTTCAAATTTATTTATTTCTGCTCTGATATTTATCATTTCCTTTCTCCTACTAATTTTAGGTTTTGTGTGTTCTTGCCTTTCTTGTTCTTTAAGATGCATCATTTGGTTATTTAAAGTTTTGCTTCTTTTTCAACATGGACCCTTATAGTGATAAATTCTCTCTCAGTTCTGCTTTGCTGAATCTCACAGGTTTGGGTACATTTTGTTTTCACTATATTTGCTTCAAAATATTTTTCAAGTTTTTCTTAATACCTTCATTGACTCATTTGTCATTCAGGAGCATATTGTTTAATTTCCATATGTTTGTATAGTTGCAAGAATTTATCTTGTTATTTATTTGTAGTTTTATTCCATTGTGATCTGAGAAGATGCTTGATATTATTTCAATTATTTTGAATGTTTAAAGACTTGTTTTATGGCCTAACATATAGTATCCTTCAGAGTGATTCATGTGATAAGGAGAAAATGTTTATTCTGCAGCCATTGGATGAAATGTTGTATAAATCACTATTAGATCTGTTTGTTGTATAGTGATGATTGAGTCCAAAATTTCTTTGTTGATTTTTCTATCTGAGAGATGTATCCAGTGCTAAATGTGAGGTGTTGAACTCTCCAGCTATTAATGTATTGAGGTCTAGCTCTCTCTTTAGCTTTACAAATATTTGCTTTATATACTTATATGCTCAAATGTTGGATGCATATACAGTTCCAATCATTATCTCCTCTTGCTGAAGTGACTCCTTCATCAATATATGATAATCTACTTTGTCTTTTATTCTATTTTTTGCCTGGAAATCTATTTTTTCTGATATAAGTATAGCCACTCTTTCTCTTTATTGGTTCCTGTTGACATGAAACATCTTTTTTCATCTTTTTTTTCAGTCTGGGTGTGTCTTTATAGGTGAAGTGTGTTTCTTGTAAGCAATAGATCATTGAATCTTGTTTTTTCATCTATTCAGTCCATTAATGTCTTTTGATTAGAGAGTTTAGTTCATTGACATTCAATGTTATCATTCATATACCTTCATTATTGAGAGCATATGTGTATGGCATCTTGAAAAATAAACCAAGTTTTCAGTATGTTCTCTTTCAACTGGTGCTGTAATTGAGTCTTCGGTATTCTATTAGGCTATTGCTCCATTCTCTCATGTCAGCATCTTCAAATGATTTAGTAAGACTAGTGAATTCCATAGGCAGGTGCCAACTGTAACACTTACTTTGATATGAAATGAATTCCTTGACAAAAGCAACTTTGGGTGGAATGCTAGAACAAAAGCCATTCCCTAAGTCCACAGATTTTGATACTGGCAGAAGAATTATGGTCATGAAATAAATAACAATAGAGGAACTATCTATTTATTTTAATGAAGCAAAGTAGTTGACATCTCTATGCCTGGAAGGAATTTAGGGTAATCCAAATTGTATCACTAGAGGCCTGGCTAGTTCCTCAAGGGAATTATGCCATACTAGTAGCTCTATATCAGCACAGCATTTGTCTCTGCTCTTGGAAGTTCATCTACTAAGCAGTGGTACTATCCAGATCAGACTTGATGAGGAAAGTCTACTGTTGTTGAGTTCATATAACTCCAACTCTATTTTTGTGACCATGCCATACTTGAATTCATTCATTCATCAAGCACCAGAAAGGCTGGAGAAAGAGGCTTACTGATGTCCACAGAATACACACACACACACCCACACACACACACCCACACCACCTTTTCACATTGTCAGGAACATTCAAGTGAAAACAAAAATCTTAGTATCTTTTGCCCTTTTCTAATAATGTATATTTATGCCTCTTTCAAATTGCCAATCTTCCATCCTGTTCTTTCCAGTTCCTGACCATGAGACCAAGCCATTAGCCATCACATATTAATTTGTGCAAATCCATATGTATAACCATTCTTCAGTATAAAGTAGATAACAAAATACATTCCACTCAGTTCTGTCTATTAGTAACATTTCTCTTCATCACTGTCTTTCAGGGAAGCTCTTGATTGACAACCATCTAATGCTGGTAGGTACAAGTATCTCATTAAAGTAAAAGTTATTAAAACAGCAAAATGGTTTTCTCATCAATCATCTGGTGCTTATGTTCTTTCAATGAGGTTGTAGATGTGATTGAAGGAGAGGAGAGGATGAAGCAAGTGTAAGTATTCTAGGAGTCTCAGCTACCTGTTCATGCAACTCTCCTGTGCCTGAGATCTGTTGGAGCTGAGATTCTCATATTCTCTTTGTACTTAATGTCAAACTGGTTAGGCTATGCATGGTTAACCTTTTGGGTTGCTCAGTTAGATAACATGCACTTTATGATGAGTCACTGAAATCCATTTATTATTTCATGTCATGTGCTAAGATATTCAGTCTCTTTTAGGGTCTTCAAAACAAGACAGAAGTCGTTTTTCACAAAAAGAATCTTCAGAAAGGTTTCATGATTTTGCAGAGTCTCAGTCCCAGAATCACAATGCATAATTTAGAGAAAAAGATTTGGAAGTGAGAGATAATTTAAATAGCACAGATATTCTGTGAGAAAAATAAGGTAGGTTGAGCTAGTATCATAAAGATCCTTGTGAAACTTAAAAAATAATTTAACTTTATTTTCTAGTAAATAATTAGCCTCCAAAATGGGTGAAGTTAGGGAGTAACATAAAGCATTTGCTTTTTAAAAAGATAAATCTGGCAGTATGATTAATAATAGATTTGGGAGCGAGGACAGTACTAGAGCCAGGAAGTCTAGTTAAGTTGTTTTTGCAATAGATCAAGACAGAAATGATAGGGGAATAAAAGGAGCATAGGCACAGGAGGTGAAGGAGGTAGACTAAAACACAGAGAAGTTTGAGTTCACAGCATTTCATGTGTATTTGTATATGGACTGTGAGGGAGAAATTAAAAATTAAGATAATATTCAGATCTAGTTCTTGTTTGGATAGTAATTGTATTGTTTTAGAGACAAACAAAACTCATTTTAAGATATTTCACAGAGATTGAAAGATCTATGTGGTAGACAGAATGATGGCCTCCCCAAAGATATCAAAGTCCTAATCCCTAGGACCTGTGAATATCTTACTTTACTTGGCAAAAGGGACTTTGCAGATGTAATTTGGTTAAGAATCCTGCGATGGGAAGATTATTCTAAATTATTCAAGAGAGCCCAATGTAATCACAAGGGTCTCTATAAGAGGGAGTTAAATATCAGAGTTAGAGAAAACAGATTTGAAGTTGCTACACTGCTCCCTTTGAAGATGAAGGCAGAAGCCATGCACCAAGGAATACTGGCAATTCCAGAAGCTGGAAAAGGTAAGAAAACAGGTTTTCTGCTCAAATTTCCAGAAGGAATGCTGTCATGCTCACACCTTGATTTTAGCTCAGTGAGGCTTCTAACCTTAAAAATTTTAAGATAATAAATTTCTGTAATTTTAAGCCACTAAGTTTGTGAGAATTTGGTAAAATAGTGATAGAAAGTTACTATAATCTGGAAGGATCATCAAGAACTAGAAAACCAATTCTTTTAGTCACAACTATGATTGTTAGAAAATGTGAGAACGCTACAATGCAAGCAGGCATTTACCAAGTTTCAGTTAATGTAAAGGTGGGAGAGATCATTTTATAGGAAGAATTTAGTTAGTAGTAAAGCCTGAATAAATTTGAAGAAAATTTTATGGAGGAAAGGGTGAGTAGGAAGATGGAAAACAATGATACCGGTAAGAGAAAGGATAATGTAATGATGTGTTTCATCTGTGAAATGACCAAAGACAGCAATAACTGTATATCATTGCATTGTTTTCAATAATGTTGTTACTTTCAGGTTTTTATTTTTAAAATTTTGCAACACACTTGCCTAAAATAATTCTAAAAAACATAGTTGGAGATATTGTGTCATCATCTAATAGCTCATTTTATGTTTTTCCTTTTTTTTCTTTTTTTTCAGAAGGAAATTTCAAGAAATGGCAAAGAAAATGACTAGACAAGAGAAAAAAAGGGCCCAAGTGACTTCTTAGCATAACGAAAAGTACAGGGATAGAGAATATTAGCATATTATTTTTATTTTTATTTATTTATTTAATTTATTTTATTTTATTCTATTTTTATTTTATTTTGAGATGGAGCCTTGCTCTGTCACCCAGGCTGGAGTGCAGTGCATGATCTAGGCTCACTGCCGCCTTCACCTCCAGGGCTCAAGTGATTCTGTTGCCTCAGTCTCCCGAGTAGCTGGGATTACAGGTGCATGCCACCACCTGGCTAATTTTTGTATTTTTAGTATAGATGGGGTTTCAGCATATTTTCCTGACTGGTCTCCAACTCCTGGCCTCAAGTTATTCTCTCGCTTCAGCCTCCCAAAGTGGTGGGATTGCAGCCATCGGGCCTGGCCCAGGGATACTTTTTAAAACACACACACTCACAGACAAAACAATGGAACATTATCAGCACCCCATATAACTTCCTCATGTTTATCATTATCCCTAAAAGATAACCAGTATTATGACTTCCATTGCTGGATTTATTGCTTTCTTTTGAGATTTATATAAATGAAATCATCAGTATATATTATTTTGCAATGGGCTTATTTTGCTCATCTTATTTGTGAGATTCTTCTCAATTGTTAAATGTAATAGTAGTTTGTTTTTCCTGGTTTGGGGGCTTTTACAAATATTACTGATATAAACATTTCTATATATCTATTTTCACGTACAAATATAAATACAGCCACGCATTGCATAAGGAAATTTTGATCAATTATGGATAGCATATACAAAAGTGGTCCCAAAAGATTATAATGCCATTTTGACTATACCTTTTCTATATTTAGTATGTTTAGATACACAAATATTATTGTGTTACAATTGCCTACAGTATTCATATGCCTTATAGACTAATTGTGTAGTAAGCTATGCGTCTAGGTTTGTGTAAGTACACCTTATGATGTCCACACAATGACAAAATCGCCTAATGATGCATTTCTCAGAACATATCCCTGTTATTAAGTGACATATACCTGTACACATTTCTCCTGAATATGTACTAGATATAGAATTGTTGTGTAATAGAATATACACATTTTCAGATATAGTATACATTTCCAAAGAGTTTTCCAAAGTTGTATCAGTTTATATTCCCACCAGCATCATATGAGAATGCTAGTTTCTCCACATCTTCAACAACAATTGTCAATACTGTTGTTGTTGTTAGTATTTCTGTTGGATGCATGGTGATATCATTTAATGGCTTTACACTTTCCTGATGAGTTAATCTTTCATGTGTTTATGAAAAAGGCATTGGGAGAATGCACAATGCCTTTGGGTATTATCTTTTGTAAATTACCTTTACAAGGCTTTTGTTACTTTTTAAAATATAGTAGCATTAACTTTTAAAAAATTCATTTTATGACATTTTATATACGCTTGACTAGTCTTGAGAAACTATATTTCATATATATAGCTTATGGACAATTTAACTCTGAATAATTCATCTTGTTTGTGCTCTATGGTTAATGGTTTTATGTCCAGTTTAAGAAATCTTTGCTTTTTCTAAGGTATTTAAGATATTCTCTTAGAAGTTTACTATTATTTTTAAATGTGTGCCTAAAATTTACCTGAAATTAATTTTTGTTTATAAAGTGAATTAAGATCTAAGGCTTATTTTATTTCCTATATGAATAGTTAATTGACCCAACATATTTATTAAAAAGACCATCGTTTCATTGCAGGGTTGCCTTTCCCAAAAGTGACATTACTATATGCATGTGGGTCTATTTCTGGACTCTAATCTGTCTCATTGGTCTATTTGCACAACCTTTAGCCCAAACATACCCTATCTGTATTGCTTTAGCCATATAAAAATTCTTAATTATCACATAATTTAAATCTATTAACGTTGTTCATCTTTATCAAGATAATCTGGGGTTATCTGAGCTCTTGGTCCATTTCATTACCAAATACATTTTAGAAGGAGCCTGTTAATATCCATACACACAAATACATATTCATACACACACATAATTACTGTGGTTTTAAATGTGATCAATTTAAGTATATAGAAAAGTTTGGATAGATTTGACATATTTCCAGCTAATGTTTTAGAAATGTAATTTCCAGTCATCATTCTGCTCTTTTTATGGGACCATTCTACAGCACCATACAGATATGAAGTTGCAAATGTAATGTCAAAGCACATCTTCTCAACATACTGTATAAAATGTAAAATTCAACCTAACCATATAATAGGATTGTTTGATTTAGTTTAGGATTGATTAGATTGGTTCATAGTATAATTACTAGGTTTAAATAAAAGCACAGTTTTAGGGAATGTGAGACTACTGCAATGCAAGCAGGAATTTATCAAGTTTCAGTCAGTTTAAAGGTGTGGGAGAGAATTCATATGAAGAATTTAAGAAGTAGTAAAGTTGAAAAATTAAAAATTTAAAACACTTGCATAGTAATCATATTGTACTCTTCAGATACTTTATGGTTTTGTTTCTTCCTTGTTTCCTCCTTCCCGTTTCTTTGTTCTTCCTTTTATACTGCCTCACTGTAGATTTTCTGAGTAATAGAAAGAATAACAAACTAGAAATCAGATAACCTGAATTGTCCTGGTCACATCTAAAGTCATAAGGTTTGTAGTAAGTCACCTAGCATTCTCTATTCAATTATTGGAGTTAAGAACATGGTCAATGAGGTTAAATTGCCTAGTTCAAACCTAGCTCCGCCACTTACAGCGAGGGAAGTTCTAGCAAATTATTTTTCTTTCCTGCTCATTAATTCCTTCATCTGTAAAATAGAGATAACAATAACATCTAAAATTGCTATGGGGATTAAATGAGTGATACATATACACTCTTTTGAAGAATGCCTGTCTTATGTAAATATTATTGTTTGTTGTTGATTATTATGCCTATCTCCTTTTGTAATGCTGTTTTTAAAGTGAATTATTTTTTGAAAATATGTAAAGGTAATTAGAAAAGCAAAAAAAAATTACACAAAAGTAAAACTCAGCAATCATTTTGTTTTCCAGAATAATTACCTTATTACTGGTCAAGATTATTTGTTTATATTTTCATCTCTATCCAGTACTAGAATAATTTTAAAACACTCAATGTTTTCACTACATACGTATGATACTTTTTACATTATTCCCTCTTTACCTAAGACTATTTTCTGGGCAAAATTTAAATTTGAAGAGCTTTGGTATTGGGTTATAAACCAATCTGCCTGAGAAAGAAAGAGAAATTCATTCAATTCCATATTAAGTTCAGTGGAGGATAAGAAATGATTTCAGCCATCTGATCAAATTTGAAAGTCATAAATTTTGAGTCAAATTAAAAGAAATATTTGAATGACAAGGAATGAAATTTATACCTTAATAGCTTTATATTGAAACTCTAGATATAACACCATACCTTGGGGATCTTGAAGCAAGGTCATAATAAAATTTTAAAGATAGCAATTTCTAGGACAGTCTAACATGAATAAAATAATAAACATTATCTGCATTAATAAGTGCTCTATAAATAACTCCATGACATATTTGTATAATTGGCCAATGTTAAAATGAAATGAGCAAAAAAAAAATGCCGTATAGAATTTGTGAAAATATATAAATATTAATTTCAACTCAATACTAAATAAACCTTTTAAAGGAAATTTCTTGAAGAAGTACCACTAAAAACTGTTAGAACTTGGGTATGGTGATTCATTCACAAGAAATTCACTAGAATTCATTTTATAGATAATAGAAATTTCACCTTTAAAGTCTAGAATTATGCTGTTCAGTATAAATAAAACAGAAGTCAAATACATGTCAGTTTTTTCTCATATAAACATTTAAAAATACTAAAATAGAGATGAAATTAATATTATACACTTTATTCAACCAATAATATCTAATCTATCAGTTTAACATACACTCATTATTAAAAATTACTAATGAAATATTTTACATTCTTTTTTGTTATTGTTTTTGTCCTAAGGTTTTGAAATCCAGTGTGCATTTTATACTTACAATGTGTCTTAATTCAGACTGGCTACATTTTAAGTCCTCAATAGCCACATGTGACTAGTGATTAGCATATTGGATAGTGTGGGTTTTGAAACTTTGGGCCAACAATTGTTTCACCTCTTTCAGCTACTTTAACTCTTCGACCAGATGTGTGTTTAGTGCTGTAAAGACAGATGCCAACTTCTCTTTCAGGACACCCAACAAAATCAGAAATGGTAAGAACTGATAGGAATTTCTAGTCTCTCACTGTGGATTCAAGCCTGCTCATGCCGTAGATCCCACATGTTTATGGGATTAACCTGGTCTTTGCTTCCCTCTTCTTCACAACCTCATTTCCTGTCCTTTCAACTTCAGCTTTACACACAAAAACAACAGCCTTAACGAGTTTGTTTAACCAGATGACACAATTGCATAATGTTAAATCCCTGCAATACATTTCTCACCTAACATATAAGAATGGTTTTGCTTCTTTTGTTGGACTCTAAGTTATACACAATTTGATATTGAGAGTGATGCTGACAGAACTGAATCTTAGCAACACGTTCTCTGAATTCATTTTGCATTTTCTGGAAGTGATCTGTTTAGATTTAAAAGTATTAAATCTTTCTTTCCAGTGATGAAGGTGATTAATGGTAGTCCATGACATGCAGTGGCAGGACGGTTATGTGAATTACCCACTGTAGATAGTGCAAGTGCCTACAGAAGGTAATTTTTTTTTTTTGTAACAAAGCATGTGTTGCTATAGAATATGCTTGCAAATATAGGGTTATAGCATGTCTCATCATGAATGCACCAGAGAGCATGTGGAAAGAATATGCTAAGTTCTCACTTTAAAGTCCACATAAAGGACCTAAAAGCCTCTTTGACTGCTCTAAAAGAAACACTTATTTTCTGTAGCCACAAAGGTGAGATTTCTGAAAACAAAATCTAAAATCTAATCTTGCAGGTGGCTGAATAATAATGCAAATTATATTCCCAAACATGCAGCATATCTTTGGTTGCAACTAAAGCATTTATTAGGGAAGAATGAAATCTTGAACATTGGAACATCAGTCTTACGCACTGATTCAATGGATCTTAGACTTTGAACTCTTTCGTCCCACTGAACTTCTGGTAGCAGAAGCAGCTCTTCCATCCCTTCCATATGGAGGGTACTCTCAGCTTGTCTGAAGAACCCATAATGGTCTCATTAATGGTAGTTACCTTACAGGAAATTGCTACTCCTCCTCCGAATCTATCTTCACCACATTTTCCTGCTTCTAGACCTACTTATAAATCTGTACATAGACTCAATTCCCATCAGGTCATGAAGAGTGACAAAATGGGCCCTTTGGGAAGATGTGCTATATAACAAGAGAGTTGCATAATTTTGCCAATTTATAGTGACAAAAACCAGGGGATATGCGAACAAAGTATAAAGAACATAAGATGAATCAGAATACATTTATTGGATCATGAGCATAGATTCTGGATAGAGTGGCCATGCTGGTAATGGTTCTAGCAGTTTGCTTGTCTGGTTGATGGAATTCTCCACTCAAGATTGACCTGCAACAGTTGAAATTAAAATTTCAGAAGGTATTCAGGAAGTCATCCAAAGAAATAGGGAGATTGGAACGCTGGAGTGGATTTATCATGGAAGACCTAAACATACCCCCTCACTATGTCCCTTGGGAAGGTCTAGAGAGCATTCATTTCACCAAGGCTGTGAGAAATTTATGAAGGCATCCGGAGCAATCTAGAACAGCTCTGCGGTGACTTTTTTTGTAGGCCCAGAATTACAGTGGGATCTGCTATTACACTGAGATTCCCAAATAAAACGGGAATGGTGGAATTCTGGAGTATCAGAGACAAACTGGCAACAATTAATCATCAAGGAAAAGAGAGCTTAGATAACATAAGGCACAATGATGCTAAGAGACTGAACATACAAATGGACTATGGCCAGATCATATACAAAAACAGAACTCTGATCTAAAACCTGTAGCAAGCTGCCCAGGAAACCAGCCCCTTATCTGTAATAGGCAGCCCAAGAAGCAACCTGCTGTAAATCAGACTTTCAGGAAGCCAGCTCATTATCGCTAATGATAATCCAGGAAACTAAACAATACATTCTTGAGCAATGAACCTGAAAATGTTCAAGAATTGATCAATAACTGACAGCTTCCCTAATTTTTGTTCCTGCTTCCAACTTAGGACCAACCAGAGAAAACCAATTATGCACCCGTAACCAATCCCATAGGATACCACACTTCTAGTTAGCCCTATAGCATCCTCATGCCAATAGCCTCCAACCAGGGCATATCTGAAGTCTTCCCTTTCTGCAACTATAAAGCTTTTCCACTCTTCTGCCTGTATTTGCATCTCTGCCAAAATGGAAGTGACAGTTGGTGGCTCTCTTGCTGCAGCAAGTTCTGAGTAAACAGGCTTTGTTTTTCTCGTTTGTTTGGTCTTCTTTTACTTTCACAAAGCAAAGCAGCATTTAGAATAATCTTACTTTCAGAGGTGGTTGGCTTTGGCTAGCTGACAATAGAGTTCCTAGAACTGAAATAGTTGGGCAGCCTATCAGAGTCCAAATTGATCTGTTTAAGCAGGAAAACTCTAGGCCTAGTGAACAGAAATCTGACTGAATCACACAGAATACTCACAGCCCCAGTGCAGTCTCAGACTTGAGTCAGTTCACAGTCCCAGGACTCCTTGAGTGAAAAGGAGACCAAACGACTTTAAAAAAGGACGCTGAAAGAATAACAAATACTTATATTGTGAAACTTCTTTCAGCCTTTACTAAAGGTACAAATGGTCCTTTATTGGTCACTATTTTTAATTAGAATAAACAAAATATGTATTTTTAATTTGGCAAGTAATTACATGTCCAATTATGATAAAGTACATTTTCTTTGTGTGGGGTGTATGCTAGGTTCAAAAATGATTCGAATATTAAGATTCAGGAGAATTTTGATTTTTGAACTCTAACTCTTCCCCAGGTATAAAATGAACATAGATAAATAGTGCTAAAATGTGAGTTAGATTTTTAGGTAACAATGTAAATGTAATACAAATTTGAAGCTTAGGAATAAAAATAAATAGCGTTTGATTATTTTAAAGTAAGTGCTTATTTATGTGGTTTCCAATGTGACTTAAGACATCTGTGTTTTTTCTTGTTTGCTTGTGTGTATATGAGAGTGGGAAAGAAGGGGAGTGAGGAGGAGGAGAGAGAGGGTGGAGGAAAGGCAGAAAGTTCAAGAATGATTTGTTTGAGAGATGAAGTACGTTGCATAGATAAGACTATGGTTTGTTTAAAAGTATATTAATTTCTGTAACTATGTAACAGAGCATCCCAAATTTAGCAGCTTAAAATACCAGTTTATTGTCTCACAGATCTGCGGGTCACAAATCCTGGCACAGCTTAACTGGATCGTTGTGCTGTAATAGCGCGTCAGGCAAGGTACATTCTCATTAAGGTTCACCTGGGAAAAGCTACTCTTCCAAGCTCCCTCATGTTGTCTGTAGAATACATGGTTGCTTGTTTCTTCAAACGTAGCAACTGAGAAAGTCTCTGCCCTCAGGTAGGAGTCCTTTATAAGGATTTTTCCCTCAATTAAGACAGGCTCAACCAGGACAATTCTTCCTCTTTTTTTTTTTCCTTTTTTATCTTAAAATCAACTGATATGAAACCTTAATGAAATTTTCAAACTTTCTTCACCTCTACTCTATCCTATTGGCCAGAAGGAAGTCACAGGTACCAGCTGTACTCAGAAGAGGGGATCACATAGTTTATAACATATTGGGGTCACCTAAGAATGTATCTGACATAATGTGATATACCAGAAACCCAAAGGATAAGTGGATGGAAAGAAAGGCAAAGCAAAGAAGGAAAAGAAGTAAGAAATCAGGGAGGGAAGAAAGGCAAGCAAGCATTTATGAAAGGAATTTCGGTAGTAAATACTCAGCTATAAAATTTCAATTCATTTTGGCTTCTTCCATAAAGACCTCCCTTCATCATTTTCCACCATCCTCCCAGATCTCTATTCTCAGTTTTCCATACTTTTAAGAGTTATAACTTGATAGCACTCTCTTTTACTTATTTGTATTTAACTTTATTGTCCTTTGCAAACTACGCAGTTACTCAAAATTAGGGACTCATGCTAATGCACATTCCTCTTCATCATCCCAAAGATTTGAACAACTTATGCAAAGAAACCCTTTATTCACTGTATCTTAGGAAAACAGGAATAAAATAGAGTGCATACTATGTTCCAAGTACAGAGCCAGGCACTCTCACTTTTTACCTTATCACTAAGTGACCTTATATTAACCTTAATTAACAGAATAGAGCAGTTACTTAAAAAAAATAAATAGCTGATATTGGTATTGCTAAAATTCTAACCCAACCCCTTGAATATTTTATTAAGTCGAAATGAATAGAAGTCAAACATAAACATCATTGAGAATTCAAAAAGAATTGTGTGATATTCACAAAATGCAAGTTATGGCACCTCCTTAACTTGATATTTAGCATGGTGAAAAACGTGTTTGGGCAGAAGGTGGGCAGACAGATGCTTGAAGTGGCTTTTTTCCTTTTACTGAGACTTTGGAGGAGTTACTTTCTCAGTTACTTATCTATCAACTCTCTATCTAACTATCTATCTAACATCTATCCATCTAACTTATATATCAACTATCTATCTAACAACTTATCTATCAGTAGTTACTAATGATAGTAACTATTTCTAGAGGGAATAAGATAATTAAATGAGTTTAAACACAATGGTGTTTAAATGAATGAAAAAAACATTGCTCTTGGATTTGGGGGCTGGAGGGAGAATCAACAAGCTACCGACATAAAGTAAAACAAATTGAAACAAAACAGATTTAGAAAGCAGAAAATAATAGCCTGCTGAAAACAGAGTCTATGCCCAAGATTTCTTTTTGTAGTTATAGTAAATATTTTTAAAAGCTTATTTCTAAATTGTTAGCATACTGAATTGTATAATTATAAATAATTTCAGAAATAATGTTAAATGATTCACACTCTGCTAGTTTTATTTTATCCACATGTACCAGCCCCATTTCTATTCTCTTTTTGATCATTGTATATTTCTAATCTGTAACTAGAAGAGTTTGGCAAATTGCTTATTTATAATAGTATGACAAGCCATCAATCAAAGTATCTGGCTTCCAGAATCAGATTATCCTAATTCCGTTCACTCTTTATTTAGTGGTTGCAGTGGAGTCCCAGGAACATACAATATCATGGCAAGAAACAATCAATGCTAACACAAGCCACAAAGATAATCGGAATGGAATCAGTGGTTTGTTATTTTCTTTCTTAGGATTCTAATTTTCTTTTACCTTATCATACACATGGACCAATAACCATTTCAGGATAAAGCTAGACTAATCAAAATAAATGAAGTCCCCAAACCACCTGTACAATCCAGACATTTAAAAGCAGAGGAGTTGGCAAATATAGTATTTCATAAATGAAAATTTTAGCTCAGCCTCCTATCTTCTCTATTTTTTCTCCAAAGGAGAAAGAGGAAAAACCTTTTTCATTGAAAAATTATAGCTTGAGATTATCAATCAATAGTACCTCTTAGTTGCTTAGCTCAGCCATCAGTGTTAGGTGTATAACAATACTGAGGTTCAAAAGTAATAAAACTGGGCATGTTTCATAGCCAGTATTTTACTTTATATGATATATATATAGTGAATATACTATATTTCTTGGCGGAGGGAAAAACAGGGGATATGGTAGATGTTTAATAAGTTATTTCATCTAAACCTCAAACCCTAAAAATTAAATGCTCTTGCCATTTTACAGAGGAGTAAACTGAAGATGACGTTAAATGACACATAATTTTAAACCTGGAATCAAAAATATCTGAGACATCGTAAATGAATACATTTGTAGCTCTTTATTTTCTTACTATCTCTCTGTTAGTGATATTTACACCAATTTTTTGTAACTTTGGCTTAAAATTACAACCATTCGAGTTGAAATGAAAGAAAAGCCATCTATCTATTGTCACTATCATGTCTGCATTTTCTGCAGTTCAGTACATGTCCAATTTTATTCAAAACCATTCAAAGGCTTCTCTTTTCTTTCTTCTGATACAGTATTGCTTAGATGGTCTCTTCATTAAGCTGAGTAAGAGTGCAGATTTTCAATTCTTTGGAGAGATTCAAAGCTATCTATCCCTATTACCTTTTCATTATTCCTTTAGGGTCTCATTTAGTACTAACTGGTAAATTTTAAAGGCCAAAAATTTTCACTGCAGATATGTTTTCTGATTCTGAGATAGAAATTATATCTGGAAGGATAATATAAGAGAAAAAAGATGGGATCTGAAAAGGTTAGAACAGTTTCAATTTACTAATTCATTCAATTTCAAGATCAAGACTTTGTATTTCATTTTTAGTTTTCTTCCTTGGTAGCGCATACAATTTATATAAAAAATAAAGTTTCTACATACACGATTCTCATTAATGTTTTGGATTTGTTTCTAATATTTTTCCATCAATTTATGTGAATCAAATCTTCTCTTAGGATCCCTTTCACAGTTCTTTTCTTTATATCCAGATCTTCTCTCTGATTTTTTCTTTCTTTGTCCCTATCATCTTCTCTTTTCACTGCGGCTGTTAAGTTAAAAAAAAAATCAGAAAGCTATTGATGTCGCTATCTTTCTCCTGTCACTTTCATCAGAAAAAAACAGAGTTCCAATGTGCCGCATCCAGTTGCTTAGCAACAATATTTTCAACCTCCCTGCCAGCATGAAGAGTGTGAAGCTGGGCCTGCTAATGTGGCTGCAAGACCAAAAAGAGCATAGTTTGAGTGGAAATAGGAAAATTAAACCCTGAAAAATTCAACAATCTCAGGATATAATGAATGCAGAAAAGGATGAGCATTTTACAGTGGGAGCTTCCTTTTTCTGCATGACATATCACTGGCAGAAAACTTTCTTCTCTAAAGCAACCTTCTAGGAGTTATGCAATCAAAAATGCCAATAAGACTGTGTTCTGCATCCAGTTCCTAAACTGATCCATTGCTTTATTTTTCCATACATATATTTACAATTCCATGGAAAAGTAGATATTATGAATGTGAATGTTTTCAGCACAAGATTGAGTAAAAAATTTTTAATAATGCTTTTTCAAAATTTATTACTATTATTTTAATGAACAAAAACTGATGGCTTTTCTATGTAAGTTTGTGAATATATTCCTATTCTTTTTATGACTACTTTAATCTCACATTATTTTTTTTTCTCAGTAATAGAAACACGTATTTAGTCCATGTTTGGTAACTGTATAGCTTTCTTGTTTTTAAATAAAATGTTTTGATTGCTTTATATTTATGTTGTTCATTGGTATGTGTTTGAAAATGGATAAATGACAGAAAGATTGTCAACAGAGTTCATAATCAAAATAATTAAATGCAAAATTATACTTTCAACGAGAAGATTAAAAACTAATAAATATGCTTTATATTTTTTCTATTTGTCATTTAAAAATACATTTTATTGCATATAAATTAAGAATTACATACCCTTATCAGTTCACATGACATATATAATTTTATCAAAAACTAATTATAAGTTAATTTAAAAGTTGTTTCTTGAATTTAATACATTTTAATATAGTGTGGTATTCTATTTTGAGCAGGAATTGCAGAAACTGGTATCTTGTGTTCCAAATTTGCTTTGATGTTTTCATCTGCTTGATAATCTGGAACATGTTTTATAATCTGCCTAAGATTCAGTTTTTGCATATTAAGTGAAAATAATACTTCCTAACTTCAGTTCTAGTACAAAAAAAATACACTGAGATAACCAATATAAAACACTAAGCATATCTGGCATACAAACAATATTCAGTAATTTTAAAGTCATTGTTACTTAGAAATTTTTAGAAATTAGTGACTAGACCAGATAGGTTTTGTTCCAGACATTTTATCACATTTTAATGTAAATTCATTTTTAAACATTGAAGTATACTGACAGCAGCAGCACTCAAGACATTAAGCATTTAGAGATATAGAGTCCACAGAAGTAGAGTATATGTGAATAATTAAAAACTCTAACAGTAGCCATGTATGTAGACTGGGTATGCATTAATATTTATTAGTATTTTTGAATAAAAATGTAAATAGCAGACTGTGGAAAACATGGTCATAAAATTCTTTATTTATATCCTTATTACTATCTGTTTTATCTTATAGAAGGAAAACTGACCATTTAAAAATTAATAATTCATGTCCATAATGGCAAGATATTATTTCTACCAAGTTCATAAATAATAATATAGAAATATTATAAATGAAGATCTCTTGGCCAGCCTTATAAAAACACGTTTGCACCATCTTTACTAACTCATTCTTAATTATGAGCAGAATCACAAGGTATTTGATGAATGCTTGGAATATAAAGCACATAATTTAAAATACACTAAAACATCTACAGAAAATCTAAAAAATAAAGAAACCTTAAGATATTCTTGTAGGTAATGAAACCATCATATCTGTAAATGAGTAAAGAATAGATTAAAAACAAATAATAAATCTATAAACATATTTTCTTTTAAATTAAAATTCTAGTAAAATATATTGTTAATGTTGATGAAATATCTCTAAAAGGAGGGAAGAACAGGGAGAAATATATGAAACCAAAGATAGGAAACATGAAGATATAGTTTAAGAAGTCTAACTTTTGACTTGTATGGTTTCTAGGTAGAAATGAACAGATGTCAAGGTGATGATATTTTCAAACATAGTAAAAGCAATTCCTAAAATGGAAAGATGGGAGTATCAGACTATAATGAACTCAGTAAATACCTAGCCCAATGAATTAAATTATACCTGCATATTGACACATTGTACCTTTTTAGAACATCGATAATAAATACCAAAAGTATCAAAAGATAAAAAATAAAAAGGACAATATAAAAGGAATGATCTTCAGGAACTTCGTATGCAATTATGTAATGAATTCAATAGGCTGAAGGAAATTAATTTTGGTTTTTACTCAACTAAGCTATTAATCAAATGTAAGGAAAAATGAATTACATTTTCAGACATGAAAGGTCTCAGAAATTTTACCCCCTACACACCCACACACTATTAGAAAATTTCTTAAGGATGGCATTAGTTGCAGTTCTCTAGAGAAACATAACCAATAGGTCTCATATACAGACATACACACACACACAGACACACACACACACACATACACACACACAATTTTATTGTAACGAATTGGCTCACGTAACTATGGAGGCTGAAAAGTTCCTCAATCTGCCAGCAAGCTGAAGACCCTGGAAAGCTGGTGGTGTAGTTCCAGTCTGTCTCTGAAGATCTGAGAACTAGGAACACCAGTGGTGTAAGTTCCAGTGCAAAACAGAAGACTGATGTCCCAGCTTAAGAACTCAGGTAAAGAGAGAATTCTCATTTCATCCGCATTTTAGCTCTGTTCAGGGCCTCAGTGGATTGGATAATGCCAATCCACATTGGAGAGGGCCATCTTTTCTACTGAGTCTACTGATTCAAATGTTAATCTATTTCAGAAACACATCTTAGACTATTCAGATATAATGTATAACCAAATATCTGACACTCTGTCTCCCAGTCAAGTTGACACATAAAATTAACCATCACAAAGATGTTCTTTGTAAAATGTAAGGGTAAACCAAGGAAGAAGAAGGTGCAAAATATGGGAAAGGAATCCATAAGAAATATGTATGAATTACAAAAATAATTGCTTCTGCTAGAAACAGTATTTAGTGTACCATGAAACAAGAATCAAGAAGTAAGAGAGGTACAGAGATGTTTATATCATCATTGAAAGTATAGGCTGACTTAAGAAGATGATAAATATGTTAATTCTAATTTTTTAAAATGAGAATTTAAAATTTCAGGAAACACAAAATATCAGAAAAAATATCAGAAAAAAATGCAATCATAGCACACTACATGTTTGTGAAATTAGTGATATTTATAAAGATGTAACAAATACTTGACCGTGTAAAAGTAAAAATAGGAATAACTGCATTTGCAGTTGAGAAGGGAGGCAGCAAATAAAAGGTAAATATTAACCTTACAAAGTAAGTTGACCAGATATACTTTCAAGAAATAATAAAAAACCAAATATTCAATATTTTGTAATTACAGAAAAAACATGAAATAACTTAAAAGTCATAACAATACTATTAAGATGAAAGAAAGAGATGGTTTTTGACCAACCCTCAGATATCAGGGAATTAATTGAAAATGCCTAAAGCTGATCAGACATAGTGATATAAACATAAAGTTTAGGGATGCAAATTAAGTAAAATACTGTACTCTTTAATAATTAAAAACAATTTTTGTAAATTTATAAACTAGGTGCTATGAGAGACAAGGAACCCTTGTTTTCCATTATTGGCCCATCTGTAATATTACCTTTTCATCATACATTATTTAAATATATTTCTATGCATACATTGGTATAAAAATTTGTATACGAAGTTTAGTTTATAATTGTATGCAGTTTTGTTTTTTGTGTTTTTATAGTCAATGATAAAATTATAGCCCCATCTTAAAAAAGATGAGCAAAATGAGTTTCTTCTTAAAGTTGGTAAGTAATTTTTAAAAGTTTTAAAAAGATAAGGTTTAAGATTATTGAAATGTAAAGTCTCAAAATACATACATGAAAAACCTTATAAAATATTAAAAATAAATACTACAGCCCATAGTATACTTAATAGTAGAGATTAAACTCTTTTTTCCTATTATCAGGTACAAATCAAGGATGTCTGTTCTCACTACTTCTAATAAGTGTTTTACCATAAATCTTAGTGCAATAGTGTAATAAAAATATATAAAAGGCATATAATTTTAAAGAGATTTGTGTTAAAATTATATTATGGTGATGGTTGCACAATTGTATAAATATTCTAAAAACTTTTATGCACTTAAATGAGTGAACATTGTGATATTAAATTATATCATAATGACATTGTTTTTAAAAAGCAGAAGAATAGAGAATAGCTGCTTTTATTCACAGATAATAGGATTTTATAAGTAGAAAATCCTGTCGATTCCACCTAACATTACTTGAATTTATACACCAGTTCAGCAAGGTAGAAAGACATAACAGTTTTGAAATAGAAAAATAAAATAAATTTCTACATAGTATCAATTAACAATTGAAAAACACAGTATTTTAATTTATACTAGTTACAATATCACCAAGACAAAATCTAGTACCTAGGAAAAATATCTAATCCAAAGTATGAAAAATTACTTTATGGAAAATGATAAAACATTACTCAAAGATGTTAAAGATTAAGTAAATAGATATCCTAAAATCAGTAGATATTAAAAAATGATATTACTAGGATGTCAATTTTTACCAAACTGAACTATATATTTAGTACAATCACAACCTTAATTCAAGTGGTTTTAAAAAGTAAAAATGGACAGGAATATACTAAAATTTATATGAAAGGCAAAAGACATAGAATAATACAAAATATTTTGAGAAAAAGAAAAGCAAAGTTGAAATATTTACACTACCTTACATTTCAAAGCATTTTTGTCAGAACACAGTGCTATTGACATAATAATATACAAATAATGTAAAGAAACAAAAAACTGGTATTCCAGGAACATACACATTAGATCAATTAATTTTTTTAAGACATAAAGTCAATTAAATGGTAAAGGGATTCCACTTCAGCAAATGATGTTGAAATAGTTAGATAAATATGTGAAAAATAAAACACCTTTTACCTGCCTCACTCTATACACAAAATTAATTATTAATTGACCAGAAATTTCAATGTGATAGAGACTCAACATTTCTAGAAGAAAACATAAGAAAATTACTTTGTAAAATTGAAGTTAAAAAATATTTTGGCAGGACCTAGGAAGCAATAACCATAAAAGAAAAATATATATAAATTGAGCTATAATAAATATAAATAAACCTCAGCTCACCAAATAACAAAATTTACAAAATAAATAAGCAAAACATAGGCTAGAAATAATTATTTGCCATGTACCTCAATGAAAGAAGATATGCATTTGGAATATATAAATAACTCTATTTCGCAAACAATTCAGTTTGTAAGTGTTTAAATATTTGAGTGGTCCCTTTATTAAGACGTGCTTCAAAAATTAGCCATTAAAGAACCCAATTCAAAAGCACATTTAGATACTACTATACATTCAATAGAATACCTAAAACAAACAAAAAACACAAACTAAACAAAATATTGATGAGACTATGGAACAAAAACCAATAAAATATTGATGATGGAAGGATAAAATGGCACAAGTTTTCAGAAAATGAATTCATAGGTTTTAATGAAGTTCAACATTAAGGCCTACGTTTTTACTCAACAATCCTACTCCTACCTATTTACTCGAGAGGAAATAAAACATATACCTACATGAAAACTTATACTCCATGTTCAAAGTAGCCTAAAGCTAGAAAAAGTACTTATCTTCATCAAAGGAAGAATGTATGAGCACATTTCAGTGTGTTCATAAGATAACTTTTATCTAACATAAAAAGAAATACATTCCTAATACTCAAAATAACAAGATTTAATCTCAAAAAGTTTATGTTGAGTAAAATAAAATGAATCAGAAAGGAGAGTATACTGTATGATTCCATTTACACGAATTCTAAGACAGGCAAAACTAATTTACGAGGATTGAAATCAACTAGTTGTTGCTGTTGTGAGGGGGTTGGGGCTTAACTAGGAAGAGGCATAAAGGAACTATCTGGGAGGACTGGCATAATTTCTTTGTTTCCATTGATAGATGTGAAGTGTATACAATTGTGAGAACCAATCAGTTGAACATTTAACCTCCGTGTTTTTCATAGTGTATGCATCAATTAAAATATATATTAAGTGAATATATCTTCAGATTTTTTGAGCAGACATATTTATGGATATATAAAAGATATTTAGGAAAAAATAAATATGTAGTTGTTATACTCTGTATTTTGCTGTTTGTTCTTTATTTTATTTTACATTGATTTATAAACATTCTTCTGAAGATTGTGTAAGCCACAATACAACTTTTAGTGTGAATATTAGTAGTGATTTTAAATATTTACTGAGTTTCATCTGCACACTTACTGTTTTATGAAATAATTCTTTATTCATATACTGTGAAAGTTAAATTTACCTTGATGATTAGGATGCACTATTTCCTTCCTCTATTATAGTGTAATTTTTAAAAGAAACTTCCTGATAGTTTATTAGATATAAATTCAAATACAGTGCAGCATACCCTGTTTTGTGAACATATCTTTTATTTTGTAGACAGTATTTTCATCTTTTTATTGTATAGAAATAAATTTAGTTCTTTTCTTGGTGACTGGAGGCCAAGTTCAGTTGCTTTAAAAGGAAAAGTAGATTTAGGATGGAAGTACTGTATAGCTTCTTGCAGGTTTATTCTTCTTATGATCGATCCGCTGACTGATTAATTCTATACTGTAATACTTAGAACATGAACTTTCTGTGCACAAGGCTATTTCTCTGACTGGTATGTTAGCACATAATAGTATGTACAGAAGAGTTCTAACAGTAAGGACAATAATATTGTGCTGATTTTAACCTCTTCTTGGTATTTTTAAATCTTTGTCCTCACAAAAATTATCTGATAATATGGGCAAAAGTAGGTGCTTCAACTTATGTGAATACACAGTGCCAAAATTATTCATATGGCCAGAAAAAAAAAACCCAGTAATATCCTCATTTGTTTAGAAATATGCAACATTTGATAATTGTAAATACAGGAAAGATTTTCTTCCCAATAAGAGCATATAAAAATAATTTTAAAGTAGTATATTAATTGCTAAATTGTTCACACGTTTATAACTCCTTATGAACGCTTCCCTTAAGAAAAGCATCTAAAAATAGTTAAAAATAATGTTCTTCCTTCATGAAACACTTTCTTTCCTTGACTTCTGCAAATAAAAACTCTCCAAGTTCCTGATGGAATTATATAACTTTGTTTATCTTTAATAAACTCTGTATTGATTATTGAGGCAATTCCACTCAATTTACCACTTTATTAATTTTATTAATTTAAAAAAGCCAATTGTTCAAAATTTTTAGTTTAGAGCATTTTTGGTTAATGTTACCTTTTTGTTTTCAGCATAACTAAACACATTACTTAAGATGTAGCAGATACACATAAACGTATGTTGTATATTAAATGTGTCATTACAAAATTGAAAAATCTGCCATTGGCTTCCAAACTGATCAACTGTTACTCATACATATGATAAACCAAAGCTATGGAAAAATGAGATTACTATTCATTCAATCTAAATATAATATTTTGAAGGGCGCTGTAATGTTTTAGTCTCAAAAGAGTATGGTAGAAGGAGAAAGGAGATAATTTCTCTGAGAAGTCATTCTATAGGAAAAACATAGTATTGGAATTTTTTCAATTAGAAGTCAGAAATTTGGGAACGATGCTTTAAGTAAGATGAATTGGAAAAAAAACACTGAAGAACATAACTAACATATAATGAAACATAGTATTTTGCAGACAAATTCCATAAAAATTGTTAATTCTATTTTATGAATTGCCCAACATTTTTACTTGATTAGGTGTGGTCTCAAAGGAACTGAGCTTCATGGATCAAACAACACACATTTCATTTCATCCTCCTCTTCAGACAAGCAATATATTTTTTTTAGGTAAGTAACGAAGGTCCACTATTTTTCTGTGGTACACAAATTATTTTGTATATATTTAAGAGGAGAGCCATAGCTCTAATTTACATATCTTTCTAAGGTGCGTATCTCTCTCATACTGCTCAAGTCCTATTTGTCTTTTTTTAAGGTCTCTGATAACATAGTACTATATATTTTTGTGCCCCATTACAAATATTTGAGTGCATAAATCCATTTTTGGAGTTTATAGCAGAAAAGTGGAAATAAATTGTGTATACACAAGAATGGAAAAAAGTCAATCTTTAGCCACTGTGTTGACAACTGTAAGGACCAAATATGGAACATAAAAATCTTTCTTTTCTAAGGCTAAATATGATATGAGGAAAAAGTACGTGAGAAATAAGGTATGATTCCTGATTTAAAGTAATTTCTTTAATGTTTGCTGTGTGCAAACAATTAAAATTAGCTCTCAGTTATTTCTCATTGATTTAAAAGCTTATAGTAAAGTTGAGTGGTGCTAGTGTAAGTATAATGACATCAGAGTAACATAATTGTCACTCAATGAAGAATTCTATGACATGGTGTGTGGCAGTTGTTTTATAAAAGTTGTGTCATGGGAAGATGGTCACTCCTACTGACATTTTGGCAGAGGAAGAATTATAAAAAGTTCCTCTAATATTACCTGCCCTGTTTGTTGTTATTGGTAGAATGTTTTATATTTTTCCTTACTTCTGTAAAAGTATCCTCTGAGAAGCATACTTTGTGTTTCAATGGAAATATTAGAAGTACAAATTGAACTTTTGGGAAGACTTTTTTTGAACATGGGTGTCATTTGCTGTCAAGACTGAAGAGCAAATTTTCATAAATATCAATCAACCATGGTTTTAAGGGAGCCATTGCTGATTGTACAAATGTTCAAAGGAAACATACTCTAGAGAAGGCAAGGATAAGTAGCTTTGTCTTTAAAGCATAAAGACTTTGATAAAAAGAAATGCAAATTTGGTCTTTGTCCTCTGTTCCTGACACAGAGCTGAAAACCTTTGAAATTTCCTGGGTGACAGGGGTGTCTTTTTTTTTTTTTTTTACATGAGGCCACTCTTGGTGGGCCTGAGATAGCTTCTGAATGGGGGCTGGTCACCAGAAAGACCAAAACATGATTAAACAGTTGAAACTTTGCCTCCACTCTCTGATCTCCAGGGAGGGAAGAAGGATGGGAGGTTGAGTCAACCATCAATGGCCACTGACTTCATCATTCATGCCCACGTAATGAAACTTCCATACAATTCAGGATTCAGAGAGCTTCCTGGGAGGGAGCTGTGATAACTTTCAATTTATAGCTGGTCAGTTAGAAGTACGGGAGGCACAGGAGTAGAGATCGATGTCGGCAGTGGAGGCAGTCTTATACATTGAGCCCTTGACCTGTGGGGTCTCGACTAACTTTTGGTTAGTGTCAGAAGTGAATTGAATTTTAGGGGAACTAGTTGGTGTCCAGATGGTTGGAGAAATGGTTGGTCTGAGATAAAATAACAAACATTTAGTGTCAAAAGTGTTGTTATTAAAAGCAGTTTCAAATGACTGACTCTGGAGCCAGACACCTTAAGTTCATATCCCAATACCATCACTTTTAAGCTGTGCTACTTTTCAGAATTGTTGTTTGGTGACTCACTTTTGTTATTGACAATAACGTATCTATTTCATAGGTTTATTATGAGCACTAACTTAATGAAAAGTGTTTTCAGTCATGAGTGCCATTAGGTAATTCACAATCAATGTTATATATCATTACTATGACAACAAATTGACAGATATTTCTAAGGACATGTATATAAGGCCTACATATACAAATCCTTTCAATTTCCTCATTATTGAGAGAAAAATCTCCATGTCATTTTTGAAGGGTATGGCAATGTTTATGACATTGTGTAATGACATGCACAAAATCTCCAGTGCATGTCTTGTATCAATTTTTGTTCTGGAATATCTTCTCAAACATATTCACACAGCATACACTTTTGAAGGATAAATATAGTGCTTGCCTTTGGAACAGGTCATACATTTGTTTCCTGACTAGAAGAGGATAATGTCTCCCTGTCAGGCAAAATTTAGTCAGGTTTGCTAGTAGTTCCCTTAAAACAGGGGTCCCCAACCTACAGGCTGTGGACCAGTATTGATTTGTGGCCTGTTAGGAACCAGGTCACACAGCAGGAGGTGAGCAGCAGGCCAGTTAGAACTGCTGCCTGAGCTGTGCCTCCTGTCAGATTAGGGCAGCATTAGATTCTCATAGGAGTGCAAACCCTATTGTGAACTGTGTATGTGAGGGACCTAGTTTGCATGCTCCTTATGAGAATCTAACTAATGCCTGACGATCTGAGGTGGAACAGTTTTATTCTGAAAATATCCCTCTCTCTCAGCTTCCAGTCTGTGGAAAAATTGTCTTCCATGAAACTGGTCCCTGGTGTCAAAAACATTAGTGACCGCTGCCTTAAAAAACTGGGGGTTTCTGCAACAGATGCTGGAGAGGATGTGGAGAAATAGGAATGCTTTTACACTGTTGGTGGGAGTTAAATTATTTCAACAATTGTGGAAGACAATGTGTGGTGATTCCTCAGGGATCTAGAACTGGAAATACCATTTGACCCAGCAGTCCCATTACTGGGTATATAATCAAAGGATTATAAATCATTCTACTACAAAGACACATGCACACATATGTTTATTGTGGCACTGTTCACAATAGCAAAGACTTGGAACCAACCCAAATGCCCATCAATGATAGACTGAATAAAGAAAATGTGGCACATACACACCATGGAATACTGTGCAGCCATAAAAAAGGATGAGTTCATGTCCTTTGCAGGGACATGGATGAAGCTGGAAACCATCATTCTCAGCAAACTAACACAGGAACAGAAAACCAAACACTGCATGTTCTCACTCATAAGTGGGAGTTGAACAACAAGAACACATGGACATGTGGGGGCAGGGGGGAACATTACACACCGGGCCTGTCGGGAGGTGGGGGGCTGGGAAAGGGATAGCATTAGGAGAAATACCTAATGTAGATGATGGGTTGATAAGTGCAGCAAACCACCATGGCACATGTATACATATGTAACAAGCCTGCAAGATCTGCACAAGTACCCCAGAACTTAAAGTATAATTTTAAAAAAACTGTGGGTTTCTGAAGCTTCAGGTTCTTCAGTTGCAACATAAACTCACCATTTGTGCAGCAGATGTGGAACATATGAGAACATGAAGATAATTCTGCTTGCTATGTTGTAAGTAATGAAGCCTTTTGCCTCTGATCCAGGAGTCTGGTGTAGTCTTCTAGCTTCTGTTAAATTGTAGCAGGCTAAGTTACTTGCTTACATACATCAGATTCTTCACAGTTTTTGACCTTTGGTTTGGCAGGAGTATGTGGCTTCAACCCTTAGAAGATGTGACAACCAGTAAATGTCGTAGAATGTATTAATATTCAGCAAATTTCCTTCTTCCCCACCTGCCACTGGAAGAGGGTACTTTCTCACTGAAATGATGCCATCTTTACGTATGTGATTTACTCTTTGTGACTACTGTATGAATAGAGGTTACAGATATGCTTGTGTGGGTCGGTTTGAGCTCTTGCAATCGCATCTCCCACCATGATAAGAGCATGCCCAAGTAGCTATTGATCTCAGAATGCAGAAAGAAATTAAGTTGACTTAAACTAAACTTTAGCCTAGAGTGAAGTCCGGAAACTCAGTCAATATCAACTGAATCTGTTAGGCACAGCTGAACAACATTTGGTAAACAGAACTGCAAGAGAAAAATAAAGTTTGTTGTTGAAGCCATTAAGATATATGGTCATACTGAAAAGTATGCATTAGGCCCTGAGCAATAGATGGTGATGCTAGGAATGATTATCTGATTTTTTCCAAAAAAATTTGTCACCTCACCGCAATTATTTTTACCTGCAAGATCAAAATTCCCTTTATGGGAAAAATGTGTAATTGGAATATAATATTCTTCAGCTTAAGGTAATAATAATAAGGACCTTAGCACTGTTGTAGGCCACTAAAATATGCAAATTACTTCCTAATTTTACTGCATGAATGAGAAAATTAGAGGATTTCGGGGTGACTTTTGTGCCTTTTTTTATACTTCGAATGTAGACTTTCATAAACCTACTCAGAACTCAAATTTAGGCTATCACAATTAATTCCTCTTTCTCTCTTTCCCTCCTTCTCTCTCTCTCTCTATATATATATCTTAAAATACACACATTGCATCTATGTAATTAGCACATTTCCTGAGATAAAGGATGCTTTTACTTGAAAAGAAATTAATATTTTCTACAAAAACAATGTTACCAACATTTTATACGAATGCACATGTGTGTATATAAACAATACATCTTCCATATTCTATATGCAATAAATCTCCTATATTCTTAACCAATAATTATTAGAGATAATGACTAACATTGGCAAAGTTTTTGGCCAGGGGACATAGGAATATCTGAATCTGACTCCTGATGAGAGACCTTCCTTCTTGATTGAGCTGTATTTGAACTCAGTTTGAACCTTTGTGTCTGTGCTCTTACCAAACTTTGTGTGCAGTGTACTGAATGAATGCACTACGAAGTTTCTATCAGTAACAGTGGGACAGCACAGCATTGCCTCAGATGCTCAAAGACCAATACAATAGCCACTAGCAACATGTGGCTATCTAAAATTAAATGAGTATTGATTAAAATAATATGAAACCAGAAATTCCTTCCTCTGTCACACTAGCCACATTTCAAGTTTTCGCTAAGCTACATGTCACCGATGGCTACCATATTGAAAAGCACAGATAAAGAAAATCTATAATTATTGCCTGTAATTATGGCAACCAGGGACAACTGGATCCTGCTGTTAATCAGCTTTCTATATCTCAAGGTCTCCTGGATGCATGCACTTAGAATCATGCCCAGGAAGAAAATAAAAACTTAATATTGGCTGGGTCTTAGGCCTGTGAGAGAATGATTAACTGAATGTGTCCTCCCAAAATTCATGTTGAAATGCTAACCCTCAATGTGATGGTATTAGGAAGTGGGACCCTTGGAAGAAGATTAGGTAATGGGGGTAGTGTTTTCATGAATAGGATTAGTGCCGTTATAAAAATGAGCTCCCTAGCTCTCTTCCTGTCACATGAAGATGCATCAGGAAGTCGGCCCTCTGCAACCCAGAGAAGGGCTCTCAACAGAACCGGACTACACTGGCCTACTAATCCCAGACTTCCAGCCTTCATAACTGTAAGAAATAGATTTCTGTTGTTTATAATGCACCAAGTATATGATAGTCCATGTAGCATTCTGAACTAAGACAGAGGGCATGGTATTCTGTGAGGAAATAGTGAGAAGAGCAACAACTGGGTTTTAATCCCAAATCAGATTGCACAACATTCTACCTCCAAGCTCCTCACAAAAACTCACCTTTCATCAGATTACAAATTAACTGGGCTTTGGTTATGCTTCTCTAAAGGTAGAAAAGTAAAACCCCATTCTGTCATTTTTCATTTCCCTACTGTAGCAACATTGATTTATATTTGCTAGTTCCTAAGTCCTGACTGAGAATAAAAGAAACTAAGAAATCTTGAGCTCATAGAGCAAAAACTATGACTCCTATCATTGCACAGTCCCAGTGTACGAGGATGGAGCAATCCATCTCTCCCTGTTTTTAGGGCCTATTACCTTGGCCTAAAATATTACTAACATTGTTTCTGGATTTATGGCAACTGGAGGTGATGCTGAAAATACTTTTTTCTCCCAAATTAGCTCTGACCTCCAGAGGCAATGATATTCCTGCAACCTGGGGTCACCAAGGAACATGATCCTTAAACTTGAAAAAAGAAATCTTTTACAGGCCATAATCAGGTTCTGACCATCATCTTGCAAGTCCAAGTGTTGTCTATAGATAACCAGCATTAGCAAAAACTTGAAGCTTTTTTTTTTTAAACGGAAAATCTCACGCACCATCCTGGACATAACTGAATCAGAATCTGAATCTAAACAAGATTTTCACATGACTTAAATGCACATTACAATTTGAGAAGCGTTAGCCAAGGAGCCTTCTTTCTAGTGCAGAAAGACTGCCTTTGGTTCGAGACTTTTTCAGCACAAATGCTGATAAACTAAGTTGTGAGGTACTCAACGTTGTGATAATAAAAATATTCTTTATGTGTGCTTTCCCACATGATAACCATTGGTAACATGTAACTTATTGAAACTTGAAATGTGGCTAGTGTGATGGAGGAAGAAATTTCTAGTTTCATATTATTTTTATCAACACACATTTAATTTTAGATAGCCACATGTTGCTAGTGGCTATTGTGTTTCACTTTGAGGATCTAAGGCAATGCTGTGCTGTCCCACTGTTACTGATAGAAGCTTCATAGCGCATTCACTCAGAATATTGCAAAGTTTTATGGTAAGAACATAGACACAAATATTCAAACTAAGTTAAAATATAGTTCAAACATGTACAAGCTTTGCAGCCTTGAGTAAAAAACCTCTTATGCCTCAGTTTCCTCACAACATGACAAATAATACTTGTTTATGATTATTATAAAATTAAATGAATTAATACTATAAAGTCATTAGAGCAGTGTCAGGGAAATAGTACTGTAGTACTAAATATATGTTTGTTAAATTAATAAATATCCCGCTAGGTTTGATAGTGGTGGAACTGTAAAACCTAAAAGAGTGATTTTTTTTTTTTTTTGAGAAGGAGTCTCGCTCTGTTTTCCAGGCTGGAGTGCAGTGGCGCGATGTCGGCTCACTGCAAGCTCCGCCTCCTGGGTTCATGTCATTCTCTTGCCTCAGCCTCCCGAGTACCTGGGACTACAGGCACCGGCCACCACGCCCAGCTAATTTTTTGTATATTTAGTAGGGACGGGGTTTCACTGTGTTAGCCAGGATGGTCTCGATCTCCTGACCTCGTGATCCGCCCACCTTGGCCTCCCAAAGTGCTGGGATTACAGGCGTGAGCTACTGCGCCAGGTCAGGAGTGAGTTTTAACTATTTTTCGGGAGCCAAGCATCACATTTCCCACAGAAAAATCTGTTAAACACAGTTAAGACAAACAATGATAGGGAAGGAAGCAACATTGTGAATAAATGCCTATGAAATTCTTAAGATTTGAGAAGTGTTTGAAAAAGTTTCTCCTGAAGATATTGTCATCTGAATTGAGAATCATTGTCCTAATGGCCTTTTTAAATTCAGATATATTAGTAGTCCTGCTTGAACTATGTCAAATGTGAGACATGGAACCTGTAATTATGGAAGCCTGGGATGCCTAGATCCTGCTGTTAATCAGCTTTCTATATCTCAAGGTCTCCTGGACGCATACACTTAGAATAATGCCCAAGAAAATATTTAAAAAAATTAAATATTGGCTGGGTCTTTGACCTCAAAGTTCAAAGAAAGCTTTACTTTGTCTATACCAGATAATTCCACTATGTGCTGCGATTAGATAGGCTTCAATGGCTTTTTTTTTTTTTTTTAATCACAATTCTTTTCCTGGTTTCTGCTCAATAGAATAGGGTATGCAGATCTGGGAATGCATTTCATCTAAAGTAGGAGGAAGCCCTAGGAACATTTACCTCAATGGAATAAAGGAGGGGTGTATGTGTGTGTGTGTGTGTGTCAGAAGCAAAGAGAGACAGAGAATATGAAAAATGAAAAATGAGAGACATGGCCACACACCTTTCTTTGAAAAGGGGATAATATCCCTGAATGGCCTCATTCTTCCAGCTTCTAAGCAGAAAACAAGCCTGAGGTGAGAATTTTACCTAAGTACACTTGACTTTTAACTGGAAAACTACCCTTTGAAATGTCTTTCATCTTGTCCGCTAAAAACCTTTTCCTCCTTAGGACTACATTAAAGGAAAGTAATAAGTAAGTAAGTCTGAGTTTTAACAAGAAGCTAAAAATCGCATTTTAGACCTTCCCTTTTTCAGTTACGGTAAAAAGCAGAGTCCCAGAACAACTATCTCAGATGGAGACACTCCATATGACCGCAATCGGGCTGGTCAGTGGGACATATGCACTGCGCAGTGAACTACATGCATGAGAAAGACAGGGCAGAACCTAATCAGCAAAAATGTCATGACTTATAGACTTATCTTGGTGTCCGTTTTTTAATTGCAGATTTTTCTAATTTTTTTTTTGCAGGTTTTTACAATTATTATCCTTTTTTGTGTGTGTTCTAGATTTTTATCATGAATTAGTCTTAAATTAAGAATTATGACCAGTCTATTTCCATTCCTTTAGCTAGCTTTCACAACATTTCTACTATGCATATGCAAACTGGGGATTGAATGACAACTGTATCATATTTAGTGCTGATAATATATATTCAGATAATATTTTGTTGCACAGTTCCTTTTTAACATCTTAAAAGGGAATCTAAAGAACAAACACTCAAAATATGCCTGCAGTTTTAGGTGTTAGGCTAATTGTATTACTTTATATTTTGAAATAGAAACTCAGTGGCAACACAATTCTTAAGTGGCTAAATATAGTAGATTGTTTTTTCCCCAATGATTATAAAGTTTAGCTCATTTATTTATTAGTATAGTCATTAATATATGCATTATGTAACTATTCTTTGTATGTGTGTTGTATCTGTGATTTGAAGGATGGCAAAAGTGAAAGAGAAAATAAGACAAATTAGGAATCAGGCATGTGAATCCCTTGTTTTGTTTCTATTGATGGCTTTCTTATTTCAGGCTGCTTTTGACTAAAGCAGTTTTCTGACTTAGTGTTTGTACTCTTTCAACTCACAAAGTAAAATTAACTTTTTACATGGTAACTGCTATATTTAAATAGTTCTAGAAAAATGAAACACCTTTTAGTTGCTTGCTTAATGGTAATACCCTTACTTCCCTGATTATAGGACATAGCTAATCCCAAGTACTTTGTCAGTTTTCCCTTCAACTGAAGATTGACATTATTTTGCAAAGCACTTTAGCAGGGGGACAAATCTTTATATGTTTTTATTGGGAAACATATGATTATTCTCAAAGACTATTTATACTACATAATGTATATTGATCCATTATTTTTCTATCATATCATTGACAAATATAATTATTTAAATATAAAGGAAATATATTGATTAATATACCATTCTTATTTCAAAAATAACATTATTCAAGTTTTACCAAAATGTAAAAGACATCTTATTCTGTGACTGGGTTTTTGACTGAGGACCCTCATATAAGAACTTAATAGTATAGCAACATTTTCTGAAGAGAATTTTTTTAACAAAAGAAAATAAAGTTTATAAATGAAGCTTTTACTTATAGGATTTAATTTTGGTCATTGATCTTACTCCAGATACACCCATTATAAAACTGTAATTAGAAAGGAAAAATACCTACTTTAAGAAAGTATTGGTTTTTAGCTGGTTCTTCTTTTCATAAGTGAACAAAAGAGATTAGAGGCCTTGACTTTGAAGAGTAAAAGTTAAGAAATCTGGATAAGAAAAAGAACTTAAATATATGAAATAATTAAAGAACATCAATATAGTATGACTATAGTTAGTAGAATATGACAGGTAGGGAAAATTTGTTATCCTAGATCTCAGTTCTTCGTCAGTGCTTTTTTTGTGTTTTTCAAAAGTGGGAGAAAATTTGACTTCATATTACTAGGATTTCTTAAACCATTTTCATTTATTTTATTGTCTCAACACTCCCTTCCCTATTCTACGCATCTTTCCAAACCAAATAACAGGCATTCGATACATTCTTATTGAATAAATGAATGAATGAATGAATGAACTGTGATATAACAAAAAAGGAACCACTATAAGTGAGAAGTTTGGCATTCATTAGGTAATTCTGAACACTATGACATTTTTCAGAATGAATCTAATGAGTTCTGTGATGTCAGGTTCAGGAACTAAGTCTAACAGGCTAGATCCCTTGATACTTTTTTCTTAGTGATCCCTAAAGTCTTTAACATATTGTCTAAAATAGCACACTGTCTTTTATATATATTTCAATTATTTTCTAATTTGCGGTTATTATCAATTTTTAACATTTTTGCTATGAATAAACTTGAAATTTTATGTAATCATGTTTATGTCTTTGTTTTGTGTTAGTTTTTATATTTTAAAATTTCTCCTATCTAACTGAAATTTTGTATCCCTTGATCAACATCCTTATTTTTACACATAAAAAAATTTGATCAATCCTAAGTTAGAAAAATAGTAGTCTATATTTATCTACACTTTGTTCTTTATTATTTAATTGTTATATATTTAAGCTATTTAAAATTTATTTAAAATTTAACATGTATTTTTTGTATGATTTGGCAAAGAGTATTTGTTATCACTCAATATAAATTATAGCTTTCTTCTTCAATAAAAGAACCCCAAATTTATTTGTGGATGGTAAAGTTTATAGCTAAAATTCTATGAAAACCTTTCTTTCAGCTAAGGACAGTCATACATACTAATTCATACCTCTGAGATAGAATTAAAAAGATTATGTCAGACTTCTGGGAAGCCTGCTTAAATGGAGTTGACTCAGCTAGAAAGCACCCTCCTACTGCAGAGCTTGAGACAGGTCTGACTCAAATTTATTACCACATAGATCATTCCTTTCTTTTATTAATTGCTTATCTGAATCCTCTTACTCTAACATTGAGAAACCTGGCTTCCACTATTTGTCTTTCATTTATGAATTGTTTAATTTCAGTATGCATATATTTCAGAATTGTTAAGTCTTACACTGTGAGAAATAACTTTATCAACTAAAAGAGTGTTTGTATTTAGTTCCTTTTGCCTTTAGTGTTACAGTCTTTACTCATTTCCAAAATTAGTTAGGTCAGCTCTTTCTCTACCACACCTCCTTTGGTGAGGCTATTTAATCTTAGGTGAAACAATAAGATCAGTCTCATTCCACTTTGGAATTTTCAGATCTCTTAAATGATTTTTATTTAATCTGCATTCATTAAGCTTCACTATTTGTCCTGCAAAGTTACAGAAGTTTTGACAAATCCAAACTGTCATGTATACACCATTACATGTAATTCAGAACAGTTTTTCTGCCCTAAAAATTGATGTCTGATTTACCTGTTCAATTATATTTCTGTTTGTAATTCTACCTCTCATCTGTATATTTCTAACTAAAGTCAGACTTCCAACATACCACTGGAGGACAAGAATCATGTCAAACTCAAGATGAAATAGTATTCTCAACAAGGGTAGGTAGTCTGATAACTAGTCTGGTAGCTGACCCCAAGTATCCATGCTTTCCAGTATTCATCCTCATAGGTGATAGTTATATAAACCATTTTAACCTGCCGCACAGGTGATTAAAATTCTGTTAACTCTTAGTTATGCCTAGAAAAAAATATCTCTACAGTGGATCTGGGCTGCAGTGCAAGTTTATCACCCAGAGACTCAATGATACTAGAAGAGTATGTAGCTGATGAGAAAGCTGATAGAGGTTGAGGCAAGTCTTTATAAGACAACTGTCATAGAGACTCTAGTCTTTTTAAGCAAGTAAAGGTATAATTTTTTAGAAATAGCTGTGACATGAAATATGGCCTTGACAGAGAATGAAGAACATATCAAGAACAACAAATGACCAACATGAATTGTCTCTGATACGCTATTTCATTTACCTGTTTATGAAATGGAATATTTCTAGTGCTCTTTATCATCAAATGCAAATGGAATATGTGAGGAGGCCTGGCAGTTCCACCAGGATAATGAGTACACCCTTTTACATTTACATGCACACATACCATGAAGACTTGTGGGGTATTCCTATGGCTAGCTGATTAAAGAAGAAACATTTTTGAGCTTGCACATTATGCTGTGACAATGTAATTGTCTGCTGTGACATTGTAGCACTGTCTGCACTATAGTGCTGTCCAATTTAATTGGAAAGACAAATAGTCTGCAAAATACATCTAGATTCATCCATGGGCAGGGCTAATGGTTTGACTGGTTGTTTAGTCTACTATTAAGGATAGTTTAACATCTGTAAGAAAAAGAAAAGCCTACAAAATCCCTCATTCAACACAATGTGTGTTTATTTCTTCTTATGCTAGCCCAATGTGAGTCTTCATAAACAGGCATTGCCCCTGGGCAGCTCTGCCCCAAGTAGCACTCCTTCAATCTAGTGGCTTTACTGCCACCCTGACCTTGAATCCCTCACTGAAATCAAAGCATTTCGTGTGTTTGGCAGAGGTTAGTGCAAAATACTTCAGGTCTAGGAGAAAAGTAGGGTGGGGGAGGTAATGAATGGATGTTATCAAATATATTATGGGCTGAGCCAGGATGTAAAGCACAATTCTTTTTCCTTCACATTTATTGAGACAAAGCTCATCATACTGAAGTACAAATGCAGTCTCCCTGATTTTAGGAAGTCGAATAAATGTCTCCCTCACAGTTAGAGATTTGGGAGCAGGAAAAGAATGGGAGATGTCAATATCTAGGGAAGAGATATGAAGATATATCCCTTGTAATTGTGGAGTAACTTCAGAGTATAAGAGTATTTAAATATTATTCAAAGAAACATACTGTTCATATTGCTCTTTATAATCGAATTGACAAGATAGTTTACCCTGTGTGTGTCAGCGAATGTATTGTCTCAAATATCCACCAGTGCTTTCCAAATGGGATCATGAAACAAAAAGAGGCTGTGAATGAATTCAACAGGCAAAACTTGCCAAACTACTGTTCTGCTGCTGTTCCTTTTGACTAGCTGCAACAGCCAATCCTGCTCTCCAATATAGTACCATACTCCAAGAGAACTAGCTAACCAATTGCTTGAGTGCTGGTTACACTTGACAACTTTTCATTATGGAACCATCAAATATTTGTAACTGAAGTAGACACTTAACCTTTATTTACATTTTTATTTGCCTATACATATGCTTACATGATTTTCTGAGAATTTTGTTCATCATTACTGTTTCCCACATGATATTACTTCTGAGCAAGGAAATTATTTTCCAGTTGAATTTGAAGATAATCAATTAAACCTCAACGATTTTCTCTTCTTCCAGCCACAGAATCCACCGAACATATAAAAATTGACTGTAATGCTCTATTAAGGCTCATTACAGCAGAAACTCAGAGAGAACATCTTCAAAGTTTCAGGTGGAAAATATTCTCTGAAACAGTCAACATATATTTTGAGTTCCAGAAAATAAAGGAAAACATTTAAGTGCCTCTTTTTCCTTATAAACTTCACCCATTCTCGATATTTCTGAGAACCATCTCTGTCACTCTGCACTCTGCTTTGGAGCTTTTAGAACCTAAGAGTGGAAAATTATCATGAGACACAAAAAAGATTAAAATTTATGACCCTACCTATACAGCTTCACTTTCTCACAGCACTGGCAAAAGTAAGGAGAAATGATGGTGGATAAAGTGATGCATTTTGGCTCCCAAGGTCAAAGAGAATTGCAGCCATCGAAATCAGGTAAAGCCACGACATGTAGATGGAACGCGAAAATGCTAGGAACATCTTAGAACTTTATTTTCTAACCTTCCTGGTGACTCTAGAAAATTCTACTTTTGTAACATTTTGTAATAAATTAGTTTTTCATTTCTAATTTTGGAGTAGATTATATCTCTAATATGTCAGTATATTGAAAGATATGCTAAATCAGATACCAAATTCACAAGCGTGATGAAAAAGGTAGATCAATTTAACTGGGTTATAATTGAAAACATATTTCAGACAAAAAAAGTTTATAAACAATTAAAAGGCAACTGCTTGCCTTTTACAAAGCATATATTGATCCATAGTCTATTGTCAATAGATTATAAGCATCTTGACATTAGGAATTATCTATTTGATTATGCTGGATAAATATTGATTAATTGAATAAAATTTTAAAAATGGAATTGAATATTATTCATAGAAAAATAATTTATAAAGAATTGTATTCATTAGAAAATAATTCATTAGTAAAAGAGTAACTTCTATATTTTAAAATAGAAATTTAAAGTATTCAACAATGAGAAAAATTACATCATGAACCATTGTTCTAGCTAATTGAATGGCATTCTCTAGTGAATTATGTATTAGTCTATCACATTGACAGTGAAATGAAATGTCATCACAAGATGGACAGTAGATTTGTTTATATTTTTGTATTAATTTAAAAATTATTTTGTTATACTTTTTATACAATTAAAAAATAAAGATAACAATTAAGCCACAAAGGTTAAAAAGAGGGGGAGGGGGCATTCACGGTGCATCTTGATTAAATAGTCTCCAGATGGCAGTTTAGCACTGCCTGAGTCAAAAACAACAGCTACAGACCGGGGTATCGCCCGTGTTTTTAGTCTCTTGGTAAAGTGACCACTTAATATTTACCTTTCTCCTTGTGGAAACTTAGTTAATGAAAACTTATTTTATCCAATTTGCTGTTAATGGCTTTCACAAAATATATCATAAATAGTCCTATAGCATTTAGTTACTCTTGAAAGCAAATATATATAGATTCATTTTTACTCAGATTTATATGTTTTTAAAAATAGCGCACAGGCCGGACGCGGAGGCTCACACCTGTAATCCCAGCACTTTGTAAGACAAGGCGGGTGGATCAAGAGAGCAGGAAGCCTGGCCAACATGGTGAAACCCTGTCTCTACTGAAAATACAAAAATTAGCCAGGCGTGGTGTGGGTGCCTGTAATCCCAGCTACTTGGGAGGCTGAGGCAGGAGAATCACTTGTACTGGGAGAGGGAGGTTGCAGTGAGCCAAGATCGTGCCACTGCACTCCAGCCTGGGCGACGAGCAAGACTCCGTCTCAAAAAAAAAAAAAAAAAGAGTGCACATAACAAAACTTAATATTTTGTTGGACAACATCCCATTTCAATCAAGATGACCAATCAACGTCTAATAGCAGCTGTTTTCACTCTGAAAATGATGCTGCCTTTGGACCCCTATTCAAATAAAATCAACTGTGTCTCTAAAGTAGTTCTTTTCACATGAAATTTCAGTGACACCTAGCCTTTAGTTTTTTGTTAACGATGTATGAGAAACAAATCTTTCTCTAATGAAACATTTCAGAAATTAAAATTATAAGCCTTCATGAATGCTTTATATTGTCTATTATTCACTTAAACCACATTTAAATATTTATTTATTTTTCCATATTCTTTATATATGTATTGCGATAGTCAGCTCAAGTCGCCATAACAAATACCATAGACTGGGTGGCTTAAACCACAGATTTCTTTTTCCACAATTCTGGAGGCTGGGAAAAATAAGCTCAAGGTGCCTGATGATTCTGTTCCTGGTGAGGGCTGTTTCCTGGCTTGCAATCCACCTCTTGTTTCCTGTGTCCTCACAAGGCAGAGAGAAAGAGATCTCCTTTTCTTCCTCTTTTATAAATAAGGCTACCAGTCATATGGAATTAGGGTCCCAATCTCATGAGCTTATTTAACCTTAACTACCTCCTAAAAAAATTGTCTCTGAATGCAGTCACATTGGAGGTTAGGGATTCAACATATAAATTTTAGAGAGACACAGTTCAGTCCATAGCACCTGTTAAAAACTGATTAAATAGCTTCAATGTTACAGTAGAGCCAATTTACTTTCTGGTAATATTTACATAAATGAGAAACTAGTAATTCATTTGCTGTTGCTTATGTGGTCATTTTTCTGTCAATTCCCACTATAAGAACTGAGAAATCATGATTCTTAGTATAATGAAAATATTAAAATGAAAATGAAATAGAATAAGCAATGTATACTATATTAAAAGAAGAACAGGAAGTGGAAAACACACAAACAAAAATGAATAAAAATATAAAGGAAAGAATAATCAATAGATAGAATTAATGGCTTCTTTGATGAATTTTTTTTCAAAACCAACAGAGAATGGTTACAGCAAGTGAATGGAAAAAGATCAAAGAAATTTAAAAAAATAGTGGTGAAGAAATGTTTACAAAACAAGGCTGTAGCCAGGCACAGTGGCTCATGTCTGTAATCCCAACATTGTTGGAGGCCATGGTGGGAGAATTGTTTGAGGCCAAGAGTTCAAGATTAGACTAGGCAACATGGTGAAAATTCTTCTTTCACACACACACACACACACGCACACACACACCAAAAAAAAAAAAAAAAATTAGCTTCCTGGCTGGTTGTAGTGTCCTCTGCTGGTAGCCCTCTCTGCCTAGGAGGCTGGGACAGGGAGTGGGAGGATCCTTTGAACCCAGGAGTTTGAGGCTGCCATGAGCTATGGTTGTGCCATTGCACTCCAGCCTGGACCACAGAGAGAAACTCTGTTTCAAAACAAACAAACAAACAAACAATAAATGGCTGTGAATGGGGATTCACTGTTAGCATCAGGTAAGGTTAGAATAAAAGTTAAAGCAAATCAAGTGTGAATTCAGAAAATGACCGTCAAGTGCATTATAAATATTAGAATGTGGTAAATTAAATTAAATAATCACATCCATTGTATCAAGTAACTTCATCTACTATTCTCATACTGTGTTACAAACTATAAAATAAAGTATAGAAAATAAGCCATGGTTATTATTTTTATTTTATTTCATTTATTTTTATTTTTAGCATTGCTATATTTTCAGGGTAGATTAACTGGTGTTAAAAACAACAACAAAGCCCCTCAAAATCTTAGTGGCTCAAGAATATAAGGGTTTATTTCTCCCTCATTTCTTTCTTTTTTTTAATCATTATTATACTTTAAGTTCTAGGGTACATGCATACAACATGCAGGTTTGTTACATAGGTATACCTGTGTCATGTTGGTTTGCTGCACCCATCAACTCGTCATTTACATTAGGTATTTCTCCTAATGCTATCACTCCCACAGCCCCCCACCTCCCAACAGGCCCCAGTTGTGATGTTCCCTGCCCTGTGTCCAAGTGTTCTCATTGTTCAATTCCCATCTATGAGTGAGAACACATGGTGTTTGGTTTTCTGTCCTTGTGACAGTTTGCTGAGAATGATGGTTTCCAGCTTCATCCATGTCCCTGTAATGGACATGAACTCATCCTTTTTAATGGCTGCATAGTATTCCATGGTGTATATGTGCCACATTTTCTTAATCCAGTCTATCATTGATGGACATTTGGGTTGGTTCCAAGTCTTTGTTACAGGCCACAGTAACCATCTGATCTTTGACAAAGCTGATAAAAACAAGAAATGGGGAAAGGATTCCCCATTTAATAAATGGTGCTGGGAAAACTGGCTAGCCATATGTAGAAAGCTGAAACTGGACCCCTTCCTTACAACTTACACAAAAATTAATTCAAGATGGATTAAAGACTTAAATGTTAGACCAAAACCCATAAAAACCGTAGAAGAAAACCTAGGGAATACCATTCAGGACATAGGCATGGACGAGGAGTTCATGACTAAAACACCAAAAGCAATGGCAACAAAAGTCAAAATAGACAAACGGGATCTAATTAAACTAAAGAGCTTCTGCACGGCAAAAGAAACTACCATCAGAGTGAACAGACAACCTACAGAATGGGAGAAAATTTTTGCAATCTACCCATCTGACAAAGGGCTAGTATCCAGAATCTACAAAGAACTTAAACAAATTTACAAGAAAAAAGCAAACAACCCCATCAAAAAGTGGACGAAGCATATGAACAGACACTACTCAAAAGAACTCATCCTTTGTTATGGCTGCATAGTATTCCATGGTGTATATGTGCCACATTTTCTTTATCCAGTCTATCATTGATGGGCATTTAAGTTGGTTCCAAGTCTTTGCTATCATGAATGGTGCTGCAATAAACATACATGTGCATGTGTCTTTATAGTAGAATGATTTACAATCCTTTGGGTATATACCCAGTAATGGGATGGCTGGGTCAAATGGTATTTCTGGTTCTAGATCCTTGAGGAATAGCCCTACTGTCTTCCACAATGGTTGAACTAATTTACACTCCCACCAACATGTAAAAGTGTTCCTATTTCTCCACATCCTCTCCAGCATCTGTTGTTTCCTGACTTTTTAATGATCACCATTCTAACTGGCACGAGATGGTATCTCATTGTGGTTTTGATTTGCATTTCTCTAATGACCAGTGATGATGAGCTTTTTTTAATATGTTTACTGCCCGTATAAATGTCTTCTTTTGAGAAGTGTCTGTTCATACTGTTCATATTCTTCTCCCACTTTTTGAAGGCGTTGTTTTTTTCTTGTAAATTTGTTTAAGTTCCTTGTAGATTCTGGATGCTAGCCCTTTGTCAGATGGATTGACTGCAAAATTTGCTCCCATTCTGTAAGGTTACCTGTTCACTCTGATGATAGTTTCTTTTGCTATGCAGAATCTCTTTAGTTTAATTAGATTCCATTTGTCAATTTTGGCTTTTGTTGCCATTACTTTTGGTGTTTTAGTCATAAAGTCTTTGTCCATGCCTGTGTCCTGAATGGTATTGCCTAGGTTTTCTTTTAGGGTGTTTATGATTTTAGGTCTTACATTTAAGTCTTTAATCAATCTTCAGTTAATTTTTTTATGAGGTGTAAGGAAGGGGTCCAGTTTCAGTTTTCTATATATGGCTAGCCAGTTTACCCAACACCATTTATTCAATAGGTGATCCTTTCCCCATTTCTTGTTTTTGTCAGGTTTGTCAAAGATCAGATGGTTGTAGATGTGTGGCATTCTTTCTCAGGCCTCCGTTCTGTTCCATTGGTCTATGCATATGTTTATAGTTTGAAGTCAGGTAGCATGATGCCTCCAGCTTTGCTTTTTTTTTTTTTTTTTTTTTTTTTTGCTTAGTATTGTCTTGGCTATACAGGCTCTTTTTTGGTTCCATATGAAATTTAAAGTAGTTTTTTCTAATTCTGTGAAGAAAGTCAATGGTAGCTTGATGGGTATAGCATTAAATCTGTAAATTACTTTGGGCAGTATGGCCATTTTCACGATATTGATTCTTCCTATCCATGAGCATAGAATGTTTTTCCATTTGTTTGTGTCCTGTCTTATTTCCTTGAACAGTGGATTGTAGTTCCCCTTGAAGAGGTCCTTCACATCCTAAATTGTATTCCTAGGTATTTTTTTCTCTTAGTAGCAATTGTGAATGGGAGTTCACTCATGATTTAGCTCTCTGTTTGTCTATTATTGGTGTATAGAAATGCTCGTGATTTTTGCACATCGATTTTGTATCCTGAGACTTTGCTGAAGTTGCTTATCAGCTTAAGGAGATTTTGGGCTGAGACAATGGGGTTTTCTAAATATACAATCATATCATCTGCAGACAAAGACAATTTAACTTCATCTCTTCCTATTTGAATACACTTTATTTATTTCTCTTGCCTGATTGCCCTGGCAAGAATTTCCAATACTATGTTGAGTAGGAGTGGTAAGAAAGGGCATCCTTGTCTTGTGCTGGTTTTCAAAGGGAATGCTTCCAGCTTTTGCCCATTCAGTATGATATTGGCTGTGGATTTGTCATAAATAGCTCTTACTATTTTGAGATATGTTCCATCAATATCTAGTTTATTGAGAGTTTTTAGCATGAAGGGGTGTTGAATTTTATCAAAGACCTTTTCTGCAACTATTGAGATAATCATGTGGTTTTTGTTATTGGTTCTCTTTATGTGATGGATTACATTTATTGATTTGTGTATGTTGAACCAGCCTTGTGTCCCAGGGATGAAGCCAACTTGATCGTGGTGGATAAGCTTTTTGATGTGCTGCTGGATCCAGTTTGCCAGTATTCTACTGAGGATTTTCACATCAATGTTCATCAGGGATATTGGCCTGAAATTTTCTTTTTTGTTGTTGTGTCTTTGCCTGGTTTTGGTATCAGGATCATGCTGGCCTCATAAAATGAGTTATGGAGTAGTCTTTCTTTTTCTATTGTTTGGAATAGTTTCAGAAGGAATGGTGCCAGCTCCTCTTTGTACCTCTGGTAGAATTTGGCTGTGAATCTATCTGGTCCTGGGCTTTTTTTGGCTGGTAGGATATTAATTACTGCCTCAATTTCAGAACGTGTTATTGGTCTATTCAGGGATTCGAATTCTTTTTGGTTTAGTCTTGGGAGGGTGTATGTGTCCAGGAATTTATCCATTTCTTCTAGATTTTCCAGTTCATTTGTGTAGTTGTGTTTATAGTATTCTCTGATGGTAGTTTGTATTTCTGTGGCATCAGTGGTGATATCCCTTTCATCATTTTTTACTGTTTCTGTTTGATTCTTCTCTTTTCTTCTTTATTACTCTGGCTAGTGGTCTATCTATTTTGTTAATCTTTTAAAAACACTAGGTCCTGGATTCATTAATTTTTGAAAGGTTTTTCCTGTCTCTATCTCCTTCATTTCTGCTCTGATCTTGGTTATTTCTTGTCTTCTGCTAGCTTTTGAATTTATTTGCTCTTGCTTCTCTAGTTCTTTCAATTGTGATGTTAGGATGTCAGTTTGAGATCTTTCCTGCTTTCTCCTGTGGGCATTTAGTGCTATAAAGTTCCCTCTAAACACTGCTTTAAATGTGTCCCAGAGATTCTGGTATGTTGTGTCTTTGTTCTCATTGGTTTCAAAGAACTTATTTATTTCTGCCTTCATTTCATTATGTACCCAGCAGTCATTCAGGAGCAGGTTGTTCAGTTTCCATGTAATTGTGCACTTTTGAGTGAGTTTCTTAATCCTGAGTTCTGATTTGATTGCACTGTGGTCTGAGAGACAGATTGTTGTGATTTCTGTTCTTTTACATTTGCTGAGGAGTATTTTACTTCCAATTATGTGGTCAGTTTTAAAATAAGTGCAATGTGGTGCTGAGAAGAATGTATATTCTGTTGATTTGGGGTGGAGAGTTCTGTAGATGTCTATTAGGTCTGCTTGGTCCAGAGTTGAGTTCAAGCCTGAATATCCTTATTAAATTTCTGTCTCACTGATCTGCCTAATATTGACAGTGGGGTGTTAAAGTCTCCCACTATTATTGTGTGGGAGTCTAAGTCTCTTTGTAGGTCTCTAAGAACATGTTTGATGAATTCGGGTGCTCCTGTATTGGTGCATGTTTATTTAGGATAGTTAGCTTTTCTTGTTGCATTGATCCCTTTACCATTATGTAATGCTTCTCATTGTCTTCTCTGATCTTTGTTGGTTTAAAGTCTGTTTTATCAGAGACTAGGATTGCAACCCCTGTTTTTTTTTTTTTTTTTTTGGCTTTCTGTTTGGTTGGTAAATATTCCTCCATCCCTTTATTTTGAGCCTATGTTTGTCTTTCCTCTTGAGATAGGTCTCCTGAATACAGCACACCAATAGGTCTTGACTCTTTATCCAATTTGCCAGTCTGCATCTGTTAATTGGGGATTTTAGCCCCTTTACATTTAAGGTTAATATTGTCATGCTTGAATTTGATCCTGTCATTATGATGCTAGCTGGTTATTTTGCCTGTTAGTTGATACAGTTTCTTCATAGTGTCAATGGTCTTTACAATTTGGTATGATTTGCAGTGGCTGGTACCAGTGTTTCCTTTCCATATTTAGTGCTTCCTTCCAGAGCTCTTGTAAGGCAGTCCTGGTGGTGACAAAATCTCTCAGCATTTGCTTGTCTGTAAAGGATTTTATGTCTCCTTTGCTTATGAAGGTTAGTTTGGCTGGATATGAAATTCTGGGTCAAAAATTCTTTTCTTTAAGAATGTTGAATATTGTCCCCCACTGTCTTCTGGCTTGTAGGGTTTCTGCAGAGACATCTGCTATTAGTCTGATGAGGTTCCCTTTGTGGGTAACCTGACCTTTCTTTCTGGCTGCCCTTAACATTGTTTCCTTCATTTCAACCTTGGTGAATCTAACGATTATGTGTCTTGGGGTTGCTCTTTTCGAAGAGTATCTTTGTGGTGTTCTGTTATTTCCAGAATGCCCTTTGTTATTACGAAGCACTCAATTTTTTCATTAAAGGAATTAATGAAACCCAAGCAAAAATAATATATAAAGAGATTAAAAAAACTGATTAAAACTAAAAATGTATAGCTACTACCAGAGGTAATAAAATAATCATTTAAATCTAAGCATATAATTGAAAGCCATAAAAAGTAAGCCAATATTTTTTAAAAACTTGAAAAGCAAACAAAAACCCTTGTTAAATTTTAAGCTAGAGAATTTTTAAGAATATAGAACAGAAAATAAAGTTCCATGACAAAAATAAAATTGATATATTTTAATAATGAAATAAACTCCAGTAATTCACTATAATTGCATTTTATACTATTTAATATATTTGCATGGTGTAAACATGTATTTGTATTTTTGCTATATTAAAGATTAGCTGGAGCCTGAAATGATTGAATATTGAAACATTCAATCATTTTAGTTTCACTATCTCATCCTTCAGTATTTGGGAAATGTAATTATTCATTAAACTTATGTTTTCATTTATAATAAAAAGCAAATGAACTTACTACTTTCGTTTAATTAGATTCTTAGGATTTCTCAATAGTCTATTTTTCCCTGAAAGCCAGATGACATATTTTGAAATTTGATGTTATTATAATTTGAACTAGGAAATGAGTAGAAAATGATCTTCCACTATCTAGGGAAAAACCTCCTATTATTAGAGGGATAACTCATGTAAAATATGGTGAGGGTTTTTCTCCTTTATCAATTAAGAAAGGATGATTTTTACAAGATCCCATCAACAATAAAGTACTATCATGTAAAGAACGAAAGCAATTGTGCAGAGGATTTCTATTATCCTGTGTATTGGCCAAGGTTCAAGCAAGAACCAGGCACTTTCAACAAAGAAAAATTAGATGAAGATTTAATAAAAGAGCTATGGTACCAAGACATAGACACAGCATAGGGAAACTGCTAGGGATAGTTCCACATCGTTGTATTTATAATGGTGGAACTGTAACAACCTGAGTGTGGAAGGAATGAGAAGTGGGGGTGGTTCCTGAAAATCAATGCAGAATTATATACAAAGGAACACCCTGAGAGAATCAGTGACCTTCAATCAAGGCACACAATTATACTATGGCTGCTCCTCAGGAAGGGAGCCAAAGAAACACATACCCTTACCTCACTTTCCTCCTGCTGCTGGATCTCCTGCCAAGTCCCATAGTTAGCTGAGGTCTGTCCTAAGCCAGAGCCCTTGACGCAATCCAAGCAGGTCAGTCTCTTGAGATACGGAGTTGAGGGGAGACGAGCAGATAACAGATGTGGAAGCAAATAGTAGCTATATGGCAGAATGTGTCTTTCCATCTTTAGAAAATATCTATGAAATAAATATAGGGTTTTTTTAAGTTAACTTTTTATTTGGCTTAGTAAGTAAATTAGTTCAGTTGTAGTTGACAGAGGCTTAAGATCAAACACTTGTAAATTTGTATGTGAAAATGATATTATTTGTATGTGAAAATTGTATTTACTAGTTAAATTCTAGATCTTGAAGTCCAAGAAAGTTCTGTACTAGGTTAGACTTGTATTTATTGAGTGATTCAGTATTCTTTTCTCTTTTAAGGACATAAAGTTTAATTTTCCATGGATCTACAGAATATAATGAATAAATGGAAGCCTCCTGATATTAGTATTTAATGATCTCCTCAATTTAAAATCAGGTTATCATTTTCTGCCACAGCATCTTATGGGTGAAACATTAAAACATTTTTATATTCTTTCTGAGTATTTACTTTAGATATTTTGTTCCTGGAAACTGGATAAAAATAAGAGGTTAACTATGTTATTACACTATAGAGTTACTGTAAAAATGGCCCAAATGTGGGAGTCTGCATCTGCCTAGGAAAAATAAAAATGCTGGGTAGAACATATTTTTGGGCTTCCCTGAATCTGGTGATTTTTGTCACTGGTATGTCCTGTTCAGGGATATGGAAACTGTCTATGGAATTTTCACAAGAGACATTCACTCCTGAGGATCATAAGACTTCATACTATTCCTGTGCCCCACCTGAAAAATTTTATTTCATTGCTTCTGAGACCATCACTTGAAGGGGTGATATGGTTAGGTTCTGGGTCTCCACCCAAATCTCATCTTGAATTGTAATCCCCAGGTGTTGAGAGAGAGGCCTGGTGGGAAGTGATTGAATCCCGGTGGTGGTTTCCCCCATTCTGTTCTCGTGATAGTCAGTGAGTTCCCACAAGACCTGATGGTTTTATAAGGCAGTTTCCCCTGCTCTGTGTTACACTCTTCTCTCTCTCCTGCAGGCATGTGAAAAGATCCAAGTTTGCTTCCCCTTCACCTTCTGCCATGATTGTAAGTTTCCTGAGGCCTCCCCAGACATGTGGAACTGTGAGTCAACTAAACCTCTTTTATTTATAAATTATCCAGTCTCAGGGAAATTCTTTATAGCAGTGTGAGAATGGACTAATATAAGGGGCAAAGAGAATCATTCCTGGACAGCTCTGTAGACTGTTGCAAGAACTATTCCAGTTGAAGACAAATGTGTGACTCTGCCCTGCTGGTGAGCTTTGTTTTCTCTCCTATATTCATCCAATGAATCTGACGTCTAGGTTGACCTTAGCAAAGATATTTAACAATGTATCACCATCCAAGGAAAGTTATAAGGGGGGGAGGGGGAGAAATTCAAATGTTCTGTTTTTTTCCATTATCTAGGTTAGAGTAAGTGTACTTTTTAAATTGATTAGGAATTACATTCATGGTGATCAGAAAATAGGGGTTTAAACATATTACAGGTTGATTTTTCTTCAAAGTTAAAAAAGATGGAGTTAGAAATCTACTATTGTAGCTCTTCTAAGAAATTATCAGCGAGATATAGTCTCTTGCTATCTTCCTGCTCTGCCATATTCAGTGTATAGACTCCCTTTTTAAGTTGTCTCTTGATTCTATGGAGATTCCAAAATTGCATGTACTTTATGCAGGCGAAAGAGAAGGGCAGTGGAAGAGACAAAAGCCCGATGACCCTGCCACTTTCCCTTTGCTTTTGAGGAACATTTCAGAAACTATGTTCAACAAATACTACTGAATTTGTATTGAATTGGCCAAGACAATAATTGAAACCAGAAAGAAAGTTTTTCATTGGGAAATGGTTTCTACTAACAAATTTAGTATGTCCACATTAAAAAAGGTGAGAGATTATATCACCTTCTCTAGATTGCTACTTTTCTTTACTAGTTAAATTTTTGTATATGTTTTGATGCTAATTGAAAAGGAAAGATACAATATCACAATAATTGACTGACTTTCACCTCAATCTCTCTTCTAAACCTTCTCTGTATTTTTAGTAGTAGTATAGCACCAGCACTTCATTAGCATGTCCTTTTGCTCTTGATATTTTACAAAATATATTAATAAGAGTTTTTTTAAATGACATTCTATAGGCTCCACAGAGTATTCCACCAAAAAAGTATCAAATCGGCACACCTAAAACTGTATGTCTGTATGTGGTGCAGTGATTTAAAGAGAGAGGTTTAGTGAGAGTAGAATGTATCAGACATTGCCCAATGAACAGCTCAGACTGGACGTGAATATTGTGGCCTAGGCAGGAATATATAGCATAAGAAGAGGCTGTTTAAACTATAAAGAGTATCTGACACAAAAGTTCTGAGTGGATTAGAGCCTTATTTTTCAAATTTTCATATGTTTTCCTGTGATGTTTCTTACTCAGTGAAGATGTTGAGGCTAGACTAATATCACTCCTAGATGACTTAAGTGTTACATTGATGTCAAAATTATTCATTTCATACCTTCATGATTGCTCATTTTAAGGTTATCTTTACAGATGATTAAATATATTATATTTCAAAATGTTTCCAGTCAAATCTAATATGGATTTTAGCATTTTTACATTTGATTTCACCTAAGTTTTGCTGGAAGTTGATGTGATTTCTAAGGCAAAACAATGTGTTTAGAATAAATAATAAACATTTTCTAACCTACAGTTTATTAAAGTTCAGTAAACAAATTTGTGATTTAAAAATTTTTCCTCATATTACTTTGCAATGGACTGAATGCTCATGTCCCCCCAAATTTATCTGTTGAAATCCTAACCCCCAGTGTGAGGGTATTAGGAGGTGGGATCTTTGGGAGATAATTAGGTTATGAAAGTGGAGCCCTCATGAATGGGTTTAGATTCCTTATAAAAGAGATCTCAAGGAGCTCTCTTGCTCTCGTTCTCTGATGTGAAGATACAAGGAGAAGATTGAACTCTTTAACTTCAAAGGGGGCCCTTAATAGAACACAATCATTCTGGATCCTGATCTCAGACTTTCAGCATGTGTAACTGTTAAAAATAAATTTTCTTATTTATAAGCCACCCAGTCTGTGGTGTTGTTATAGCAGCCCTAAGACGTACATGCTTTTAAAACTTATTTAATTAAAAACATTCTACTAGAGAAATAATATTCTAGTTCTGACTACATTTGATCTTGACATGTATCAACCAATATTTATTTAACATTTCATGTATATCAAGTGTTATGTTAGTTATGGGCAAAAACTGAAAACAAAACAGAGTCCTCCACTCTAGGCACTCTTGGCACAACACAGTTAGTGTTATAATCAAGCTCTGTACACAGTGTAGTTAAAATCCAAGGAAAATATCCTTTAATCCTGCCTTGGAAATTCTGTAAAGGCTCAGTAAGTTCATTAGGTTTGAGATTTTTTTTCTGAGGGATACACATACCAATTGGAATGAATAAGGAAGCATATTCTAGGCAAGAGAAACATTTGTAAAAAAAAGAAAACTTAAAATGATAACCAGAGGAAGGCTTCATGTGCTCTTTTATTTTTTAAGCATAGTGACTCATATATATCTTGTTAAACTAAAACATTACAGAATAATGAAACAAAGTGATTGTTTATTAAGTTGGACATTAACTAGACCTGGACTGGTGGCAATTAGGATACATTACTCTCCTATTTTCTATTTCTAATGAGCACTGTGGCTATGTGACACAGCATATTTTTCCTTTCTTCTCTTGCCTAATTGCCATTTCTCTTATTATGTTCTAATCCAAATTCTGGAGCGAGAAGATTGACTTAGTAATTATTATAATTCTTATAGATTCTAGATTCCTCTATTTTAGTCTCGTTGATAGCCTACTTCACTACAACCCACTTCCCTACAACCTACAGCCCTGTGTAGAAATCAGTTTCAGAAGAAAATCATCAAAGGTGAAAGAAATTTTAACTGACTAGTACAGTAGAGAGGTTTACCTATTTATTTTCACATGCAACCAGATAGTATTTGAATAATGCATATGAGCTTCAGAGATTCACATTGCTTTTTCCATTCTGAGATGACTTACAGGTGTTTAATGGATTATTTTTAATATACTGATGAAATGATTTGTACTATCAAAAAAGAAATGAGAATGGAAAAGAATATACATTAATGTGGGCTTTCTCCTACATTTTACATGCAAATTTACCATCCTATATATTCAGACTATTCTTAACTGACCTTACTAGTGTTATTTAAATGTATGTTAATGTCTGCATATTTAAACCATGTTGAGGACTGTAGCTGAGATGAAGAGAATTCTCGGAATATTCCAAATGCATATCAATTAGAGAAGATTAGACTTTACATCCTTCTAGCTGTGTTGGAGAACACTTACTTTTTTATGTAGAATGTGAATAAAATTACGTAAATAATTATTGTCTTATTTTAATAAAAATACGTTTGCTTATAATGCTGACTGTTATTAGTCAGTGTTATAACTTTTTTTGGTAGCATTTGTTCTCTGTTTACTTATTTTTATTTTATTTACCTGGAGACATTAGTTACAAACTAATTTTGAATGTAAACAAGATATTGTAGACAGTTCACCACTAATATCATATTGAATCCTGAAGGAGTCATTAAAGAAAAAAAAATCTGATTTCTCTGTTAAAATATTGCCAATCAATCTTATTTTTATACAAATGCACATAAATTAGACAAATCTTTCAGGGGAACATATATTAATCAATTAATTTGTTCTTGGTTAGTATTTTTCTCAGACTTCCACCATTTTCTAGACATGGTTTTTAGAAGATGCTATATTGCTACAGCCCCTTGTTTTGTCGCTAGTATTTAATTTACTTACAAATTTACTTACAAGTACACCAATGAATCTGATTGCTTATTAGCATCAAAAGTAATCACATTTTAATGAATCAGCAAGAGGGTTTTTGTGCTAATTCTTTCTTGTTGACCAATTCAATGAAAAAAATATGTGAATGCTTTGAAGTGTACATGTTTCATGAGGTTACTTGTAGTTCAGTTTTAAAGCATGTTAAGAGCACACCAAAAGGGGCATAGAACTACTTAATCTAGAAGTACTTACATGGCTAATTTATGATTAGGTAATACAGTATAGTTTAGACGATTACTTTAATACCAATTTATTTCCGATGTCAAGGGAAGAGTCTAAGATGGTTAGGGGAAGAGAACAGTATTTATATGTATTATTTTCTCAGCTCACATTCAACTTTACTTTGTAATTAGCAGGAAAAGTATGTATCCATTTTGAGCCTTAGATTTCTTCTATAAAATTATATAGCATAATTTATTTCCTAGCTGATTATGAGACCATTCTTTAAGCAAGTAATGAGAAATCCAACCTCTATCTGGTGAGATTTTAAGATTAAAGATATTTTTCATTTGTCACTTTGAATGAAAAGTACACAATAAGAAAAAATAGTGAATTGTTTTTGTGTCTAATTTCACAACTCAAAAATTTACCATTAATACCTTTATCTTTTATTTCAATACAAAATTAAAGTTAGGCAAATTAAGCCACTAAAAAGGCTTAATATTAAAAATGGAGTATTTGTAATAAAAGTAAAAGTTTGCTGTTAGATGGTTTCTCCCCCCAGAAAGTAAATTTGCCTAGCAGAAATTTGTTGTTACAACTACCTTTTTTTGTTACTAAACTGATTTAAAATAGAGGGTGCAAGTAGTGTGCAAAAACATGCTTCAAATGTGAATAAATTTGACTTTATGTTAAAGTACAGAGAAAAATATGTATCCACAGAACATAGAGAAGGAAAGGCTGACAATGAAATCCAGATACCAGAATGAAACATACTCTTAATCAGCATCCTCTAGAAAGCTGCATGAGCCGTGAGCCCAGAAATGCTGCCTGATAGTACTTAAGAAGCAATGAGAGGAAGGAGCCCATGTACTGCAATGTGTCCTTCAGGCTCAATAGTCTTTTGGATTTCGTTTAGTCTTGTGGCTTCCACACAAACCACAGGGTGGCCTTCCCCTAAACTCGCCTAAGGATTTCAAACTAGCTTTCTTGCTATGAATAAAACACAAAATAAAATTTTTAAAAGGTTGAAATGTCTACTGCTGCCAAAGGAACAGCAAATACTCTTTGGCTGTGCTTGTACATAGCAGTAGGAGAGATCACCATTAATGCAGGAGGATGGTACCTGGGGCACTAGTAGCAATGGACTGTGGTTCATCAAGCACTCTGCAGGATAAGGGCACAGGCCAGCAACCAGAGAGAACTGACTCTGTCTCAGCAGCTGTCTGTATCTTGTGGAAATAGTCACTAGTTATTTGCTTACAGATGATATTGAGTTAGTAACATGGAATATACTGATACAGAATGAGGATGTGTCCTTAGGCATATTATTCAAACTTGCCCTGTAGCTTGCCCGCCTACTGTCTAAGAAGAGTGAACAAAGAAGGACAAATGGGGAAAATTATGTCAGAATTACCTTATAACATTTTCAGCCTTTGAAGTTTTGGGGACAATTCAATCTCATATAATCTTCATGCCTAAAATCTAAATACAGCCAGTAAATTGGATAAAGGAGTTTAAAGAGGTCAACCATGCTGTTTTAATTTTTTTCTAAAAAAAAGCATGATTGTTCTGCTAAAAGTTATTAATATATTTTTATGAGATCTAAGCCTCAAACTTTTGGAGGTTGTTTTATTACATTATTTCTGTTACAAAATTAGTTCTGGAACTAATTTTTCCCTGATAGGTTTTTGGTTTTATTTGTTTTTCCCCATTTTGTATAGTAATTGTTAGCATTATATTTGCTATTAGGATTTTTCCAAAAGCCAAAAAAGCTTTCACCAGCCAAATTATCCCCACTCTCAAAGATAATATTTAAAAATACATGTCTCTTCCCTAACTGAAAGGAAGAAGCTATGTAAATAAAGTTTGAATTTAATGAATCTGAATGTCAGATCAAGAATTGAGCTTTTATCAAAGCTACAGAAAACAGTTACTAGATAGGGAGATTTTATTTATTTATTTATTTTTTTTGGTCTGGAAAGGGAAGGATTACATTTGATCACACAAGAAGAACTAATTGAATATTCTTCAGAATGACTCTCAAGTAAAACAGTTGTTCAACAATGATAAAAGTGTAAGAATGTTTCAGATCATCTTCCTTGGCACTTTATTTTGTCATTTTCTCATTAATTTAAGTAGACACATTTGTAACTCACACTAAGTTATGTATGACTAATCATTTTATATATCACTTTAGATATCTAAGACTCTGATTTCTCCTTCATGAACAGCTAGTGAGTATGTCAAAGATGGCTAGATCTTCAAATGGCCATGCATTCACATCTCCAGGACCAATCCTTTACCTAGCACTCAATAGCATCCTTGTTCTTATCTACCTTCAATACAATGCTCTAAAAGTAGGAAAAGTGATGCTTTAGAAATATAAGTAAAAGGCAAGGCACGGTGGCTCACGCCTGCAATCCCAGTACTTTGGGAGTCTGAGGCGGGTGGATCATGAGGTCAGGAGATTGAGACCATCCTAGCCAACATGGTGAAACCTCGTCTCTACTAAAATACAAGAAAAAAAAAATTAGCTGGGCATGGTGGCGCGTGCTTGTAGTCCCAGCTACTCAGAAGGCTGAGACAGGGGAATCACTTGAACCCAGGAGGTGGAGGTTGCAATGAGCTGGGATAGCAACACTGTCAAAAAAAAAAAAAAAAGAAAAAAGAAAAATATAAGTAGGATCATGCTGCTGCCACTACTGCTATGCCCTTTAGCCCAGACTGAAATACCTGAAAAGTCTGCAATGCTCCTAGGATGAAATGACAAATCTTAATATCTTGTGTATAGCTTTGCAGGATCGGGCCACCCTTTTCCTTTCCACCTTGTTCCTCACACATGCAAACTCACCTCCAGTGCCCTGTATGCTGTTCCCTCTGTCTGGAATGCTCTGTCTTCCTTTATCTAATTAATTTCTACACTTTTCTCTGATTTTTGCAACATTATAACTTCCTCATCTCCATGATCAGGTTAATATTTCCCAGGTTATGCTTTTATAAACCACATAGAAGCAACAGCTGCAATTTTCCTTTTTTTTTTCTTTTGCAATTCTTTTGCCCGCCTAATTAAGCAGATTAATTTTTTACTTCTAGTGTTTCTCAGGTTCAAGTAGTCTGCTCATTACTTTTTTAATGAATAGAGCTACATATTTATTTTTCTTCTTTCTTTGATTTCACGAAAAAATGGACTTTACCATCTTCATTTAAAAATAATTTAATTTCCTGAAAACAGCTCTCAGTGTTTCTAAATTAGAATGTAGGTAAACGAAAATTGATGGTTTCTTGATCGTCTTGTTTTTATAAACAATTTTGATTTTAAAATATTCAATGCTTGGTAGGTCAGATTTTGACCCATTTAGAATATTAATATACAAATTAGCCTTCTTGGGCTAAATAGTCTTGGTAAGATTGTCTTCACATATCCTGTAACTCCATATGTAAATATATTATTATTCACAATTAAGACTTGTTTTCTCACTGCGGCTGTTTCATCACAACTTATTCTTGAGCTTGTAGGCTATGTCCTTTAGAATCTAAGTAAAATAATTCAATTTTTAATTCTATTTATGTCTAGTTCTTGTATTTTGTTTCTTTAACCTTTAAGGTTGTCACTTTCATTTTTTTTAAGCATTTTCTTTCTCTTTGTATTTAATGGTTTTCTCACATAGATGAATAGCCTTAATTCGCATTTACAGGTTTTTCAATGTGTATAAACGGCTGTCATAGATTATGTTTCCATTTATGATCTGATATTTTTTTAAATAAGGTTTCTTATTTTCTGCTCACAAAGTCCCTTAATGCTCTTCATTTCTAGATAAAAATTACCTTTTCTTCCCCTATTCCATATTTTTATTTTAAATTACCAAAGAGAAATAATCTGGCTCTTATTTCTTTCATGCCACATCTTCAATAAAGCACTGAACACTCTCCAAAGACAAATATTCATTTTACTTTAAAAAACTCAGGCTTTAGTTGACAAATGCTATTGTGCAAGCGTTGGTATATGGGTTAAATGCCAAAAGAATAATATACACAACTCTTAAATTTAATAGATTTAGAGTCCACTCTGTCTCTTAACCCACTCTGGGTTTTGATACTCTCAGAGTTCATAGAAGAATAAATTCTCCCAATACCACTGTAGCCTTCTTTAGCGCATTTGTTGAGTTATTTTTTTATCCTACTATAAATTATCTTTAAATACTATCTCATTTTGTTTTCCAGAAAATGTACTCTTACTATAATGGAGTTTTTTGAGAAGTGAATTGTAAACACCCCATTTTTTCAAAACTAGAAAGAAATCTCTCTTCTCACATATGAGTGTTATTATATTTTTTGCTTGTTATTTGGATGGCTATGTAGGCAGCAGCCTGGAAGTCTATACTTCCGGAGCTTGTAATGTTTTTTTCAGCTATTATTCCTTTAATGTCCCAGCAGAAGAGAAGAGATAGACTACATCACAACAAAATCTGTGAAAAAATATGGCTCAAAATGTTTGTAAATTGGTAGGAAACAGCCTACTAATCCAAAATGTCCAGCAAAGCCCAAGCAAGTAAAATCAAAGAAAGCTATGGAAAGGTACACCATCATTAAACTGTTAGGGCCAAAGCATCTTAATACAAAATAAACTTATGTTAGTCTTTCCAATCATTTTCTACTGCTTGTCGTTAGTATTAAAGGAGGGAAATTACAAATTGCCTACTCTTAAATTCAAAAAGAGTGTCTGATAAATACTTCGTGACAATTTATGGCACATATTCTCAATTTCCTTCTAGTTTGTGCTGCTTTTTAGAACTCTCGTTAACCACTTAAATTTTACTGAAGCTACAGGTCAGGTAACAACAGCATGTTGGCTGCATCCTCTATACAGAACTTCTTCACTGTTTCTTGCACCAGATAGTATTGCATTTCTCTGTTACTTACCTCAATGTTTATAATTGCATAACAGTATAACATGTAAAACAAAATTTTGCCCAAAGCACATTGACCATTTTCTTATCGCTCTGTGTGCCTTTATCATTTTACCCAAATCTTTGTACCCTTTCCATCTATTCTATTAGCATCTTTTATTTATCTGTTTCCAAAGAGCCTTTGAGGCCATGCGCAGTGGCTCATGTCTGTAATCCCAGCAATTTGGGAGGCCAAGGTGGCGGATTACTTGAGGTCAAGAGTTTGAGACCAGCCTGGCCAACATTGTGAAACCCCATCTCTACTAAAAAATACAAAAATTACCAAGGCATGGTTGCAGGCTCCTGTAATCCCAGCTACTCGGGAGGCTGAGGCAGGAGAATCGCTTGACCTTGGGAGGCGGAGGTTGTAATGAACCGAAATGCCATCACTACACTATAGCCTGGGTGACAGAGTGAGACTCCATCTCAATTAAAAAAAAACAAAAACAACCTACTATTAAGAATAAATAAATCAAAAAAGAAAGAGTTCAAATAACTATATGAAATTAATTGTTCACCTATAGGTTGTTAGTTCACCTAAATCCATAGAGGAACCATGAACCATAAGCCCACTGATGTTAAATGAACTTCCTGAATGCAGACACTAACTCATTCATTATCTGCTTCTCCTCCTCTTTAAGATTGTAAAGATTACAAACAACCCTAAAATCATCTTAATTACTGACTTTTAAAAAAGTGTATTTGGCAATTTTTCTCTCAGTGTTTTCTGATGTCCTTGGTTCTATGTGATTCACCTTTCTCCTTGAGTTTACTCCTGTTGGCTTTTCCATCCAAGTCATTTTGCCCCATTTCCGGTTTATAACTAACATAACTTTCCTATTTTTCTGAATATTAATCACTTTCTTTCTGAAATTTCATCAAACATTCTTTGAACCAGCAAGCCGACTCCATAATGTGAGAGTGGGTAAATTGACTATCTCTAGACAGGAAAAATTCATATTATAGTACAAAAACACAGAGAACATTATGACAAATATTAAGGAGAACAATGAATGATGCAGCATTTTATGGCAGGTGTATGATCTACTAAAGTACTACCTCATGCTTTTTTCTTGACTTGCACTTCATCACAAATCAGAGCTTAATAATTTATCATATTTAAGTAGAAGGTTCAAACTATATTTAGATCTACTGATGCAGTCTGAAAGGTAGCAACATTAGAACTATCCTCCATGAGTAATTTGGGCCCTGTCATTTCTCTACTGGTCTATAAAAAAATGTGCCAAATTATTAGTCATTAACTCTATTTTCTGCAGAGATATGGTGGCTGACTTCAGGAGAAATGCAAATACAAGCTACAGCCACTACATCGGATTTGACAAGAGGAAAATCCACAGCTATATGACTTTGGACGTCTGCCATAAGCAATCTTGTATAAATAACTCTGAACTTAGGATATATGGGCACATTGAAATTCAAATTAGGGCTTGAGAGCTCCAAGGTTCATTTAAACACCCCAGGATGAAACATGGTTAGCAGTGCTCCAGTCCTCTAACATAGATGATTCTGCCTGTCTATATGCACTTTAACCCTAAAGTAGCTGCTTATTCTGCATATTAAGATTGTGTGGAGTTTAAAAAAATATTTAAAGGAAAACAATAATAAATGAGTTATTGATAATGGAAAATATTTTTCCACAAAAAATCATTAGACAAAAATTCTACAACATAGAGGCATAGTAATTAAATACTTAATGACAAAAATAACATTTCGTTGACTCTTATTTGTTACATACACCAGCAATTTACAATGTTTGTTAAAAATGAAAAGAAAAAAGAATACGTCAGCTGTATTAAGAATCATAGATAAGGTGGCCATATAATTTATTGTCCAAACCAGAACACTTTGGAGATCATGAGAATTACTTTAGGATAACTCATAAGCTAGATATGTCCTGAGCAAATCAGAACATGGTCACCATGAATTTTGGAGGATGCGTACCTATTGAGTTCTCTTTTTGAAAGTAACAAATGTTACATTCACTGGGGATTAACCTATATAAGCAATCCCCCTATTCTCACAAATAGATCAGAGTGTTTAAAAAAACAATATGTATCCATGTCATTTGCAGTGATTCAGCCTTATGAAGTTGTTCTAAATACTTCTCATTTTCTGTGGCTTTTAAAGAACATTTGGCAATTATTTCTTTCTTTCTAAAGGTAATTTTTTATTTAGATTTCATCCAAGTAATGAGGACAAAGATCATATTTTCTATAAGTTTAGTTTGGATGCAAATCATTGTATTTTTATGGAATTAAGAATGGTATATTTTGTTAATTAATAAAATATTTTCTGGCTACTTCTCTCAAATATTTCTAATGTTCAACAAACATCAATGATGCAGGATTTTTCTCAGTCCCTTTGCCAGTGGGGACCTCTGCCTTGCTTGGGGCATGCTACCTGCCACAGGAGGTGTCCTGCCCAATTGGCCGGCACAGGCTGAGTCTGACTTGCACACTGCTTCCCATGTTCTTGTCTCATGAACAAGAAAAATGAGAATGCACTGAACCTTGAAGGGTGAGGAGGGCAGAGAAGAATTTTATTGAGTGATCAAACAGCTTTCAGCAGAGAGACGATGCAGGAGTGGTCCCCCTAACTGAAGGCAGGAAAGCACCCCATGTGGCCAGGTACAGGGCCTTTTATGGACTCAGAATGGTGAATGTGTGCTAAGTGGTTTGTGAGTACGCAAAAAAGGTTAAAGTGAAGACACCACTCAAAGGTGGCCAGAACAGTGTAGAAAACCTATTAGGAAAGGGTAGGTATATATAAAATAGGTGAAGGGTGTGATCAGTCAGGAAACCATGTCAAACAGGTAAACAAGTTCTTAATCTGGTCAGAGGATTTAACCTGTAGCTTGGCTTTTGAGCTTTAAACTGTCTGGCTTGGAAGTGGGGTTTCACAGGGACCCGGCCCTATCTGCCTAGGCATTTGGCTGTCTCCTGCCACTATTATCATCACTGTGGTGATTACTAGTGTGGTTAGTAATTCATAGTGTTACATTGGGGTTTTTAATTTAAAATCACACGTTTATTATTTTCCCTCCCTTATAATTACTACAAGTACAGGCTGAAGGTTTATATTTCACTGGAAAAATCAATCTGGCTGCCATACATTTGAATACATAACATTATTCAATTGATACAGTGGTGCAGAGTAGATGTTTAACATTTAGAGTGGCTTCCTATAGCCCTGTTCATACAGTCTTCATAGTTTTTAAAGAATGGAGCCAAAATAAATTTTCGAGCTCATTTATCCAAGTTAATCTTCATCATAATACCCAAAATTCCTGGAGATGCTTGATTATACATTTAGATTCATTGAAATTTGATTTCATGTTACAGGTGAAAAAATGATTGTTTTTGACCCAAGAGTAAAAAAAGAGAACTGGATTATTATTATTATTATTATTATTATTGCACCTCATAAGTATATGGTATCCTTGAGTCTTCAATTCTTCTTCAAACCCAATTCTTTAACAGGGTTTAGTTTGCATAACACATATTGCAGCTCATTATGATTCTGTTGGCCACTTGCAAAGTAGTGGCTATTTGGGGTCTAATTACATAATTATGTGACTACTCATTCAGTTTCAATATTTGTTCCTGGGAAATAATTTATAAGAAAAGATTCTCACTTCTTATTTTAAGAGTCTGGAAAGTTTTACTTGCTTGCCAATGCCTATATTTTAAGTTCACATCTTTATTCTCTTCAAATTTATGTAACTTTTTTGTTATTTGATATGTGATTTTTGCCCACAAGATATCTTTTATGCCTTACCCTATGCCTGAAAATTTTCCTTAAATTATGGCATTATTCTCAATATTGTCTTTCATCCCAGATCAATCTAATTGTGGGAAAAATAATTTACTTCAAAATGATTCTAAGAAACTTCCACGTTGTTGAATAATTTACCATTTCTTATTCTAAATATAAAATGGCTGTTTTTTTAGTCAATTCTTTTATAATTGTTTTGTGATTTATATCAAAATCTGTCTTTAAAAATTTCTGAGAATGAAAAAAGTATTTTCAACTTGCTTTAGACAATACCATGAGGAGTAATAAGTGCAATTTTGATGTTTAAATAAACTTTGGGTTCATCAAAATAATCTGTACCCTGAGGAATGTACTATCACCGTAAAGGTTTTTTTTTCTTAGTTGCTTGATCGTTATAAAAGTTGCTTAATAGCCAAATATTTTAAAAAAATTCCAAATGTATCAAGTTATTACTATTGTTTTTTATTGAACAAATTGTTTTATGAAGTGCCTGTATTATAATTTCCTAGAATTTTTAAATTAAGCTTACTCTTTAAAAAACTGCTCAGTAGTTTAGTAAACCAAGACAAGATACTTTACAACATAAAGTGATACTACAACTTTATGTTGGGAGAGTAGGCTTAAAAGCAGAGGGTGGACAAAACTTCTAAAGTTATTACATTTCAGCTGGAAAAAAGTTAATTGGGCACGGTGTCTCATGCCTGTAATCCCAGCACTTTGGGAGGCCAAGGCAGGCGGGTCACGAGGTCAGGAGTTTGAGACCAGCCTGGCCAGTATGGTGAAACCCTGTCTCTACTAAAAAATTTAAAAATTAGCTGGGCGTGGTGGTGCACGCCTGTAGTCCCAGTTACTCAGGAGGCTGAGGCAGGAGAACCGCTTGAACCCAGGAGGTGGAGGTTGCAGTGAGCCGAGACTGCGCCATTGTACTTCAGCCTAGGTGAAGAAGCGAGACTCCATCCCCCCAAAAAAAAAAAAAATTAATTGGTTAATTGGTGACTTTGGTGACCTAAAAGACTGTAACGAGAGTAGTGTCTAATGCACCTGTTGAATTATATCAAAAATGTTTTATTTCTCAGAAGAGAGGTTTTAGTTCTTCACATCATTTATGCATGTACTGTACTCCCATTGAAAATTAAAGTAGTTATGCTATACTCCAGTGGTGTAAGGTTGTTCATGTACTTGCCAGAAGAGATGATACATAGTCACCTGTTCAGATGTCTTTGTCTATAGAGAGCTCTCTGCCTATGTGTGATATTTCACATCTTGGCTCACACTTATAAATGCAAATCCAACACTAAGGGACATTACAAATTTATGGCACACTGGGGATCTGTTAATCCTGTGGACAAGAATTAAGCTTCTTCATGTATTCATCCTTTTAATGAGAAAAAAGTGATACAATAGAAAATATGAGGGTGTAACTTAAAGCAATTTCTATGTAGTTTAATTCCATTTTTAAATGAAATTCTAATACCCATTTTATTTTAGTTTTATCTCTCCATATTCGACATGATATCTAGAAATAATTTTATTTAATCAATGAAAACAGATAAATTGCTTCATTTACCAGCTGTATGGCAATAGCCAAGGGGTGGATTAAGTGATGTACTAATGATGCTAATGCCAATTATAGAATTACCTTCTTAAAAATATATTAATTAAATTGCAATGTCTCCCTTTGTTCACTTTGACTGACATTTTTGGAAGTTTGGAAATCTTGGTTTGGTAGTTAAGTAGAATCCCATCAGGCAGAGTACAGGGAAGTTGAAATGCAGGAGAATTACTTTGATTCAAATAACTATTTGTTATTAAACTATTCAACAATTATTATTCAATATAACTCCAAATTATTAAACTATATTAATTATTCAAATAACTGCAATTATTAAACTATAACTATAATCATACTATTCATAGTTATATTTTTTCTTTAAAATATCCATCTAGTATGTGGCAAGACAGTATCTGCTTGTATAATTGTATTTACACCATTGCTATGATTTAAATGTTTGTGTCCTCCCAAATTCACACATTGAAATGTTAACTCCTAACTCATTTCATTTCACACATTGAAATGAAATGAAACTGCTCCTAATGGTAGCAGGAGGTGAAATCTTTAGGAGGTGATTGGGTTTTGAGAGCTTAGCGCTCTTGAATGAGATTAGGGTAGTTTTAATACAAGCCCAAGAGAGATCCCTCACCCCTTCCACCATGTGAGGTTAGAGTGATAAGCTGGCAGTTAATGAAGAAGTGGGCCCTCATAAGACACTGAATCTGCCAGTGCATTAATCTTGCATTTCTCAGCCTTTAGAATTACAAGAAATATTATTTTTTCCTACTAGGTGATCCCTTGATGTGGTGCTCTTCCCCTTTCCCTAGGGTTGGGACTTCTGTGAGCCAGACTGCAGTGATTTGTTATTGCTCTTCTGGGTCTAGCTACCCAGTGGAGCTACTAGGCTCCAGGCTTGTGCTGGGGAATGTTTGCAAAGAGTCCTGTGATGCAATCTGTCTTCAGGTCTCCCACCTGTGGATACCAGCACCTGCTTTGGTGGAGGTGGCAGAGTAGTGAAGTAAAGTCTGAGAGAGCCCTTGCTTGTAGTTTTGTTTACTGTGATGGCTTTCTGGAATGCTGGTTATGCTAGCAGTGAAGTTGTCACGTGGAGGCACTCAGGACCTCTGGTTAGCCAGGCAGGGGAATTAGCTGTTGTTTTCTCCTTCCTGGGATCAGGGTTATTCTGTCATAAGTTACTGTAATGGCTTGAGTTGGTTGGCCAACAATGAGGTGGTGGTGGTTTCAAGAGAGCACCAGTTGTGATAGTAGTAGGGGGATCTAAGCTTGTGCTAAGTTGGCCAGTGTATTTTTGTTCCTCAGGCTATGGGCAGGGCCATAAAGCTCCCAAGAATTTCTGTCTTTTGTGTTTCTATCTTTTATGTATCTTTTGTGTACCCACACTGCCAGCGTGGGTAGAGAAATACAAACAGGTAGGGGCAGAGTTAGACTGGTCTTGGCTCAGACTCACCTTGGGCGGGGCTTGCTGCAGCCATTGTGGTGGATGGTGGTGGTTCTCAGGACAATGAGGTTATGTTCTAGAGGGGATTTTCGTTGCCTCTACTGTATTATATAGTTGGCCAGGAAAGTTGGAGATAGCTGGTGGCAAGAGGCCTCAACCAGGTCCCACACAGTTGGCAAGGTCAGTGTCATAAAGGTTCATGTTAACATAAAGGTTAACATAAAGGTTCTCCACGTCCCCACCAGACTCAGGAGCCCAGCAGGCTTCACCCAGTGGATCCCGCACGGGGCTGCAGGCGGACGTGCCTGCCAGTCCCGGTGCCGTGTGCCCGCACTCCTCAGCCCTTGGGTGGTCGATGGGACTGGGCGCCGTGGAGCAGGGGGTGGCGCTCGTCGGGGAGGCTCGGGCCGCACAGGAGCCCATGGAGGGGGTGGGAGGCTCAGGCATGGCGGGCTGCAGGCCCGAGCCCTGCCCCGCGGGAAGGCAGCTAAGGCCGGGTGAGAAATCCAGCGCAGCCACGGTGGGCTAGCACTGCTGCGGGACCCAGTACACTCACCACAGCCGCTGGCCCGGATGCTAAGCCCCTCATTGCCGGGGCGGCAGAGCGGGCCGGCTGCTCCCAGTACGCTGCGTGCCAAAACCACGCCCACCCGGAACTCCAGCTGGCCCGCAAGCGCCGCGCGCAGCCCGGGTTCCCGCTCCCGCTTCTCCCACCACACTTCCCTGCAAGCTGAGAGAAGCGGCTCTGGCCTTGGGCAGCCCAGAAAGGGGCTCCCTCAGTGCAGCGGTGGGCTGAAGGGCTCCTCAAGTGCCGCCAAAGTGGGAGCCCAGGCAGAGGAGGCGCCCAGAGCGAGCGAGGGCTGTGAGGACTGCCAGCACGCTGTCACCTCTCAGAACTATTTACTCAGAATGAGTGAAGGCAAGTGATTAAATGTACCTTTTAATTGAGTGTAATCTGCTTGCTCTACATATTCAAAGTCTTAAAACATACCAAAAAGTCTATTTACCCCATTCCTCTCAATTTATTTTGTAGTAGTGGCTTTATCCTCTTTTACTGGCAGTATGTTTGAATACTGGCCTCCTTTATCAGGTAATTAATTTGTATGTAAGTTTGAGGAAATTAAAATGGCTGTGACTATCTTGCTTCATGAACTTGATCCACTAGAGCAGAAACTAGCATACAGAAACAAAAAGCAGCACAAAGAAAGTAGGTTAAGGGCAAGGGCCGAGGTGCAAGAAATGACTTAGAAAAAAAGAGAGTACACTTCAGCCTGTGTTGATTATGGAGATATTATCTAAATGGGATCATGAAGAAGTCATAAATTCCACCAAGAGATTTAAATGCATGTGTGTGATAAGAGGATTGGGAAAGGAGGTAGGAGATTGTGAGGGTATTTCTTGTCAGTGAAATGCATGGAATTTATGCCCCCAAGACATAAAAAAATCAGTCACTCAACATGTATTTAATAAGTGACTACAATAGATATCTAACTAGTTTTGTCAAGTTTAGACAATCTGTAGGAAGACTTAAAAATATATAAAAATAGATGTGAGTCTAGATTTTATGGATCATGACATCGAGTGCAAGACAAAGTAAATTTTATTTTGTAGGGACTGGGGAGTTTTTGAATTAGTCCGCAGTAGACAGCACTGTATGATCATCTCATGACAGTGCTAAAAGTATGTAAGCAAGAGGCTAGTTATGAGGGCATTGCAGTTGCAAATGCAGGACTATTGTGTGAGGTCGTGAAATGGCCATAGGACTAAAGTAAAAATGAATTTGGGAAAATGCAAAAAAAATTAATAAAACTTTATTGCTGGGCCTGAAGAATACATTTGCTATTCATAGTTCAAGATAGTTATATTATTCTGTTGTATCTACAGTCCTCAAAACATATAGAAGTGTTGCACTGATTATCCTTCCTTTATTATTTTATTCAATAGTGTGTATTCAGTTTATTAAAAGGATACAAATGTATATTTTAGAGAATTTAATAAATATTAAAAAATATATAATAATGACTCTAATACAGAAATATATAATGTATATTTGTAGTAGATTCCCATCTATTTTTAAATTATTTAATTTCAATTTTATTTTCTAAATTATTAATAGGCAAAACATCAAGTTTTTCAGTCCCTCTTTAAAACACTCATTTCCTGACTGTTGTCCTAAAGACATTAGTGTTTTAAAAACTAATTTTCTTGTTAAATAATGACATGCAATTTACTGAAACCTCACCTGTGTTAAGCATTTAAGTTACCTCTGATTGCTAGAAGTTAGAAATCATGAAATTGTACATATTTAATACAGCCATAATTTAAACATTGCTATTATTTTTCAATATATTTGCTAATTTGCTAGATTAAAAATGGTATTGTGGTGCTTTATTTTTATTTCTTTTCCTATTGGATTGACATTTATAGATGTTTATTAGTAATTAATAGAACCTGTTAGAAATTTCTGCATAGTGACATTTCCTCAGTTTCTAATTTAGCTATACAAGTAATTTGTATAAATAATGTGGATCAATTCTCAGTGATATTTCACATTTTTTAAACTTTGTCTCTAAATAATTTGTATCTAAACATCATGCTTCAAGAAAGTCCTTTCATGATTTAATAATTATTCTCATGTTCTTTTCTTTTTTACGGTTTTCTTAACATTTAGTAGGTCATTATTTGCAGTTTATTTTGTTTTGGTAAAACTGCAAATACGTTTTTTGACAAAAGATAACTTCAAACTTATTGTTTTATTGTAGTTTAGGATATTGATTGGTTTTATCTAACCTAGTATTATTATTTAACATTCTTTAAGTAAAATAAAACTCCTTGAAAAGTGTGCTAAAATATGTGTGCAAGTTCTAACTTTAGGTATAAGCACCTTTTATTTTATTGTTTGTAGTAATTTCCTTTTTAACTATCGGTACCTGAGATTTCTCTTTTCTCCATGTTTTCAATATGCTACAGCAGGTCGAACATTTAATTTTGAGCCAAATTGATAAATATGAAATTGTAACTAGTATTATAGCTTACATGACTGTTACTATTTTGAGTACTTTCTCTATTCTTATGGGTCATTCTGATTTTCTAATTTATAAAATCTTTACAAACTTTTAAACTAAATTATTGTGGCCAGGCGTGGTGGCTCATGCCTGTAATCCCGGCACTTTGGGAGACCGAGGCAGGCAGATCACGAGGTCAAGAGATGGAGACCATCCTGGTCCATATGGTGAAACCTTGTCTCGACTGAAAATACAAAAATTAGCTGGGTATGGTGGCACGCGCCTGTAGTCCCAGCTACTCGAGAGGCTGAGGCAGGAGAATCGCTTGAATCTTGGATGTGGAGTTTGCAGTGAGCTGAGATCATGCCACTGCACTCCAGCCTGGCAATAGACTAGGACTCCATCTAAAATAAATAAATAAATGAGAATAATAATAATTAAATTATTGTATCATGCATTTATATTGACAAACATTATAGTTTGTCTACTAGTTCTATGACAGTTATTTGCTTTAAAATATTATTTCCCAGCCTGTGGATGGTATTTTAATATTTTATTATACATTTTGTTAAGCAGAATTTTATTGTATTCAAATATCAGTATTTTCTCTTTTTGATTATGCTGCTTTGTAATTTGTATGGGAAATTCTCCTAGTTTTCAAGACATTAAAGATTTGTCCCTAAATTGTCTTTTAATAGTTTTAAATAGTCTTAGATGTGAAAAAAATGATATTTGTATATAGTGTGAAACAGGAGAATTATAACATTTATGTAGATATTCAGTTGTCAATTTTTGACTGGTGTTCTCTTTTGCTACTAATTTGAATTGTGGAGCATGCTTGTATTCACTGTGTCCCAAATTCTCTTATACTCTACCCTATATTGCTGAGATTGGGGTTCTTCAAAATACAGTTTTGAGTCTCATTTGCTAGGGGTTTGCTTTAGACTCTATCATTAAAATACACTGGAAATAATCAGAAGGCGAGAGAAAGAAAGAAGATGCTTGCTTCTGGCAGTTATAGGCAGTTACTGGAATGGCAGTGAGTGTACAGGGTCTCCAGACTCCATGGAGCACAGGCAAAGGCAGCATGGTATGGGTCTGTTCTCGGCAGAATCTTTTCAGTGATATCAGAACTGACTGAAACAGCACCTCTAACAATGCAGCATCAGGCAGTAGATAATAAAATCCATCCAGAAGAGCATCACTATTCTTAATTTTGGACTCTCTGGCTGACATTTCATTCTCTTTTTTCTTCTTCTACACCTTACAACACCTTGTAACCACTTCTCTGTATTGAGACATTTGTGTTTGAAATACCTGGAGTGCTTTCTATTTTCTTGTCTGGTTCCTGACAATAACTATCTTTGTTTCTAGACTTTTTATTATTATTATTGATCTATTCATCTTTGCCTTTACCTAATTAGTATAGATTTAGAATAATGTTATCTGGCTCGGCAGAGTTAGCTATCTTGTTGTTTTCTTCAAAACTAACATGAATATCCTTACAGCATATTATAATTGTTTGTATTACTTTTAGAATTAATTTGTCAACCTTGATAAAATGCTGTTGAAATATTTAGTAAAATTGTATTAAATTTGATACACATACTTAGGGTAAAATAACATCTTTATAGTAATAGTTTATCCTCCTTTTAAAGCATATATAACTCTTCATATTTAAATTATATTACATGTTCTTCAACAGCATTTGGTGATTTAATCCATATGAATATTCACACATCTTTAAGATTTGTTTCTAGGTACATAATTATTAGTTACTTTTATGGTCAGGCTCTTTAACCATTTATTTTTCTATTGCATTTTTTTACATGGCTATTAATCATATATAAAAATGTTACTAATTTTGAACAGTGATTTAAATATTCAACCACATTGATAAGTGCTTGCCATAGTTCTCAAAGCTGTCTGGAAATTTCTCATACATATAATCATGTTGTACACAAATACAGCACATTTTACATTTCTTTTTAAATTCTCACACCTGTTCTCTCTTTTATTTATTTTTTGCCTTATTAGATTGATGGGACTCTTCATTAGAATTGCACGATACACAGTATTCTATAAGTATTTCTAAAATATTATTAAATAGTATGTTTGTTCTAGATTTTTATCTTTATACACTCCTTATGGGTTTAAAAATGTTTAGTTGTGTTCCTTAAATTCTATGAAAATGAATGTGTTTTTCTTAAGTGAAAAAAAAATTCTCTTCAATACAGAGTAATTTTTTGAATGGCATTTGGGAAAAGCCTAGCTGTGCGATTCTTCTGGTTCGTGTGGCATCAACTGGTATCATTCTTCAGCAGCACTCAGTTAGCGACTGAATAGAGCTGAAGAATTCAAGAAGGCTGTACTTACCTGCATGGCATGCTGGCGTACCTCTGCAATGTTTCTGTTTCTCCACATAGTTGGTCTCAGTATACGCAGAAAACTTATGTGGCATATAGCTTCTAAGAGGGAGTCTTTTATGTATGGAAGAGGAAGCTACAGAACTATTGAGGTCCAATATAAGAAGTTATACAAAATCACTTCCATCACACTTAATTAATGAAAGAAATGTATAGGTAAAGTCAGATTAAAATGATGAGGAGATGCCAGGAGGTGGTGAAGCAAGATGGCCAAATAGAAGCACCAGCAATCATCCTCCCCAAAAGGAACACAAAATCGAAAAAGTATCCACACAACAAAAGCACCATCATAATAACCGAAACTCAAGTGAGCTATTACAGTGCTTTATTTTAACATCATATTAAGAAAAAGGTCACTGAAGAGGGTAGAAAAAAACAGTCTTGAATTGCCTACACCAAAGGTCTGGCAGAAGAGAAGCACCGAAAGTCATCCTTCCCAACAGGAAAACAAAATTGAACAACTATCCGTACAACAAAAGCACCATTATAAGAAGTGAAACTCAGGTGAGCTATCACAGTACTTGATATTAACATCATATTAAGGAAACATGCACTGAAGAAGGTAGTCTTGAATTGCTTACACCACAGGTTACCCATCCCCTAGCAGTGGTCGTGGGTCACGGAGAAAGAACCTGTGCATTTTGGGGAGAGAGAATGTAGTGATTGTGGGACTTCACATTGGAAATCAGTGCTACCTTATCACAGCAGAAAGCAACACTGGGAACAACCCAGCTTGTGTCCTCCAAGGGAGCATCTAGATAAGCTCTAGCCAGAGGTGAATTGTCCATTCCAGCAGTCAGAAACTGAGTTTCAGCAAGCCCTGCCACTCTAGCAGGTTTAAGTGCTCTGGGGTTCTAAATACACTTGCGAGGCACTTTAGATCACCAGGACTGTAATTCCTAGGCAATTCCTGGTGCTGTGCTGAGCTCAGAACCAATGGACTTGGAGCACATGTGACCCGGTGAGACACCAACCAGGGTGGCCAAGGAAGTGTTTGTGTCACCCTTCCCAGAACCCCAGGAAGTTCAGCTTGCAGTTCCAGGAGAGATTCTTTTCTTCTTCTTGAGGAGAGGGGAGGGGAGAGGAGAGTAAAGAGGACTTTGTCTTGCACCCTGGATACCAGGTTAGTCACAATAAAGGAGTGCACCAGGAAGAGTTCTGACACGCCCATTTCAGGCCTTAGATCCCAGATGACATTTCTAGACACAGCCTGGGCCAGATGGGAACCTGTTGATTTGAAAGGAAAGACCAAGTCCTGGCAGAACCTGCTGACTAAAGAGTCCTTGAGTCCTGAAAATTCAGGAGTGGTAGCCAGGCAGTACCCTCTTCAGGCCTTGGGTGAAACTCAGAGACTTGCTGGCTTCAGGTGTAACCCAGCGTATTACCAGCTATAGTGTCTAGAGAGAGAGAGAGAGAGAGACTCCATTTATTTCGTGAAACAGAGGAAGAGTAAAGAGAACTTTGTCTTGCATCTTGCATACCAGCTTGGCCATAGTAGGGTAGAGCACCAGGAGAGCTGCTTGAGTCCCTGATTCCAGGCCATGTTTCCTCTGTGGCACTTCTGGACCTGCCCTGGGACAGAGAAGCTCACTGTGCTGAAGAGAGAGACCCAGGCTGGCAGCATTTACATCAAACAAAACAAAACAAAAAAACTACAGGCCAATTCCCGTGATGAGCATTGGCTCAAAAATTCTCAACAAAATATTAGCAAACTGAATTGAACAATACATTGAAAAATTATTCATCCTGATCAAGTGGAATTTATTCAAGGGATGCAAGAATGGTTCACCATAAATAAATCAATCAATGTGATATATATAAACAGAATAAAGGAAAAAAACATGATCATTTTAACTGATGCTGAAAAAGCATTTGATAAAATGTAACTTTCTTTCATGATAAAAACCGTAAAAAATCTGGGTATAGAAGGAGCACACCTCATCAAAATAAAAGCCGTAAATAACAGATCCACAGCTAGTATCATAATGGGGACTATCCTAGGCAACATAGTGAGACACCATCTCTACAAAATATTAAGAAATTATCCAGGCATAGTGGTACATGTCTGTAGTCCTAGCTATTAAGGCGGCCTAGGTGGGAGGATTGCTTCTTGAGCCAAGGAGATTGAGGGAGCAGTAAGCCATGATCATACCACTGCACTCTAGCCTGGGGAACAGAGCAATATCCTATCTCAAAAACAGGAAAAGAAAAAAAAATTAAAAAGGGAAAAGAAAATAAATTCTAGCCAGAAGTAAGCCAAAATATATTTGATATTTTAAAATACGTCAATCTAGGACACTTTTGCTTGTGATACTCACAGAGTGAAATCAGCAAACTGTGTTCTGTGTTTCCTTTTGTTTTATATATTGTGATATTTCTTTACATTCTTTAGCTAAAAAGGTAATCTTTGTTAAAGGAGACCAAGAAAAACCCACAAAAAACACAAAAAATGTATTAATCATCTACTCCTTTATTCTTCCAATCTTCTCTCTCTATAATTAGCTGAAATTCCAACCTGACTTAATTATGTGGGTTTTCTTCTGATGCTTTTACACACGTATTTATAGATGCACACATATATTCACTTTGTTTGCTCTGATTTTATTTTCATAACATTAAGCTTATATTACTTACATTTGTTTACAACTTTTTGATGTATCGCAAAGTATCATGAAAAAAATTTCAGTTGCAGAAACAGTGAAAACTAATTATTTTATTTAACAATGTAATGTTTTGAACTTATACATTATATATATTTATATATTATGTATATATAATATGTATATATATATGTATATTGGTATGGATTGCACAATAGGGATTACTTGGTCATAGTGTATATTCATTTTTAACTTTTATTATTATGTTAAATGTTTTGATTCTTTTATTAATCCAAAAAATATGTTTGAATTAGCCCATTTGCCTTTTTTTTAAACAACACACAATTTTAAAACCAACACAGAATTCAGCATAATAATAAGTTAGTGCCCACTGTTTTTCATGAAGATCGTTGACATGGCTTGGGTTCAGAAGCAGACTTCTGGGGTTGTTATCAACTAGTATTATTTTTCTTTAATTGTTTTGTTTTGTTCAACAGCCTGATAATGTCTTACATGCTGCGGTTGCTCAATAATTTCCAGTGAGTTACTAAAACTTGATCACTTGCCCTTAGCAAGTAAGTTCCTATTAAAAATAGCAACGGCTTGCTGTGGCCATTGATTGGGTTGTTTTGACTAAATGTATTCTGGTAATAAGTTTATAGGCTCTGGGTGTCTTTTGTCATGCTGAACTGCTCTTCTGATCTGTGAAATCTTTTAGTTTATCTTGCCTGAATCCTTAACATAAAACTAAGAGTGTAATGTTTTTAAAGGATATCATTTTATTTTCTTAAAACTACCGTGTTTTATTGAACTGAAAATGCAATCTTGAAATAATAATTTGAGGAACTTCTTACCACAAATCATCTCTCTTCCACTTTATTATTTTGTCATTGACAATATTTAGGCACTGGCATTTAAAAAAATGCATTGATAGGAGATAATTTTGATGACATCTTAATAAGTACTTCATTGAATTTTTCAACCGGTAGAGCATTAGCACTTTATACCCTATCTATGGCAGAAATATGTCAAGCACAACAGATTACAGGTATCAAACAGCACCTTTTTAAATTTGTTGTTTAGTAGTGGGAGAGATTGTGACCAGCCCACTATCCAGGTGTGATTTACCGCTGAGAACAAAACTCCCAGAGTCACGAATTTATAGGCAAATAGAAGTGGGCTCCCGGAATAGAGATGCTGTATCAGAACAAAAGTGGCTCTGCACAGAATCTACCTCCAGTAGATATCTGACCAAAGGCAAATTATTGTGATAATTTTTTTCACTGTGACTCTGAGAGACCTGCAGACCATTATAATTCTAAGTTACCTCAAATCAGTTATTACGCTTAAAAAGTCATTTTCTAAAATAGACCTAGGGTAATTAAGCCTCTTTGAAAAGCAGGCATGGTTATGATTTATACAGAAACATTATGAACAAAAACTTTTTCAAAAGCTAAAATGTTATATTTCACGAACCTGTTGGAACCCAAAAGCTGCAGGTGCTTCTTTGAAAAATGACATTTTCATCATCTACTTGACAAGCACAGCTGAAATATCAAAGTTATAAACATTCTTGCTTCTGAGTGCCAGCTGCTGTTTCTGTGGAAACAGCCTAAGTTGCAAATGCAAGGTAAAATGTACTTAACTTAAAATTATGAGGTTTTGAATATTTTACTAAATATGTATTTAGATATATCTCATATTCTTGATGCCAGAAAAATTGACATTTTTATTATTTTATACATACATATCCACATTTGTAAAATTATATAATATTAAATGATTAAAGCAGTTGTTTTTATTCTAAACTTAATCTTATATAAGGTAAATATGACAAAATGAATATGCTTATCACAGATGTTATCAACTACTGTTCAAAATATTAAAAATAAGAAAAATAACACATTACATGTTTATATAATCTAGCACCAACAAAAATAAATAGAAATATTATTTGTTTAGTAGTCTTAGAGGAAACTAATTTTAATTTCAATTGATTATCCATATTATTTTTATTAAAAAAAGAATTAGATTTATTGTTGGATTAATAATAATGGATTCTGATAATTTTATCTTCACTTATCTTGCTCCAGCATTACAACACACAGTTTGGTATATGCAAAAAAGTTATGAAATGACTTCCAATGCCAAATTGTTGCTAACAATGGAGTAATCTTCATATTTTTCTGTATACTTAAATTGGTGATATATGATATAGTCAGTGAAAAAACTTCATTATCTTTCAGCATATTTTCCTATACTTGGAATTCATAAAAGAATAGTAATTTTCATAACTATATAAAACAGAAACAGAACTTTATGATATTCTTTTATTGTGTAAGAGCCAATGAGATTTAAAATAAACATGTTCTAGACCCTAAGATCATAGCTCTGAATCATTATTAGAAGACGCGCTGTTCTTTATTACCAATAAAGCATTTTTAGATGTTGTTTCTACTCTTTAAGTTACTTAAGAGATGAGTTTTTAATAGAAGTAACAGTTACTTTACACCATGGAATATATGCAGCCATAAAAAATGATGAGTTCATGTCCTTTGTAGGGACGTGGATGAAGCTGGAAACCATCATTCTCAGCAAACTATCGCAAGGACAAAAAAACCAAACGACATGTTCTCACTCATAGGTGGGAATTGAACAATGAGAACACATGGACACAGGAAGGGGAACATCACACACCTGGGCCTGTTGTGGGGTGGGGGGAGGGGGGAGGGATAGCATTAGGTGATATACCTAATGTTAAATGAGGAGTTAATGGGTGCAGCACTCCAGCATGGCACATGTATACATATGTAACAAACCTGCACGTTGTGCACATGTACCCTAAAACTTAAAGTATAATTAAAAAAAAAAAAGAAAATATCTGAGATTTAAAATTATCATTTGCATAAAAATATATATGAATATGATTAAGCAACTAGTGCCATATTTGATGAAGTTTTCAGCAACTGGAAATAAGGAAGCTTATTGAGGAGTAACAATTTTAGAAAATTATATTACAACATGATCAGAGTATTATCTGTTAAGATTACTAAGATTACTATTTAAATGCAATAAAAGCTTTTTTTTTTTTTTTTGAGATGGAGTTTCGCTCTTTTGCCCAGGCTGGAGTGCAGTGGCGCAATCTCGCACACTGCAACCTCCACCTTCCGGTTTCAAGTGATTCTCCTGCCTCAACCTCCCGAGTAGCAGTGATTACAGGCACCGGCAACCATACAAAAATGCAATAAGTTTTGTATTTTTAGCAGAGACGGGGTTGGGCCAGGCTGGTCTTGAACTCCTGACCTCGTGATCTGCCCGTGTCGGCCTCCTAAAGTGCTGGGATTACAGGCTTGAGCCACCGCACCTGGCCCACAATAAAAGTATATGTATAAAACTGTTGTACATTAGATAGATATTCTATGTTGTTAGAGTGGAAACTAGTGAGATAGTTTGGTGGTCAAATGAATTCCTATTGAATAATAATTTAAATCAATCTAAGTATTCCCCTAAAATGGCTACACCAAATTTTGCCATTATCATCTGAGTTTTTTGCAGCTAATATAATAATTGTGGAACATGGAAATATTATGTGAATTTTAAGCAAAAACTTAGAATGTAAAATTATATGTACATTATTACTATATTCATGTAAATAATATATTTATGCATATAATAACTATTGCAAGCACATAAAAACTCAGCACTGTGTTACATAGCATTATGAGTGGTGACTATTTTAGGATTTAGCAAACTTTCTGTAATGCTGTTAAATTATCTCACTAAATATAATTTAAGTGCGTGTTGCAGAAAAAAAAAGTAGTTTGGGTACTAAAAAGTTCGTGACTGTTCTAGCTTCTTGGCAAATCACACCTTTTTTTCTAAATAAAACAGCATTATTTGTACCACTTAAAAAAATAAATAAATAAAAGAGTTTTCTGGCCGGACGCGGTGGCTCACGCCTGTAATCCCAGCACTTTGGGTGGCCGAGGTGGGCGGATCACGAGGTCAGGAAATCGAGACCATCCTGGCTAACACGGTGAAACCCTGTCTCTACTAAAAATACAAAAAATTAGCCGGGCGTGGTGGCGGGCGCCTGTAGTCCCAGCTACTCGGGAGGCTGAGGCAGGAGAATGGCGTGAACCCGGGAGGCGGAGCTTGCAGTGAGCTGAGATTGCGCCACTGCACTCCAGCCTGGGCGACAGTGCGAGACTCCGTCTCAAAAAAAAAAAAAAAAAAAAAAAAAAAGTTTTCTAAAGCCTGGATAGATTAACTTGGAACTTAAAAAATACACATCTAGGTACAGGCTGAGTTACCACTGAAAGAATCTACATAATCATCAACTCTTAAGCAACTGATTTTATTTTATTTTTTAGAATTTGTCTTCTGTGATTTGACAAGACACTATATGTATTCAATTATGGTTCTTGAAAGGAAATTGATATATGTGCCTTTTTCTTGGTAAGCAACATGAAAGATATATTAATCTTGAATTAAAGCATTTCAAGTTTCTCACAAGTATATTCACTGATTTTTTAAAATATTAGAATAAAATATATAAGAACAATTAAATATAGATGATCCACATCCACACACACATAAACATTTTTACTACACTAGTGAATTTTAGTGACTATGTTAAACATACATTTTAGTAATAATATGTTGAAATAAGAAGTAAATTTTATGAACATCAGAGGTTTAGCAGTTAGTTTTCTTATTCTTCAGATTATCAATTATTCCATATAATTCTGAAAGTGCTTGAAATTAATGTTTCTGTGTTAGTCTTGATTCTTTTCTTTAGTTTATTAGCAAGTGATAGCCAGGTCCCTAGGCTGAGAAAAGTGAATTTCAGTGGCCCGTTGCCTGTCATTTTAAATGCAGCATATACCTTAGCAGAAAAAAATCAGGAAGTCAGTAGATTCTATACCGACTATTATTTTTCAAATTACGTTGGGTTTTACTAAGATTTAATAAGACTTTTACTTATTTTGACTTTTTCCATGTTTTAATTTTTAAGGTCTATTTATTTTCTTTTACTTTTATATATTTTTCCCTCCCTTTAATTTCCAAGCACACTGCTTTGTTTGACCCCACTTCTTAAGAAAAAGAAATACTGTTGCTTATCTGTAGCATAGTTATATTTTATATGACTGATAAAAATAAAATATTTGTAAACCATGAGGTTGGTAGAAAATGTAAATGTCAAACTTTCATTCTCACCAAATTTCGCTGTATACTAAATGTATCATGAGGCTCAGTAAATCACAAACCCTTTTTCTGCTATCACCCTACCTTCGCTGATACTATTCTGCATCATCATAGTGTAGAATGGGAAAGGTTTAACCTAAGAGGTTAAACCCTGAACCACAATCACCTAGATACTTAGTGATAGAGCTGACACTCAAACTCTGTTTATCTGTTGCCCTTTATTTATTGCACATAATTCTGTACTGAAATCATTTCAAGGTGAGTGTATTTCAACCCAATGTTCTGCTAGTCATGCCTTAAAACAGTGTGATTATTTCCTTTCCTCATAGTCTTGTTGAAACAGGTTTCTATGTTAAAGTAAAAATGCAATAAATATTAATTAAAGTGATTTACATTAATTTTCATTTATCGATATAATAACATATATTACTAATAAAATACAACTTACTTTTATATAATTTTATAATTAAATTTTATATGTCATTCCATTTACTGATCAAAATAACCTATTGAGTTTCTTTTACATAGAACAAATTAAGCATTAAAACATTTTCATCATTTTTCCAACGATACAAAACATGTGAAAATAGTAATTTCTTTTTGATGAACATCTAATGGTCTCTCATTGTCAAAATTTTGTTTGATTTGCCTCGTATTATATTATTAATAAAAGTGAAACATCTATAAAAATACTTAATCATAGTTGGCAATCACAAATATCAAGAGATTTATATCTTTATTTTGCTAATCATCTAAGTTCACTTTTTAACTTACATTTGCCTTAATTCTCAATTGATGATTCTCTATCATGTGCTCATTTTAGGAAATAAGGAATATCTGTAAGATTTAACTTTTAATATTAAAAGCTAAGGAAGAATTTAAGAATTCATCACAACCACGTTTGAAAATAAACACAGATTTTTTTAAATTTTTAACTTTTATGGATATGTAATAGTTTTGCATACGTATGGAGTACATATATTTTGATACAAGAATGTGTAATTATGAATCAGGGTAATTGGGATATCTATCACCTCAAGCAATGATCATTTCCTTGTTTGGGAACATTCCAATTTCACTCTTAGTTATTTTGAAATATGCAACCAATTATTGTTAACTATAGTCACTGTATTGTATTATCAAACATTAGACCTTATTCCTGCTTTCTCATTTTATTTTTGCCCCCATTAACTAATCCTTCTTCCTTTCTTTATCCCTCCCTCCCCACTACTCTTTCCAACCCTCTGGTAGCCATCATTCTAAAGTTTTTTAGCTCCCACATGTAAGTAAAAGCACATGCGGTATTTCTCTTTTTGTGCCTGGCTTGTTTCACTTAGCATGGGTAAACTGTTTTCCAGTTTACCCATGTTGCATCCTAATTATTTCTTTATATTATTAGGGTTTTTAATCTGTCAGTTACTCTCAGGATTAAACAAAAGAAGAATATTGGAGAAAAGTATATTTCATTGCTTGCTTATTACAATTTTACTGTATAACTTTTATCAGTTGAAAGGCGGAAAAATAATGTCTTCTTGTGAATGCTAAATGGTAAGTATATGGGTAGAAAATTCATAAAATTGTATAGTTTTGAACACAAGAATAATTATTATCTAATTCAATAGCAAAGGGAACTGTTTATGTGGCAGTTATGACTTCCTTGAGTGAAATCTCCATGAGGGCAGCTGTTGGTGTCAATTGTGTTCTTTTGATGTATCTCAAGTGCCAGGAACAATGCCTAGCACATGAGAGAAATTCAATAAATATTTGTTAAATTAATGAAAATATATAGTTTTAAATTGTTTTATTAACTATAATATATGAAGAATATGTTATGTTATGAACTTGGGGCACTTACATATATATAAGCTTGCTGCGTGAGTCACCTGCATGTGTAAACTTTCTTTTCCACTTTGGGGAAATGAAACAACATATTGTTGATTCATTCAATAAAAAAGGTACAAGCTAGGAAATTAAATAGTAAAACAGATTAGAATAAGAGAATACTGACATGGGACAATCTCTTTTTAAACTAATTTAAAGTGTTATAAAGTAATTACCTAATGTGAGTGTAATGTGTCTTAAATTGTTGTCTTTCTTTAGTTAGTGATATTGATATTAGCATCTAATTGACAAATCACATTTCTGTAACATGCAGGTCAATTTCTCTCATCAAGCATGTTTTATTAGAACATACTCCAAAAATAATAAAAAATATAGGCAGGAACAATATTTTACATATCTCATTATTTTCCTAGTTTATTACCAAAGTTATTAATATATAGCATGACAGTCTATCCTTTGATTGAACTGGAGTTTCTTATTTGATATACTGAGTCTCATACACACCACTTGAGATTACCAATTAATTCAGGGATTAAAAATAAAGAATGTAGACAGAGTGACAATGTGATGTACTCTGTGGACCCTCTCTCCAGAGAAACTGGTGTACATTTTAAAAATATTTTTAAGCCTATAGAATTTGTCCTAAGGACAAACGGTAAATGAAGAAATATCTAGTAAGAAAATCTATGAAAATTCCTTAGGAAAGTTAAATGTCATTGGTATTTGAACCAAGACCACTCCTCACCCTCTCCTGCTCAATTCTGCAAGGCAGAGACTCTTGCTCAATTTGGCAAGGCAGAGACTCCACTCCAGAAGACTTCTCTGTACCCGGGCCCCATTTGGAGTTTTCCTTCTGGAAACAGAAGGACATCAGTGCTTCTATCTTGTCCCGACTACTAGTTGCTGAGACTGTCTCAGGGGAGTTCAGTTTAAGGGTAGAGGTGCCCTTTCTCCCTCCAGCCATCAATGACTTCAGAAACGATCCCTTCCAAGGAGCCAGAATTTGATTGGATGAGTTTATCGATCAGTTTATACCCAGGGGCATTGTTGAAAAGGATAGAGAAATCAGCTGGCAATTAGTGGAGTTTCACAGCTGCACATGGGGAGGAAAAGGGAGGAAGAGAGACCTACCAAACCACTGTTATCCCTGGGTGACTGTGGGCATATTCAACCCTGTGCCTTCCAGAGGAACAACCAGAGGCCCAGTACTTTGTGTGGGTGTGAGTATGTGTGTGTGGCAGGTTGGGTGGAGAGGTGGGGAATGTACTTCACTAAAATAATTTGGTCTGTCACTGAACAAATAAGCAAGCAAATAACAATAAAAATATCTGGAATATATGGGGAACCAGCAGCCGGAGTTACTACATTGTATTATCTTAAGTGTCCATTTCCCAACAAACAACTACAACAAGAAGATACAAATCAAGCAAAGAAACAGAAAAGCAAAATTCACACACTGAATAAAAGGCAGGCAATAGACATTGTCTGTGAGTGTTCAAATGTCAAATTTAGCAGAAAAATACTTGCCATTATAATCATATTTACAGAACTATAGGAAATAAGCAATACCAATAAAACTAATAGCTGATTTCTAAGTAAAAACAGTGAAAGTCAGAAAACAGTGGGATAGCATATTTAAAGTACTTAACAAAAAAACCTTGTCAAACAAGAATACTGTATCTAGTACAACTATGTTTCAAAAAAGGAAGACAAATTAATGACCTATCAAGATAAAAAAAAAAACGAAAGAATGTGTTACTAGAAGTCTCACCTTAAAGAAGTATTAAAGGAAATTTTTTTTAGGCTAAGAGCAAGTGACCACAGATGATAATTCAAATACACACTGGTAAAGATCATTACGCAATTATCTAAGTCAGTAAGAATAAATATTGTTCTCCTTTCTTTTTTAAACTGATTTAAAAAGCTTTGTATAAAATTATAACTAGAATACACAGATATTCATTATATATACAATGCTAATATATAGTATGCATTAGGTTTGATATATAATTCTTTTAAACAAAATAAATAATATATAATTTACGTATAATTTATTGTTAGGCTCATAACATATAGAAATGCAAGACATATGCAATATATTTATCAATAACAACACAATAGGGGCACATGGGAGCAGAGCTGCCTTGGGTTAGGAAAATGACTAGAGATAGTAAAGTAATAATTGTAACAATACTAATACCAGACAATGTAGACTTTAAGAAATGCAACTATTGATAAAGAGGGATGGTTTCTAATGATAAAAGGGGAAATATGTCAAGAAACTGTAACAATTAAAGACATATATAACACTAAAAAACAGAGCCCCAAAAAACATGAAGCAAAGGCTGACAGAAAGAGAAAAATAGATAATTCAACATTAATACCTGAAGACTTGAATACTCTGCTTTCAATAATGGTTAGAACAACTAGACACATGTCAACAAGGAGGTGGAAAACTTAAAAATGCTATAAAGCAATCATACCTAACAGACAGCTATAGAGCATTCCACCAGATAACAACTGAATATATGTCCTTCTTAACGGTACATGGAATTATTCTTTAGGACAGACAATTTACAAGGCTACAAAACAAACCTCAATAAATGTAAAAGGATTAAAATAATACAAAGTACTTTTTGACAGTAATGGAATGATATTAGAAATCGGTAACAGGAGAAAATTTGGGAAAATTACAAATATGTGTAAGTAAAACCAGACACTCCTAAATAACCAACGAATCAAAGAAGAAATGAGAAGTAATCAGAAAACCACTTAAGGTGAATGGAAATAGGGACACAGCATACCAAAACTTAGGGATGCAGTAGAAGCAGTGCTTAGCAGGAATTTTATAATTGTAAATGCCTGTACTAAGAAATTTAAAAACATTTCAACTCATTAACCCAGTTAAAAATGGGCAAATGATCTGATAGATACTTCTCCAGAGAAGATATGCAAATGTCCAATAAGCACATAAAAAATGTTCAACATCATTATCATGAAGGAAATGCAAATCAAAACCATAATTATATACCACTTCATAACCACTAGGGTGGCTATAATTTTAAAAGACAGATATTAGCAGTGTTGACAAGGATGTAGAGACATTAGAACCCTCATACTTGGCTATGGGAATGTAGAACAGTACAGCTGTTTTGGAAAACAGGAATATCCAGGCAGATAAAAGTTTGATTATTTTGAGAATAATAGTTATAATTCTCTAAATGAGTATAGATCTTAAGCTTTTATTCATGAAATATTATTGTATTTCTAGGGTAATATTTTCAATTAAGTATATACAACAATGAAAGTCTGTTAAGGGTGCTCATCATGCCTTTTCATTTTACATTTTGTCCAAATCTTTCCTTTTTTTTTTTTTTTTAATAGAGACAGTCTTGCTCTGTTGCCCAGGCCGGAGTGGAGTGGCACAGTCATAATTCCCTGTACCCTTGAAATCCTGAGCTCAAGCCATCTCCATACCTTAGCCTCCCAAGTGGCTACTACAGGTGAGTGCCATCATGCCTGGCTGAATTTTAAAAAACAATCTTTTTGTAGAGACAGGGTATCACTGTGTTACCCAGGCTAGTCTCGAACTCCTGGCCTCAAGCAATCCTTCCACCTCAGCTTTCCAAAGTGCTGTGATTACAGGTGTGAGCCAGTATGCCCGGCCCTCTACTTCATAGATTATAATAGTACTAGTGAAACTAATAACTATTTTATATGACAAAAATCCAGAATTTTCTTATTAATTCTTCATAGAAAAATTATCAGTGGAAGTGTTAATTGTTTGGAAAGGTTATAATGCTTCATATACTTTCAACCATTTTTAGTATATATCTGCTAAAATGTATATTTAAAAATAATGAATAAAACATTGAAAATATGTAGGAAAAGATGAAATTGCGATAATTTAAAAAATTACATTCACTTCAATATGTAGGCATTTTTATATAATTTTAATTCATACTAGTGAAATATACACGTGACACATTTAAGCCAGAATGCATGGACATCTGAGTGTTGGGATGGACCACAGGACTAGACTAGACTTGACACTTACCTATTATTCCTGTCTCCAGTTAGACCAAGAAATAGGTCAGTTGAACATTTACCCAGGACATCAATACATAAAAGACTACAAAATATCACTGTGGTACTAGAGTATAAGTAAATAAAGGATAAGGAAAAAAAGTTTCTATATGATTTTCCTATATTCTGTGTGGATCTCCAGAAAGGAAGAAGAATTAAAAATAGAGGAGAAGAAATAACCAAGAGCTACAAAAGACAATTCCTAAAACAGAAAAAATTACAAATTTTTCAAATGAAAAGACTTAATATGGGTTGAATTAATTTTAAAAAGGCCCTGACCTGGCCAATTATGTTGAACACGTAGAAGTTTAGGGTGAAGAAAAAAAAAAACAAACATTTCCAGGACTTTAACAAGAAAAATACACTGATATCTGCAAATAAAGTTTAATTTAATTGCCTAACTCTCATAATTAATAAAGTAGGCTAGAAATCAGTAGATTAATATTTTAGGAAGATTTTATAGTTGTAAATGCCTATATTAAGAAATAAGAATTAAGAAATAAGAAATGTAATAAAAATAAAGAATGTAATTTTTGTTTTAATATTAAATTTTAATTTAGAACGTATTAAATTAGAATTTAATATTAAAATATTATTCAAATTTAAGGTATTTTTTAAATGTATTATGCGGTGATATACAACATTTATTACTTATAATTAATATTTGAAAGAATCCTTCTAGCACAATAGCTAAATAAAAGTAGTCAACCAACTAAATATAGAAAAAGAATGCAAAGGGTATAGGTAAAATAAAGACTGGCATGCAAAAACTATTAAAATACACATTTATGTGAATAACATTTTATCTACAATGAAAATTAAACAGAAACGGGAACTAAAATAAACGAAAAGAAAAAAACAGGAAAAACAAGGAGTGATTGTATGCTAAAGTTAATGTCTTTTATTTGGTAAACTGTAAATGCTGGTTGACAAACTATTATAAATATGTGTATTTATAATACAAGTGTATCTTAGGAATATGAATATACCTATTATATTTCTGGTAGTAAAATAGCAATTAGGAAAATAAAATTTAATTAATTTAATAATAATAATAATTAAAAGGCAATTACAAATAATAATAGCATACCAGTAGGCTAAGAGTCCTGACTTGTAAAAGCATTGGAAGTCCTCACCCCTGTCCTTATAAGAATACCTGAACAACATAAAAATCACAAGCCAGAGATAAAGCATGGCGTATATTTGAGCTCCTGGAGAAAAGAAAGGGATAATAAACAAGAGGGACAGGATTGCCGCCCACCTTAAAGTGAGATGTAGCAACATCTCACAAGGAGTGTAAGCCAACACCTGGCATGCTGATTTTATATATAAAATTGAAGTTCGGAGTTGAAATTGTTGCATTTGAAGTTCAGAGTTGAAATTGTTGACTGTGGGTACATGGTTTTGGAAATGTTCATTTTGGCTATCAATCATATTCTCTAGTTAATATGTAGATTAAAATGAGACTATTCCCATAACCCCTAATAAAATGCCTGGTACAGAGTAGGTTTTCAGTAAATTTTAGTGCCCCTGTTTGAGTGAGTTTGAGTTTTTTTGTGCTGTGAAGGGTAAATAAATTGACCAGAAATTTTTCAAAAATATATTGAAATCTCTTGTAACTCTGGACTGTAATTTATCACTGTAATGTCACTGTTCTGTGATTCTGTGGCATGCTTGTTCATACTGTTGATTTTCTGATTTACTGATTTTTCTGAACTGGTTTTGGAGGGGTCTTGTGGAATAGGAAGATATGGGGGGTGGATTTTGAAGACAGTCAGCTCTTCAAGAGGAATTATGGTGAGTGAGGTTTAGGAAATGTCACTGGGGATGGAGAATTAGTCTGCTACTGGCTAAAATGGGTTTTTAGAGGTGGAATGGAACCTTAGAGGTGGTTTAATCTAACCCCTCATTTTACAGCTATGGAGATAAGTTTAGAGAAGTGAGTTGTGCACTTTTCTTGGATCCTTGAGTAAACTGTGGTTGTATAGCAAACTACACCCCTAATATCTGGAGAGATGGGTGCACTCTGAAAGATACAGTATTGGAGATTTGCTTATCTAGAGCAAAATCCACTAAACACCACAAACTGGTATGAATCTTTCAATGGTAATTTTGACAAATTGCTGGAGTCTAAGTGCTGAGAAACTCCTGGGGGTTATAGTCATGTGGAAACCCCAATATTTTCATAGCTTTCTCTCTTGGAACAAAAACAGTTCTTCTGGTGAGGATCTGGGAAAAATATCTGTCTAGTCCTGAAAGGAGGAGGTGTACAGTAGCCACCATGAAAATCTCAGCCTCTTCTCCCAAACAAAGGTTCAGTTTCTAGGAGTAATGAATTCTCAGAGGGCAATTCTGAACCTTCATTGCAACTAGAAAAATGATTTCTGCCCAACTCCAGGCAGTTTCAATCTTCATGTCTTCTGTAAGTCAGCGAATGGTGGGGGCCATATCATAGCAACCGAGGGACAGAAATTCAAGAAATTAAATGAGGAGAGCTGCACCTGAGAAGGAACTAGAGAATATGGCTGTGGGAGCTACATCCTTGAAGAAGAGACAGAAACTTGTGGAGACAAACACCTGAGACACAGGCCCTGTTAAAGACTTAGGCATGATCCAAAGATTATAGACTGCTCCCCTCCCACATATTCTATCCCTACTCCGTAAGTGTCCAGTATAACAACAAGAGATTACATTGAAAGAACTGCAATACACAGACTCTCTTGAGTGGCAATAAAAAGGGAATTCTAAGTGCCGAGAAGTGAGGCAAAAACAGGAACTGTAGACAAATTTGAAGCCTCTGGTATCTGCAGGTACGACAAAAGTTTAACATAGCGCAAACTCAGATTATCATAAATCCTCATACTAAAAGCCAGTTACTTTAATATCTATTAGCTCATGCAACATAACATGACCTGCTTTCAACAACAGCAACAACAACAAACAAAATTACCTCATACCACAAGCAAAAAAAACCCCAAAAAACAAAAACAAAAAACTGAAGAGACAAGGAAAACAGACAGAACAGAATGCAAAATGCAGTTATGCCATATATGTTGGAATTACTGGCACAGGCATTTAAAATAAGAATAAGACTTATTAACGTGTTATAGGATCTAATGTAGGAAGTAGAAAACATGCAAGAACTGATGAGCAATGAAAGTCATCAGAGATATGAAAATCCTATGAAAGAATCAAAATGAAATGCTAGAAATCAATAACACAGTAACAGAAATGAAGAATGACTTCCTGAGCCCATCAAGTAAGGCAAGAATTAAGGAATTTGAAGAAAAGTCAATAGAAAATTCACCAGCAGAAATACAAAATGAAATAGGAATAAAAATATCAAAAGGGGTAATATGCTTTTAATTGAAATAACAGAAGAAGAACAAGAGTAGAACAAAACAACATTTAAAGTAGTAATGGCTAGAAGACCCACATTACCTGACTCCAAATCATACTATAAAGCTACTGTAATCAATATAGTATTATTTTGGCTAAATAGTAGACACAGCGATCAATATTATAGAAAGTCCAGAATAGATGGATATAAATATAGTCAACTTATTTTTTACAAGAGCAATTCAATTGAGAAAAGGTAGTCATTTGTAAATTGTTCTGAAACAATTTGATGTCCATATGCAAAAGAAGAAAAAAGAACTTAGACTATACAACTCACACAAAAGTTAACTAAAAGGATCAAAGATACAAGATAAAATGTAAAACTAAAACTTCCAGTATAAAATATTGAGAAAATCTGTTTAAATATATGTTTGGGGATACATTTTTATATACAGTGACAACCCAGACTTGAAAGAAAATTTGGATACATTTTATTTTATTATTTTCTTTGTTTTTGTCTTTTTCTTCTCTTTCTTTTTCTTTCTTTCTTTCTTTTTCTTTCTTTTATCTTTCTCTCTTTCCTTCCTTCCTTCCCTTCCTTCCTTCCTCCTTCCTTTTTCCTTTCTTCCTTCCTTTCTTTTTCCTTCCTTCCTTTTTTCCTTCCTTTTTTTCTTCCTTCCTTCTTTTTTCCTTCCTTCTTTTTTCCTTCCTTCCTTCCTTCCTTCCTTCTTACCCTTCTTTCTTTTTTTTCTCTTTAAGAGAAACTTTTAAGACAATAGAGAGCATATCATAAACTGGGAGAAATGCTTGTAAAATGCACATCTAATAAAGAATTTGTATCAAGAATATACAAAAACCTTTGAAATATCACCAATAAGCAACAAAAGCCCAAATTAAAAATGGGGCAAAATATCTAAACAGACAACTCATCAGTGAAGTTATGCAGATAGCAAGGAAGCATTTGAAAAGATGTTCAACTGTATTTGTCACTAGGGAAGCAAAGATTTAATAATTAGATATCACCATACATCTGTTAGAATGGCTAAAATAATTTTTAAATAATTCAAAATACTAATTTTAAGAGGAGGGGTATAAGACACTGTAATGTATTGCTTGTGGAAGTGAAAAAAAGCACAGTCACATTGACAGACAACTTGGCAGTTTGTCACAAAGCTAAGTATAATCTTACCACATAGCACATCAATTGCATACCTGGGAATTTAACCAACTCATATGAAAACCCTCATGTATAAGTTCATAGCCATTTTATTATTATGATTTTTTGATACAGGATCTTACTTTGTTACCCAGGCTGGAGTGCAGTGACACAATCATAACTCATTGCAATATTGAGCCCCTGGGCTCAAGTGATCCTCCCACCTCAGCCTCTAGCGAAAACTACAGATGCACATGACCATATCTGTCTAATATACTTTATTTTTTAAAAATATATAGTGATGAGGTCTATGTTGTCCAGTCTGGTCTCAAACTTCTTAGCTCAAGTAATCCTGATGCTTTGGCCTTACAAATTGCTGGGATTACAGGATTGGGCCACCATGCCCAGCCCAGTTTTATTCTTCATTGTCAAAAATCAAACTAGCCAGGATGCCTTTCAATAGTGAATGGATATACAAATGATGGCATTTCTCTACAATGGAATTACCATTTAGAGATAAAAATTAATGAACTATCATTCTACAGATCAACATAGATAAATCTTAATTGCATATGGCTAAGCGAAACAAGCCAGCTGCTAAGTGAAACAAGCCAGTCTGAAACAGATGCATAACTCTATGAGCCTACTTACCTGACATTCTGGGAAAAACAAACAAACAAACAAAACCCTATAGATATAGAAAGCAGACCAGCTATTGGTATGTGCTTAGTGAGGGAAGGATGTTAAATAGATGAAGCATATGGGAAATTTTTAGTGTGGGGAAATTATTTCATACAATATCGTAGTGGTAGATACATGACACTATCCTGTTAAAACTCATAGAAACTTATGGTACAAATAATAAACCTTAATGTATATGAACAAAATCAACTAGGGTATTGAATAACCTCAGGATGAAATTAAGGAGCTAAAGACAAATTTAAATGTATTACAAATGTATGACATAATCTAACTTACTAGAGTTTGTGGAAAATGTTTTTTACCTAAGTAATTTTGAAAATAAATGGAAACTTGTATTAATTCGTTCTCACTCTGCTAATAAAGACATACCCGAGACCCAGTAATTTATAAAGGACAGAGGTTTAATTCACTTATAGTTCACCATGGCTGAGGAGGCCCCAGTAAACTTACAATCATGGCAGAAGGGGAAGCAAACACATCCTTCTTCACATGGCAGCAGCAAGGAAAAGTGCCAAGCAAAAGAGAGAGAAGTCCTTGTAAATCCATTGGGTCTCGTGAGAACTCACTATCATGAGTTAACTGCCCCCATAATTAAATTGACTCCCACTGGGTCCCTTCCACTACACTTGGTGATTATTAAAATTCAAGATGAAATTTGAGTGCGGACACAGCCAAACCATATCAAAACTCTAAGGACAAAAGGAACTATATGTAGCACCGAACTCTAGATGGTAAAATTGTTTCCCATCGAGGTGTGTGTTAACATGATACATGTATGCTGAGGCTGAGCAAATAGGTAAATGGATGGAGAATGGTAGGAGCCAGCTTTCAGACTCATGACATGAGAGGGCATAGGTAAACCATGTTGGAAAGTTAAATGAACCATGTGGCACCAATTTGGGTTGGATACTTCAGTATGAGTTCATTGTAATTTAATATTAATTCAGATATACGTATCACATATAGGAAGAGAGAAACAGTAAGCACATATAGTGTCCAGATGATGGTTTCTAATGAGTATGGAATGGAGGAAAAGGGTCACTTGATACTGGAGTAACCAGACAAACACTACCTAGGCCAGGTGATCAAGGTTAACGTCATCAGAACCCACACCTCAGTCTAATCATGAGGTAAACATCAGACAGACTTGTAATGAAGGATGGTCTAAACATACCTGACCGGTACTCCTCAAAATGATCAAAGTCATCAAAACAAGGAAAGTCTTCAAAACTGTGACTGCCAAGAGGAGCCTAAGGAGACCTAATGACGACATGTAATGTGGTATCCTGTATGGATCCCAGAACAGAAAAAATGATATTAAGTAAAAATTAGAAAATCTGAATAAACTATGGAGTTTGGTTAATAATTTTGTATTAATATCAGTTTACTAGAGTGGTACATGCAGTATACTAACAATGTAAGTTATTAACAATAGGCAAAACAGGATATGGTTAGAAGAGAATTCTCCATATTATATCTTTGTAAATTTTTTGTAAATGTAAAAGTTATTCTATAATTAGATGTTTATTTTTGAAAGTAAAGATAGAAGGATTTTAAAGAATGAATTAAGTAAAGAGTTTAAAACTTTACCATGTAACTATTAAGACAAATTGGAATTTCTCCTAAAAATCCATGGCAAATAACAGACATAAACTTAGTAAGAAAACACTCAAGCCATGTTAGCAGTAAGAGTAATAGTAAACTTTTGAAATAACGTCTTAACATGAACACTTTGCAGATTGACTTTAAAAAAATCAATTTATTTAGGATAAATTCTAAGTAATTTTGTACATTCCTTATCACAATCGTATGCCAAAATGTGTCATTCCCATTTAAAATTGAGTATATAATGGTTTAAAAATTTAAGCAATGTGTATGAGGTTGTACAGGTCACAGGATAAAAAGTAATTGGCTTGAAGATTTCAAGGACTACATTGTTCTATTTTACTATACTTCATTATATTTTAAAAAATTCATTATATTATATATACTATACTTCATTATATTTTTTAAAAATTCATTAGGTTTGTTATCACCATAAAATTACCATCAACATAAACTAATATGTAATGGACAATTATTTTTGAATTTAGACTGTAGAATGCATTAATGCTGTTGATATTGCTAATGGGATTGAATTAGATTTTTAGACATTTAATTAGTTATAATATGTTTTGCTTCTTTATGATCAAGTATAAAGAAGCTGAGAAAGCGTTGTTGGGCTGCTAAGGGTGGTGTCATAAACTCTAGTACTCCATGGTACTGCCAATAATAAGCTAAAGTAAAATTATAATGCATATTAGGCAGCAAATTGAAAACTTGGATAGCTGCTCTGGCACCTTTTAGAGTTATTTGCACATATTTTGTGAAAAAATGTTTTTCAGATTAGGTCAGACAGCCAGGTAATGTTTTCTGTTGTCATTCATTAATTAGGATAGCCATATGAGACAACATGACTTCCTCCAGAGGTCCTTTTCATGAGAAAAAAAAAGAAAAGTAACAAACATATATAATGAAAGCATACATATATAATGAAAGCATACATATATAATGAAAGCATACATATATAATGAAAGCATACATATATAATGAAAGCAAACATATATAATGAAAACATATATAATGAAACATATATAAAAGAAGTAACAAACATATATAATGACATATTCTTCTCAGGAATGGGGGCACACTGGGTGATAAGTTTTAATCTCAGCTGTTGGCAGGCTTGGCACTCAGTAGTGGCTGTAACCAGATAATGTGTGGTAAATAGAAGTCCATGGTATTGAGCCCATTCATAACCTTCATGCCTGCTCCAGTGACCACATTATTCATGAGCTATCAGGCAAGGTGGATGGCTTAGTGAGAGGCTGACTCACATTCAACAAGCCATTTATCTTGTCCACTTGATTATTAAGGTTCTCTTCTGCTTCTGCTGTTTGTTTTGAAACATTGGCAGGAGATGCAGACACTTTTATTAGGAATGTCTGTCTACATACCTCTTACCTGTCATTTTTGTCAAGAGCTTTCTAATTATGTTTTCTCCAAGCTCCTAATGCTCAGTCCAAACTGTTAGCCTCTGCCTGAAGGTCAATGTAGATCTGAAATTCTGGTCATTTCTCCTTCCAGGTTAAATTAACAAGGTTGTCTGGGTGATATGAGGATTTTCCCTAAAAACTTTGATTAAGAGATATCCTTGAGTGGGGTGCTAATACTGCAGATGCCTACTACTGGTTGGCACTAGAATATTATGTGGAATTATTATAAACCAGGACAAATTTCTGTCCCCTAGAAAAGGGGGAAAAACCTGTAAGAAACTCTCTACAGACCATAAATATCTATTGCGAAAAGGACGGCAATATACTGGTATTAGAAGTCTTGGAGACATGAGCAATTTATCATGCAACTTACTTGTTCTTTCAGTAATTGCTTGAGTCTTATTTGTTTACACTACCTCAATTTGAATATCTGGTGCTGCTATGCACACCCAACTTTATGGTTTCATACGTCAGACAATACCCGGTTGATGATGAACAACTCAAATTTCATGATAAATTGGTGAAAAAATCACCAATTTGATCAAATGTTTAACATTTTCCAGGGCCCAAAAGCAAGCACAGAGTTGTTTCTGAACATGTGAATAATAATCTGCAGAGTATGGCATAGCTTTGCCTCTAAATTATAAAGGTATATATTGTTATTCACCCATGAGACCTACCAAACATTTCAAGCATCATTCCTAACTTTGTTAACTTTAAATCTGGGTAACATGGACAAGTGGCACAGCAGCCTACATGGCAGCCTATACTTGGTAAATCACCTGTTTTCTACAGCCCACTCATAACTGGCATTGGAATTACATGCCCAAATGAAATGTAGTTGACTCTTGAACAATGCAAGAATTAGGAGTGCCAATCCCCACGCAGCTGAAAATTTGTGTATAAAATTTACTCCCCTAAAATATAACTATTAAGAGCCTGCTGTTGACCGGAAGCCTTACTGATAACATAAACAGTTAATTAACACCATTTTTTAATGTTATAGTTATTATATGCTGTATTTTTAATTAAAAATTATGTTTATTGATAGATAATAATTGTACATATTTATGGATTACATGGTATATTGTGACACATGCTCACAATATGTAATCACTAAATCAGGGTAGTTAGCCATCACCTCAAAAATTTATCATTTCTTTGAATTGGGAGCATTTCATATCTTCTAGCTATTTTGAAATATCAAATATATTATTAACTATAGTCACTGTACCATGCTAATGAACATTAGAACTTATTTCTTCTATCTATCTGTATATTTGTACTGATTAATTAACTTCTTTATTCCCTTCCTCCAGCATCCTTCCCAGCTTCTGGTAGCTATCATTCTACTCTCTATTGTCTTTTTTTTTTTTTCTGAGACAGAGTCTCACTCTGTCACCCAGGCTGGAGTGCACTGGAGTGATCTCGGCTCACTGCAACCTCCATCTCCCGGGTTCAAGGGATTCTCCTGCCTCAGCCTCCCGAGTAACTGGGAATACAGGTGCCCGCCACCACACCCGACTAATTTTTGTTTTTAGTAGAGATGGGGTTTCACCGTGTTGGTCAGGCTGGTCTCAAACTCCTGACCTTAGGTGATGGGCCTTCCTTGGCTTCCCAAGGTGCTAGGATTACAGGGGTGAGCCACCGCATCTGGCCATACTCTCTATTTTCATAAACTCAACTTTTCTAGCTTACGTATATTATATGTGTGTTTCTATATATATTTATATATAAATAATTATACATAAATTATAAATATAAAATTTAATTATAAATTGTATATATTTATATTTATATACACACATACTGTATTATAATAAAGTAAGCTAGAGAAAATAAAATGTTATTAAGAAAATCATAAGAGAAAATATATTTACTATTGATTAATTGAAAGTGGAATATCATAAAGGTTTCAACTTTATTCTCTTCACTTTGAATAGCCTGAGGAGAAGAAGGGAAGGAGAGGTTGGTTTTACTGTCTCAGGAATAGCAGAGGCAGAAAAAAAATCACTATATAAATGCAGTTTAAACATGTGTTGTTCAAGGGTCAACTGTATATATTATTTCCAAATTTCAAAGAGGCTCTCTAGGAGTTATTTCTCTCTTAAAGGTAGGAAATATTATTGGTCAGACCTACAAATTCAATGATACATTTTTCTTTTATTTTTTGCATTTTGCAGGGACTACTGCTGTCAAAAATTCATAACACAATCTGCTTTTTTCTCTAGCCTCTAATAACAATTTCTTCTTTTCCCTTTCATCCTTTATTAATATCCTCCTCAAGACCCTTCCAGCTCATACCTGAAAGCTGGTTCCAAAGCTGATGCCACATGTTTTAGCTTTTTGTCACAACAGCAACCTACTTCTGGTACCAATATCTGTTTAGGCTGTCTATACCGTATGACAAATTCATTCTAAAACTTACTGGATTAAATAACAATCATTTTATTATTTCTCATGATTCTGTTTGTTGATTGGGGCTCAACTGGATGGTTGTTTTGCTCCATGTCATTGTCGTCTTGTGCTACGGCTATCTGTAGTCTCTACTGGGCTGGAATGTTCAAGACATTTCACCCATTTGATTCGAATTAATGCTGGCTGTTGGCTTGGAGTCCTTCCATGGATGTTGGTGATAACAACACAGTTTTTCTTAATGTAGCCTTTTTATGTGACTTAGATGTCTAACGGTGTGATGACTGGTTTTTAAGAAGAAGTGTTTTAAAAGATGAAAGTAGAAACTTTAGTTCTTCTAAGGACTATTTTTTGGAAATTAAAGAGTCACTTCAGCTGCACTTTATTGATCAAAGAATCATAGGGCAAGCTCAGATTAAATGTCATGGGAGATGACACTAGGCATGAATAGTAAAAGGTCTCATTCATTAGAGGTGCTATCTGTGGACCAGCAATAACAGTAAGACTTCATAATATTTGTGTCAAATATACACAGTATTAGGAACTCATACTCCCTTATCTTGAATATTATAATATGCACTGCTTATTCATTTTTCTTTATTTTTTTACTCTCATATCCTATTACTCACTGCTCCCAAATTGTTCTATATAAACACAAATAAACGCATCTTTCCACTGCTCAATACTATTTAAAGACTTAATTGGATTTCATAATAGAACTTATGCTCCATAGTTTATATTTATATGTTTAGCTCTTAGCACAAGGGGTTAGCCTGTGGTTAGTGCTTAATACAAGTTTATAAATGAATGAATGAATGATGAATGAAGTACTGTGTAGTGTGAACTTCTCTAATGACAATTCCACTTTTCTAAACCACAGAGACATATTTAATTCATCTATTCTGTTTAGACTAAGGTACAGTGAGCATCCTCAAAAAGTTCAGAGTTTAGTAAGAAAGATGAATATATAAAGTAATAAGAAAAGAAGTACAGAAAATAATTAAAAAACAGTTTAAAAGAATTTTAAGAGAGAGAAGAAGAGTAGTTTAAAAATATAAAAAGTACACGTATGCATGAACACTTTAAAAAAACTCAAAATTATAACTCTTCCTTTAAGAATATGTTTTTTTAAAAAAACAAAATAAGAACAGATGCACAGGCAAGAATGATTTATTTTTATATTATACATTAACACACATGGTCATATGTAATATAGAAATTGATTATTTATTTTGTTTTGTTAAATGTGTAAATAATAGAGTAAGCCATATACATGTGTTGGATTCTGTTGGTAAAATAAGAATACTAAATCTTTTGTCCTCTCTAATGTACATGTTTTGTTCTCCAAATTATTTCTACATGAATTCAAAAAATAAATTGTCAATTTACCTGATTTTAAGTATTATGAATATATAATAACAGCATATTCCTAAAACTCCTGATTTCAACAAACTCATTCCTTGTATAAATGATTATTTTTAGGAAGCACATTTAAAATAATTTTTATTTGCTTTTATTATGCACGTTTGGAATTATTTGTTACTGCCTTTACTTATCGCTTGAAAATGATGTAACTTCTTGGATTAGGCATGCCCATATAAATATTATTTTGGACAGTAAATTAGAATTAATTTCCTCTGCATCCTTCTAGATTGATTATAAAAAGCTTCACTCCAAGACAAACTTCAGATATTTTATATACATTAAATGCTAAGATTAGAGAGTTAAGACCATGTTTTTCATCTAGATTTTGCAAATGTTGTCATAAGATGTAGTTGTGGGTTTGTGTGTGTGTACATTCTTACAAACATGATTGCAACATGGTTAACTTCTATATAACCAAATGAAATGGACTTAATGTAGCAATTTTACTGTACCATACATTAGATTTGAGTTATTTTAAGTTATAGTTTACTTAATTTCTACACATACATTTATTATGATCATGTGCATGCTTAATTTTGGTATTTTTTTCTAGTCATTTTCCCCACAAACACTTTCCCATATAACCTCCAAATCCCACATTAGCCCCATTGTCTATACAGGGATCCTTATTGACAATTGAATATTCAGTTTCTCATAGTTTTTTCTTCATCATAGACTCAGGAAAGGAAGACAGACAATAAAGGGCATTTTATCAAGCAAATTAACATAGTAAGTAACTGAAGATTAACACCTTTGCGGAATTGAAGTGTCACTGTGGAACATACGCCCGCAAAAAGGGACAAAAGAAATTGGGTACTTAGTTACCTGCTCTCATCAATCATTGGTTGAGCACTGCTACTGAAGATATGCATTACTGGGCAATACTTCCAGCCTGCTTCTTGCAGGCAGGGTGGATTCATATTGTCAAAGAAAGCTCTGAGGCAATGATATGGATGCTGATGAGGGAAGTCAGGGTGAAATGTACAGCACTGGTAAGCTCCATGAGGCTGTGGACATGGTAATGTCATTAACTGCCAACAGGGAAACCTTGAAAGGTACTTGTTGAAGATGGTAGAGCCTTCATCAGCCTGTATTTCTACATGACTCTGTGAAACTCCCACCCAACACTGCAGATTGGATTTTAATAGACCAAGGAAAAAAAATCATATTTTAAACAATGAAAATTAGGGGATTTATGTGTTAAAACAACAAATGTAAATGAATGTCTCACATTTTCTGATTTTAAAGGACTCTAAAAAGGAAGAATTACATTTTAAAAATACCCAAAATCTTTCACTGGAATTTGGGATCCTAACACCTCTGTTTCAAATACCTTATTTAAAATTTGTCAAAAGACATATTGAATATTCTTTGTGATTCTCATTCTACATTGCTATAGAGCAATGCATATGACATTATCATATAATTTGTTTTCAATATGAAAATATCTTGTCTACTAGTGTGTAATCAAAATTACCACAAATTTTGTATCTGACTATACCCTCATTAATCACTAAGATATCTATATGTGTCATCAGCAATCAGTTACACAAAAACTATTTTTAATGCCTCTGTCCTTTTAAAATCAATTTAAGAATTTTTGAGCACCATCTTTTAGACTTTGTGATAAGAACAAACATGAACATAGAGATCTTTTTTTTAAGAGAAAAACTTTTATTTTTGTTTCAGGAGTACATATGCACGTTTGTTATATATGTAAACCTGTGTCATGGGGGTTTGTTGTCAAGGTTATTTCATCACCCAGGTACTAGGTCTAGTACTCAGTAGTTGTTTTTCCTGATCCTCTCCTCCCCCAGCCCACCCTCAAGTAGGCAGGCCTCAGTGTCTGTTGTTCCCCCTTTGTGTCCATATGTTCTCATAATTTAGCTTTCACATATAGTAAGTGAGAACATGTAGTATTTGGTTTTCTGTTCCTGCATTAGTTTGCTAAAAATAATGACCTCCAGATCTATCCATGTTCCTGCAGAGGACATGATCTTGTCCTTTTTTAGGGCTGCATAGTATTCCATGGTGTATATGTACCAAAGTATCTTAAAATATTAAGACAACTCCTTAGTGACTTTTTCTCATCTGGATATATAGTGATAATACATTCTCTGATTGGTTGACTTCCCAGCTTGTCTTATGGTTTACCATGGCTAGGTCATTCTCCCAAGACGATTTTTTGCTCTTGGGCTCTCTGATTTTTCTATAAATAAATTCAAATCCAATATATTTTATTTTTCTATTATTGACTGCCTTTAGTTTTCTATTATTAACTATCTTATCTCATATAATCTTTGTAAGAATTGACCGGCTGTTAAACATAGAAATCTCAGACTAACAGTTAACGTGTATTGTATACTTTATTAATCATTAACACCCCATAGATACTAATATTTTTATTAATAGATGAAAATACAAGACCTGGAGATACCTGGTGTCAAAGATTTCAGAGCTAGTAAGTGGCAAGGCTACATTTAACTCAAATCTGACTAAGCCAATATATCCCTGCCATCTGCCCCCTTCTTCGTTGGATTGATTATGCAATGCATATGATGCCCAATGTTCTAGTTACAGAAAAAAATAGATTAAGAATCCATAATGTAAATCATAATTTGAGATATTTATCATTTACTTCAAAGATTAAGAACATTTTCTCATATCCAAATATTCATTTGTGGAAATCCTCATTCACTTGTAATGCTTATCTTAGGTTACTTGACAACAATAACAAACTGGGCACACACACAAACACACAAAATATTATCATGTACATTGTTCCTAAGTTATAAAAAGATAAATCAGTTGCTATTACTAATTTATTCTAGGTATATGACTCTTGTTCAGACAAACCACATATATATTGATAGATTCCTCTATTTGTTGTTATCTGAAGAAATCTATTAATTTTAAATGTGTGGATATTTGAGTAAAGTAAGAACAAAAATTAATATGGTACAGCAACATTGTGTGGGATTTACTCATGTTACTGCCAAGATTTGAGCAGAATGTAGGAAATTAGCATCAATGATCAATGTCTCACAATTTCTTTCATCAAGCTAAATCACAGTCACATCTGGAGTCTTTAATTGTGCCTCACAATTAGTTTAGCATACTGTAAGTGCCAATTTAAAAAGTTGGAAAAGGCAACCTGAAGGTAAGCAATTTCATGAAATAATATATTTTTCTTAAGCTACTACTAGCATACACAATTAGTTTTAGAATTACACTTTCATTTCCATTTCCTTGTAGTTAGAAACTTCAACGTAATGAAGTACTCTACTAAATAGGCATGTTCTTGTTCTTCCATTTCTCACTGCTACTGGGTTATTTGCTATCAAACTCTTATTCCTGAAGTTTATAATCTTTATGGACACTGCACATTTTACATTATTTTTTATCCTAATTCAGAATGAAGTAGCCGTTTGTTTTCTAGGAGGTATCTATACAGTTTTTGAGAAAAAGTTTAGCTTCTCTTAGGAGTCGCCACAAATAAGCTCTCCAGGAAAGAATCCTTTGTGCAGTAGAACATAGCAGAGTAGTTTCCAAATTTAGTATGTATGTGTCACCTGGGGTGTTTTTAAACATTGCAGAGTTTAGGACTCCACCATAAATATTTGAAGTCCATATTTGGGGAGGGGAATCAAGAATTTGAATTTTAATAGGTAACTTGGTGAATCTGATCCCAGTAGTTTGATACTGGTAAATCATTTGTGTAGATTCTAAGAATAAGAAATCTGAAATCAAAATGATTGAGGAGGCCCTTGTTTGTCAATTTATATTGATTCCTGTTGGGGAGACATCTAATGCTTAAGCCCACATGTTTCCTTCAGTTCCAATGGCTCTGTTAGTGCATGCAACTCTGGCTAGGAAATCTTTCCTATTGCTGGTACCTCAGAACAGATAGCATATGTATTCATCCATCGCTTATCAGTAATTGCAGTCATCTTCTAACTGGTCTCCCAGCCTATCTCATCTGCTCTTATATCCAGTGCTGATATCTGGAATGTCCAAAGGATATGGGGCTGGCCTGCTTGCCTAAAGTACGACAACTCAACTGTCTAGCACCTCCTCAGAGTGGCAGTGAGCACACTCATTTTAAAGGTTCAAGTATGTTGGAAGCAGAGGTGAAAATTAGTTTCTCTGCTTACCACCAAATAATATATATAGTATTATTCTGGTTGTGTTTTTAACTATAATCATGATTGAAATTGTAGCCTTGAATTTAGTTATGTTACAAACTTCTTGTCTATTACCTGGCATACTTTTATTTCCTTGAAGTGGAATTTTGTTTTTAAGAGAAAGAAATGAATACTTTTCTTAAGCAGTCACTATCAGAATTTATTCAGTATACCTTAGATATGGGCTTTGCATATGTTGAGAGAGCTTTACCTCTTCACTTGATTGTCTACATTTTATACTTCCTTTACTTAGTCATGATTCACTCACTGATCAGAAGAATCATCTAGTGAGCACACTGTGAACTCTCATTAAGTTTCCTGTTAGATCGATAGACCACAGTTGCTTCAAAATTTCTTCTGTGCATCCTTAATGTAAAACCATGTGTTTTGCAAATATGAGAAAACATTATGAATACTGACTCTGAGATTTTAGAAGTTATAATTTGAAAAGTATTTTATCTAAAATGTTGCACAAAAAGTGACATTTAGACAAGGTCTTGGGACAAATAAGGCTTAAATAAAACAGTATAAATAGTTAAATTGTTAGATGTACCACTTTGTATTCAATTGATCTGATTTAAGATTAGCATGTTCTTTTCAGTCTACTTTATTATTTATAGCATACACTAGGCAACAGTTAGGAAGAAAAACTACTTTTTAAAAGTGTTTGCTATTCTCCTCAAAAATTAAAATTTATCTACTCCAAAAGAGGTGATGGGTATTTGTCTCCTCAGCATCAGTAGTGAGCAGAAAAATCCCACTCTGTGTTTCTGATTTTCAGCCTAAATCTTTTTCATGTTCATATTCTATATAACTTCAAATTCATAGGGGAGTTTCAAGAAAAGTGCAAAGATCACTCATATAAGCTGCATCCAGATTTAGACAAGTTAACATTTTACTTCCTTATCCCCAAATGCTTTAGCATAAATATTTTAATACTAAGGATGTTTGTTTATATAGAAGTCAGATGATCAAATTAGGGACACTTAAAAATGGCACACTATTATTATTTAGTACAAAGTCCATAATCAAATTTTGTTTATTGTCTTAAGAATGGATGGTCCTGATAGAATCTATCACCATTCTTGATTCAATCTACCATCACAAAATTCATTTTGTTTTCTTGTCTCTTTAGTTTCCTTTAACTTGAACCAATTCTTCTCTCTTTCTTTTTCTTTTATGATACTGATATATTTTTTATTATGGTTTTTTACAGTGTGGAAGATACTGATATATATTGAAGAGTACAGTCCAGTTGTTTGTAAAATGAATCTCACTTTGAATTGTCTAATGTTAATGCATGATTATATTCAGCTTACATATTTTTGACAGAATAAATATCTGAGATTTTATTTTCTTAGTTCACTATTGTGGGTGAAATTTGATCATCTGATTATATTGGTATCCACCAGATTTTTCCTTGGTAAAATAAGCATTCCTCCTTTTTTAAGTAATGTGTGAGGCAATTTTTGATACTTATTTACGTTCTATTTTTCATTTATCCAGTGATCATTGTCTCCATTGATAAATATTACCTGAATCATTTATTACTCTGATGTTTGAAAAATGATTTTCTAAATCTATTATTTCTTCTCTATTCATTATACTGCATTCCATTGTTAAAAATAAACTTTTTGCCTTCTCTTTTACCAATCCATCTATTTATTTCGATTTATCATCTACCTATCACATATGTATAAGTATAGTTTGATAGATTAGTAATTTATTCAATGGCTTATATAGTATTGCTACCATTATTCATGATTTGAAGTTCAAATCATGCCTGATTGGACAGTAGTAGCCCCTTCCCTTTGACTCCCATATTCCTTTCACATGATCCTAAATTCTTTTTTTAGTGTTTCCTTACTTTCTGGCTCAAGAATTTTGAGGGTCATATTGTATATATATATATATATATATATGTATATATGTAGTCCTAGCCCTGGGGTCACAAATTTATCTGAGGCCAAGGAAACTCAGGTTTACTTTACTGATGAATGATATTTATAAACCAATATCTCTGTCCCAGCTGTGGTTATTGCTACTTAAATAGCATGGTTCCTAGGTCCCTTCAGCAAGCAGAGAACAGAAAAATTAAATCATTGGCTCAGCCCAATATATGGGAAAATTTCTAATTCAGCGCAACAGTTTCTTTTCTTTTCTATTTTTTTTTTTTTTTGGTATTTCCCAATTCTGTGTTGTACCTTCTTTCTCCAATAGGGAGGGCCCTGACTGCCAACATCTCAATATTTACTTAATTAGCTTAATTCTACAAAACAAATAAAATAGCTTCAGAATGGCAACACTCATCTATCAAAAAAAAAGTTCCAAACTAGTTAGAGTTTTAGATTAGTTTGCATTTATTTTTACTTGTGAATGACAATATATAATGAAATTAAGGTTTTCAAGAGTTCCTGTAACACTTTTTTTTCCTTGAATGTGGTTGTAATTAATCATTTGAAGTAAAGCTAAATCCAATATTAGTTTTTCCCACATATTTGTTGATTTAATCTTATTTTTTGAATATATAAAACATTAATATCTTGCCAAAACTCAATAGCATGCAAAATTATGCTAATCATGTAATATTATCTTATCTTTTATACTCTAGTTTTATGTAGACCCTGTAGCTAACCAAATTCATTAATTTCTTCCTTATCCTTCTTGAGTCTCTTTGCAAAGTAAATGCTATCTTTCTTACTTTTTAAATCTTCACAAAAAAACATTATATATATTATTGTATATTAATATCATATATACTTTGCTGGGCTTTTTCAGTGTAAAAATAAATCCTGGTAATCTGTCCATTTCACTTCATGCAGATCTTTCTCATTTTTTCTACAAAGCCATAGTACTTAATTGTACGTCAAACCAAAGTTTTTCAAACAGTTCCTTATGAATGGGCATTTAGATCACTTTCAATATTTTTCCATTAAAAATATCAATTGCCATGGATAACTTATGTATATGTACTTTTGTATAGTTGAAAGCATAGCTTAGGGGTAAATACCTAGAATGGGAATTCCTCAATTAACAAAGAAATACCTATGTGATTTTATAGTTTGTCATATATCAAATTCTCTTACATGGGTTGAATTTGAACTTCTCCTATTATTAGTAAAGATGAGTAACTTTTCACCAGGTCATTTTTACAGATATTTTTAAATGAATGCACTGTTTATGTCTTTTGCCCATGTTCATTTTCCGCAAAATTTTTACTTTATATTGTTTCTTTATTTTAAAGGTTTGTTATATGTTAGGCATATGGCCCTTTCTATAGTATGTCTTATAAATATTTTCTCTCAGATATACCTAAAGATATTTTCACCAGGCAAATATTTTAATCATTATTTTTAATCAAGCTAAGAGTATCAATCTTTTGTTGCATATGGTTTCAAGTTGTATGTATAAAGCCTATTTTCATACTCAATTTATAGAGTAATTAGTCCTAGATTTTTTCCAAATATTTGTATGACTTTATGCTTAACATTTAGATTTCTTATCTTTTTGTAAATGTTCTTGTGTACAATCCAATCTTATCCATTTTTCCCATATGGCTTTCCATTTTCTGAACCTATATTTTTAAAAGTTTGCCTTTGCCTATTGATGCAAAATGCCACATTTATCATATATGAAACTTCCTTATGGACTAGATTAATTCTATATGTTCAATTAGGTTCTACTGATATTTCTATGTATGCATGTGCCAATATATCACTGTTTTAATTATAGTAGTTCTTTACTATGACTTAATATTAATAGGACTAAACTTCCCTTTGGAAATCTATGTTTTTTATTTTACTATTTTCTAAAGTTTTTTTATAATGGCAATTTAAGTTTCAATTAATCTGGCTTTAGTAAAATACATTGCTGATACTGTTTTTAGGATAATGTTAGATTTAGAAATCAAATTAGAAAAACTTGTGCTCTTTTTTGTAAGTTTGGAATTGGCCAAAAATAAGAGATGCATTACTGTTTTTCTTTTCTCAAGTGTAATGTTGCATCTGTTAGGATTATTTTAAAATTTTCCTCATTTGGGTTTTGCAAAATTCTTAAATTTATAGCTAAGAATTGTATCTTTTTTGCTGTTTTTAATAAATGTTCCTCTCGTAATTTTAGCTTTATAATGTGAATCTTCTGCTGTATTATTCACAAAAATTCATAACTGCTTTATAGTCTTTGAGAATCGTCTTTAAAATTGTTATATTTAATGCTTTTTAACATATATTTTATTTTATCTAATTTTAGAATTTGAATCTTTTTACTTATTATTTCCACCGGTTGGTATATCTTAATCCCTCTCCCCCACTCCCCCTGCCCCCGTTTTGACTCAGGTCAGCCAATTGCACTTTATTTAAAGCATAGAATAAGGTCTCCTTTTTATGAGTCAATAGGAATTTTGCTCTTTTTGTTGTTATGCAAGGGAAGCCTATTCACATTTTTAAATAAACCATATGTTTGGGTCTCAAATAAGTTTTATTTTTGTTTCAGTTCTCTAAGGATTTACATATATATAAATATGTACAGTTTAAGATTAATGAACAGTCATGCAAACACCAATACTAGGTCAAGAAATTAAATAACAAAAACACTCATAAGTTCCCTGTGTGCCCTTCCTTGATGACAATTTTATTATCTCTTCCCAAATGAACCACAGCCCTGAATTTTGTGATACTCATTTTTCATAGTTTCCTTACTCCTAAATGCATTCTGAACCAATAGTTTAGATTTTTTATTTTAATGTTTGTAAACTTTACTTTCCCAATAATATACTTTGAAAGTTTTAGAAATACAGAGTAGTTTTATGAATAGCAGTGAGTATCTCTGTATATTTCACCTAAACTAGTTGTTGAGAGTTGGCATCATTGTGTTATCAGATCCCCTTCTTTCTCTTTCTTTCTCATTCTCTATTTATTTTTGTTAAATTTTGTCCCTGGCTTCTTTGGCTTAAAGTTATAAACTACAACTTCTGAAACCACCTTTGCAAAATTATCACAGTAAGAGAACTCTGACATAGTTGGCCCATCTTGCTTCTAACTTCCAAGCTGTCGTTTGTCATCCTTGGCACAAGCCAAACTAACTTGGGGAGAAATTTAGTTAATGCTTTAACCTTAAAGACAGGTTTATATTAGCCCTTCCCAAAACTAAACTGCCTTTGTAAAACTCATGAAAGTCCACAAAGTTAGGATTATGAAAGGGGCCTAAATTCTACTAAGATGTAGGCATAGTTACATGAGAAGATAATCAGCCATTTTTCTGGAGATCACCAGATTTGAAACTTCCCCAACTACTCCCGTAGATAATATCACTACTATAGAACCTAAGATTGCCTTTTTGAGATGTCTTTTTAGACTTTTTATTTGTGACAATTGACTAACTCCACCTGGACTTGTGATTTGTAACTCAACCAGTCTTGTGGCACCCCATCACACACCTGTGATGGCATCCCCAATGGATCAGCAGCACTAATTCCCTACCCACTTGTCTACCAAACTCTAATTGAAAACCCTTAACCTCTGAGCCTTCAGGGAGACTGATGTGAGAAATAAGTTCAGTTCTTTCTCATGGGCCAGACTCACATCAATTAAACTCGTTCTTTATTGCAATGCCATGATCATAGTGAATTGGTTTTGTCTGTTCAGGCAGGAAGAACCCATCTGGTGATTATACTTCTTCAGTAATTAAGAGATTACTTCTGTAGTTGGTCTCTCAAATAAGTATAGTACATATGGCATTTTTTCCTTCTACAGTGTAGTCTACACTTGTAAAACCATATGCTGTGAAACCAAAAATTATCACATTGGAATTGATTTCATTATATTAATACATTTGTTTTATTCAGGATATGTATTTTTTTCCTTTGATAACTGTTGACATTATGCATGACCTACAGCATTTACACGGATAGATTTTGTGATCTAGACCATAATATTTCTCTTTGTTAATCATATGTCCATATTGTTCCTAATATTGGCTTATGGATGTGAAAGGAAGATGTCTGAAAGAGAAATTTTAGTAAAACATGAATTAACTTGTTTCTGTCATATTTCTGAAAGGATTCTAGAGTAGCAAAGTAGAGAAAAACCTTCATCAAAATATCATTCCAAATTGAGATGGAACAATACACCCATATCAAGGAATCTTATTAATTTGCTCTAAAGTTCTAGGAGTATTCAAAATTTATTGTCATTTCACTAGAATTCAGGTATCCAACATATGGTCTGAAACTAATCAGCAGCCTAGTTGAAAATTCTACTGTATAACATGTGTGAAACTGTAAACAAATATAAAACTTACCTAGTTAGTTAGCACAGGGTCCCCAAAGCTACCTGCTACCAACTGCTCAGAAATTTTGGGCTAAATTTATCTGAATTAGATTAACTATTAATTAAGTTTAAATGTGCGTGTAACTCATTATGTAATGAAAAGGTTTACACATTTTCTTTCAGTAACACATTAGCACAAAAAGGCTTTTAAGGATTAGTGACAAAAATACATTTGAATATATTGGTCATGCATTCTTTCAGTACCTTAACCGGTACTCTCAAAAGATCAAACTCAATTATTTTACCACTATTACCAATTAAAAATTTCACGAAGTCCATTCATTATGGTTATTAATTATACAATACTTCTTAGAAAAAAGAAAACTAAGATATATCAAAAGCATATACTTATGTAATTCACTCAAGGAGGATAATGTCTATCAAGACCTCTTCTTTGCACATTCAATCACATGCTAACTATGCTGAAGACTTAAAATGTGAGAAAAGAGAATCAGAAAAATATACAATGGATGAGGGCCAGGACATGCTATCCCCAAATGTGGCATCTGTTTGAGAAAACAGCAGATGCAAGGAAGTCACTCTTACCTTCCCCTGTTCTCCCCTGATACAGGTTAAAAAAAATCTAAGGAAGGTCACTCTCAGGCCTCCTGTCCTTTTCCCCTAAACCAAATCATAAGATTGTCATTCAAGAGGTTCACTCTATATGCCCAGTAGAAAGGGGCCAAAGACACAGAGACTCAAGGACATTCTGAATAAACAGGCTTTGCTGTTTCCCCTGGTTTATTACTAGTATTACTAGTATATTGTACTCTTTTGTTCTCCAATAATATTTCTTCATGCCTGCCCACTTTTCATCAAACCTATACATAAAAATACACAAATTTCTCTGTTTCTTTGAGTCTTCATTTCCTGTTGAAGGCTCCTTTGCCACATAAAGCTTATATTAAATACATTTGTATGTTTTCATATTATTATTCATCTGTCTTATGTTACAGGGGCCTTAGACCTGCCCCTAGTGATAGGTAAAGAAAGAAATTTCTTTTTGACCTATACAATGTTATGGAAATTAGAATAAAATATCTTACTAAGACAGCTATTTCAATTTGTGAATATAAATCTATCATAAAGTCTAAAGAAATATTAAGGCCATTGTCTATATTAAATAGCAGTAAAAAAAATGGCTTAATCTTGGTAACCCAAATAAATAACCTCATGGATTTTAAATACTTGTTAACTGAAATTGAACAACTCAGCAAGTCTTAAGTTCTCAGTCTTCAAATCCAGGTGAAGGGAATTTAATATAAAGTGCTTACAATGTATTAGGCACTTTTCTTGATAGTTTATAAAGTTTTACAAATTTTAATAATCACAAAATATCTGTTATAATTTTATGGCTTATGGATATAAGTACAAAATTCTACCACTGGCAGCGTTGCAAAATGAGTAATCCAAAAATCCCATGCAAAATATCTAGAAATGCTGAATTAAATTGATGATTTTTTAAATTCTGTAGCTGAATTACCAAGGAATAAAGATCACAAAAGCTGGACACAAAGAGGAAATCTGAAGCAGGAACAGTAAAAAGAGTTAAGTCCTGGCGGATTTGAGGTGAGGTTGCCTATTACAATGTCGCAGGGGCAACTATTTCCCATTATCTTGTAATTACAGGAGAGGAAGTCTTGAGTGGAAGGTAGTTAGAAAATAGAAAATGAGTTTTCCACTTAGGACAGGGGCTTTGTTTCTGAATAAAGGGTACACATATTTATTAAAAACAGGCTACCACAGACAAATAGATGTCTCTCAGTGGCAAAAAAATGTGGACAAAGCAGACTGATCTGATTTTTACTAGGAATTCAAAAGCCTCCTTTGAGAATTTCTAACCATAGATTTTCCTTAGGTGTTTTTGGAGCTTAAATTGATAGCCCAATATAATGAATTAACGTGGAATATTTCCCTGAACTACGATATCCACCCAGGTGATAGGAAGATGGAAACACAAACTTGTTGAGAAAGGACAGACCCTTAAATCTTAAGGAAACATCTGATTTCCATATTAAAATGAATTCAAACTCTAAAATGACAAATTTCAAATAAAAATAACCTACCGTGAGTAGAATTAGCAGAAATAAATGTATCAGAATTTGGCTTCTAAATATAATCTACATCTAATAAAATTTTTATACAGAGATAATAGGGAGCAAATAATTAATGAAGATAATTTATAATTATAAAACATTCATTTCTTCATGAAGACACAATAATTCTAGATACATAAATACTTACTAGTGTTGTTTTCAAAATATATTAGGGAATAATGACTACCAGAAAAAATAACAAATCCATAGACATAGTTGGATATCATAACCAAGACTTGGCTAAAACAGTGATACGACAAGAAAAAAGATAAAGAGAAGGTACGTCCGTGAATAATTGCAGCAATAATATCAGATATCAAAAAGAAAATGCAGTTATCCAAAAATTAAAGAGGATGTTATTGAAAACTTTAAGCCTCTACATTCAAAACTTTATATGAGAAGGAATAATTCTTAAAAACATAAGCCATAAAAACTGATTAAAAGAGAAATAGAAAACCAAATTATTCCTGCAACCATTGAAAATACAGAACAATTTAATAAAAATAGCTTTCTACGAAGAAAACTCTAGGACTTGAAGCAGGCCTGCAAGGCTTTATTTGAAATTGTTGTACCATAACGAAAGAAGACATGTTATTACTCATATACAAACTATTCCAGAAAATTAAAAATGAGAAATTTTTTTATCTCATTGTGTAATACAAGAGCATCCTTGATATCAAAACTCAACATAAGAATTATAGATACAATATTTCTAAAAACCAAAATAAAAGTTTACAAACTGTATCTTGATACTAATAAAAATGACAAAAAGCAATAGAGTTGATTTAAGTGATACTAAAAATTTTTCCTATGAAAGTGTATATTGCTTCATAATGTGCTATTGGTAAACTACAGAAAAATGGCATAGAGATTATTTTGAAATAAGGTCTGGTTGAAAGACAATATAGGAGATTTCAATAATTGCAAAGTATGAAGAAAGGCTTAGTAAAATTGTAACTGAATTTGTAAGTGGAAAAAATAGTTTAATTTTTGTTCTAGCTATAACTAAAGGACAATGTGCCTTTAAATAAATGTTAAATTTGTGTAAATATTAATGCTTTTTAAATATAATTTTGATATTTCACTTTCCAAGTGTGTGTTGTGTGTTTATGTCAAGGTTTAATTTCTGTCCTTTTTAGAGTTTACATCTTATAAAGCAAGGAGGGTTCAGATTTGCAGTCATATTGTGGTGAACTTGAGGAAAAAAATGACTAAAAAATAATTTTAAGCTTTCTTCCTATTTCTTGTGTGAATTATTGCCCATCAGAAGAAATAGAAAAAAATAACTCACAATACTGCTAATATAAAATAGAAACATTCTGCACTTTATACTATTATTGTAAATGTAATTTTGTGTTGAATTATTTTTATTTTTACTACAAAATTATAAAATCTCAACTGGATACTATAACTACAGTTTAATTTTAATTTTTGGTTGCTGAATTTTCACGAGAATAAGACAATGTGATTGTAATGTTTTATATACTCTGCAAATTGTAGCAGGTTATTATGCTGATATTTTCAATTATATCTAAATTTGATTGTTCAGCAAATTTGCACCTTTCATTTGCAATGCTAATATCCTAAAAATTTGCAATCAGAAAATCCTGAAAATAACATGACAATGTGTATATTCTTTCTCAATCTACCTGGCTGTCAGTAACTATTTATGTTTAAACATAGCTAACATACATAAAAAAGAAAACAAAACACAGACCTCTGAAAGCTTGCTTGGTTTTGAAAAAATATATGGAAGTTATTAAATTACACTATATTGGGGACATAAAATCTATTCTTCTAGTGCTGGGTTCAGTCACAATGACTTTGAATACAAACATACCAGGTGACAGTATGTGTGTGTTTGTGTCTCTGTTTGAGTGTGTACTTTATTATACAATAATCAATAGCATCAATCATATCTAGTCATTGTTAAAACATATGTCTATTTTTATAATTTTAAATCAATTAATGAACTCTCAGCATATAAACAGAAGACATTTAAAGTTGGTATTTTAAAAATCTAAAGTATAATATACACTTGGTAATATATCCAAATAGCACAAAAGCATATAATAAATGTTATTCAGCCCATCTAAAGACTAAGAGTTCAGAGAATTTTTTCCTTACATTTTTTCAGAATTGTTGTATTCATGTGAAATAAATCTTTTAGAATTTCTTTGTAATTCTTTTGTAGTCTCAATATTTTATTTCTTATATTTCATGACAATATTGGTATTGAATTAAAATATAGAAACATAAAAAGTGCACAGTTTCAATTCAATTTTCACAGTGTGTGAACATACTTGGGTAACCCTACTTTGTTAAAGACACAGAATACTGCTATCATTTAGAAGATTGCTGTCCTAAAGCTCTGAGACAACAACCCATTTCTTTTATTTCACATTGAATATGTAATTTTTTCATTTTTCTTTAAATTATTAGTTCTTGACATTAGTCAATCTGTATGTTTTCAGCATTGTGTATTTTAGTATTTAATGTTATGTTTACATTTACCTGTGGTATTCAATAGTACCAATAGAAATAATAATGAAAGATTATTAAAATTTTTATATAAATTGGCTACTGAATGGTAACCATTTCTTCTGGCAATTATTGTAAGACTTTCGTATGTGTGCGGTTTTTTTTCCCATAAGTTATTGGGGTAAAGGTGGTATTTGGTTACTTGAGTACATTTTTTAGTGGTGACTTGTGAGATTGTGGTGCACTCATCACTCAAGCAGTATACACTGCACCATATTTGCAGTCTTTTATTCCTTGCCCCCCTCCCACTCTTCTCCCCAAGTCCCCAAAGTCCACTGTATCATTCTTATGCCTTTGTGTCCGCAAAGTTTAGCTCCCACGTATCAGTGAGAACATACGATGTTTGGTTTCCCATTCCTGAGTTACTTCACTTGGAATAATAGTCTCCAATCTCATCCAGGTCACTGCAAATGCTGTTAATTCATTCCTTTTTATGGCTGCGTAGTATTCCATTGTATATATACGTATATATAACACAGTTTCTTTAATCACTTGTTGATTGATGGGCATTTGAGTTGGTTCCAGGATTTTGCAATTGTAAATTGTCCTGCTATAAACATGTGTATGCAAGTATCTTTTTTTGAATAATGACTTCTTTCTCTCTGGGTAAATCCCAGTAGTGGGATTGCTGGATTAAATGGTAGTTCTACTTTTAGTTCTTTAAGGAATCTCCACACTGTTTTCCTTAGCAGCTGTACGAGATTACATTCCCACCAGCAGTGTAGAGGTGTTTCCTGTTCACCACATCCTTGCCAACATCTACTGTTTTTTCATTTTTCGATTATGGTCATTCTTGCAGGAGAGAGGTAGTATCGCATTGTGGTTTTGATTTGTGTTTCCCTGATCATTAGTGGTGCTGAGCATTTTTTCATATGTTCGTTGGCCATTTGTGTATCTTCGTTTGAGAATTGTTTATTCATGTCCTTCGCCCACTTTTTGATAATATCACCATCATTTTTCACAGAATTAGAAAAAAAACAATTCTAAAATTCATATGGAACCAAAAAAGAGCCCACATAGTCAAAGCAAGACTAAACAAAAAGAACAAATCTGGAGACATCACACTACCTGATTTCAAACTATACTATATGCCCATAGTCACTAGAACAACATGTTACTGGTACAAAAATAGGCACATAGACCAGTCGAACAGAATAGAGAACCCAGAAATAAACCCAAATACTTCCAGCCAACTGATCTTCAACAAAGCAAAAACAAAAAAACAAAAAACAAAAACAAAAAACAAACAAACAAAAAAAACATAAAGTGGGGAAAGGACACCCTTTTCAACAAATGGTGCCGGGATAATTGGCTAGCCACATGTAGGAGAATGAAACTGGATCCTCAACTCTCACCTTATACAAAAATCAACTCGAGATGGATTAAGGACTTAAATCTAAGACCTGAAACTATAAAAATTCTAGAAGTTAACATTGGAAAAACCCTTCTAGTCATTGGTTTAGGCAAGGACTTCATGACCAAGAACCCAAAAGCAAATGCAATAAAAATACAGATAAATAGTTGGGACCTAATTAAACTAAAGAGCTTTTGCATAGCAAAAGGAACAGTCAGCAGAGTAAACAGACAACCCACAGAGTGGGAGAAAATCTTCACAATCTGTACATCTGACAAAAGACTAATATCCAGAATCTACAATGAACTCAAACAAATCAGTAAGAAGAAAACAAACAATCCTGTGTGTGTGATTTTAAGAAAAATGTATTACCTAATTTGTAAACAGACTATAACCATGCAACTATATAAGAGTTTATTTTTAGGTGAATATCAGAAAAGAAATGAGTACTTGGAAAACATTAACTTTGCTTTATTTTATCTTTCTTGTATAATACATATGATGTTTAATCAAGACTCTTTACCAACTTGTGAATACAAGTTTTGATACTCATCATAAATATATCTTTTCTCAGCATTTCAACACCTGGGGTGAATTATGATAATTAAGTACTATATTGTTATGTTTTTACTTTTCCTTTCCAGCCCCTACTGTGAAAATTCAATTTCCAGATGCTTTTTATGTTTATAGTTTAAAGGTGTAAAAGAGATCTGCTTTTTCTAAGCTTTCAGGTTTGTCATATTAGAAATTCCTTTTACAGCACTCTTTCATTACTTTCTTATTTATCTAGCCAAATTAGGATGCGTATTTTTCAGGGAAAAGAAGAGGTTCTGCATTTATAGGTTGGGTTTAAATAAATACATTTTAATACTTTAATTCATTATCATTAATATTTTTATGAGAAGATAAGCAAATAAAGTGTAATTTAAATAATATTAAATGTTGTCTGAAGACATAAAATTCAAATCTGTCATATGTACCCATAAAAATTAAAGATAAAAAAATCGGATCAAATTTTTATTTGATCAAATGAAGATAATTCCTTTCTAACATAAATATGGTACACATTAAATGAGATAAACAATGTAATGTGTTCTAAAAACTATATAGCTCTATATCAATATTATGTTTATATTGCTATTGCTGCAACGTTATTTTCTCTAGATACATATTCTTAGACTTGATTTTAAAATTTTTTTTTTTTGAATTTTAATAGCTTTCAGTGTAAAACTGGTTTTTGGTTACTTGGATGAATTTTACAGCAGTGAAGTCTGGGTTTTTGGTGCACCTGTCACTCAAGTAATACATGTTGTACTCAGTAGGTAGTTTTTCCCTCACTCCCCCTTCCATCTTTCCCCTTCTGAGTCTCCACAGTCCTTTATATCTGTCTGTATGACTTTGTGTGCCCATAGCTTAGATCCCACTTATAAGTGAGAACATACGGTATTTGATTTTTTATTCCTGAGTTATTTCACTTAGAATAATGGCCTCCAGTTCCATCAAAGTTGCTACAAAATACATTATTTCATTCCTTTTTAAGTCTGAGTAGTTTTCCATGGTGTATATATATCACATTTATTTTATCCACTCATTGTTCAATGGACACTTAGTTTGGTTCCATATCTTGGCAATTGTGAATTGTGCTGTAATTAAACGTATGCATGCAGGTATTTTTCTGATATAATGACTTATTTTCCTCTGAGTAGATACCCAGTAGTGAAATTGCTGGATTGAATGGTAGATCTACCTTCACTTCAAGAAATCTCCGGCCGGGCGAGGTGGCTCATGCCTGTAATCCCAGCAGTTGGGAGGCTGAGGCTGGTGGATCCGAGGTCAGGAGGTTGAGATCAGCTTGACCAGCATGGTGAAACCCCATCTCTACTAAAAATACCAAAATTAGCTGGACATGGTGGTGCACACCTGTAATCCCAGCTACTCAGGAGGCTGAGGCAGGAGAATGGCTTGAACCCAGGAGGCAGAGGTTGCAGTAAGCCGAGATCGCGCCATTGCACTCTAGCTTGGGCGACAGAGAGAGACTCCATCTCAAAGAAAAAAAAAAAAGAAAAGAAAAAAAAAGTCTCCACACTGTTTTCCATAGAGGTTGCACTAATTTACATTCCTACAAGCGGTGTATAAGCATTGCCTCTTCACCACATCCACGCCAACATTTGTTATTTTTTTTTTTTTACTTTATTAAGACATTCTTTCAGAAGTAAGGTGGTATCTCATTGTGGTTTTGATTTGCATCTCCCTGATGATTAGTGATGTTGAACATTTTTTCATATGTTTCTTGGCCATTTGTATATCTTCTTTTGAGAAATGTGTACTCACGTTATTTGTCCACTTTTTGATGGAGTTTATTTGTTTTTTTTTTCTTGTTTTGTTTAAGCTTCTTGTATATTCTGGATATTTCTTTTGTTGGATGCATAATTTGCAAACATTTTTTCCTATTCTGAGGGTTGTCTGTTTACTCTGATGGTTATGTATTTTGCTCTACAGAAGCTTTTTAGTTTAATTAGTTTACATTTGTTAATTTTTGTTTTTATTGCATTTGCTTTTGGGGTCCTAGTTATGAATTATTTGCCTAGGTTAATGTCCAGAAGAGTTTTTCCTAGGTTATCTTCTAGAGTTTTTGTGATGTCAGGTCTTAGATTTAAGTCTTTGGTCCATCTCGGGTTGATTTCTGTATAAGGTGAGAGATAAGGATCAAGTTTCATACTTCCACATGTGGCTATCCAGTTTTCCCAGCACCATTTGTTAAATAGGGAGTCCTTTCCGCAATTTATATTTTCGTATGCTTGGTTGAAGTTCAGGAGGTTGTAAGTAACTGGTTTTATTTCTGAGTTCTCTATTCTGCTTCATCCGTTTGTGTGTCTGTTTTTATACCAGTACCATCCTGTTTTGGTGTCTATAGCATTGTAGTATAATTTGAAGTCAGGTAATGTGATGCCTCCAGATTTGTTCTTTTTGCTTAGTCTTGCTTTAGCTATTTGGATTTGTTTTTAGTTTCATATAAATGTTAGGATGTTTTTTAATTCTATGAAAAAATGATGTTGGCATTATGATAGGAATTGCATTGTATCTGTGGGTTGCTTTGGGCAAAATGGTCATTTTCATGCTACTGATTCTTCCAATCTGTAACCACAGGATGTGTTTCCATTTGATTGTGTTATCTATTATTTCTTTCAGCAGTGTTTTGTAGTCTTCCTTATCAAGATCTTTCACCCCCTTGGATAAGTATATTCCTAGGTATTTTTATATATATTTTTTTTAGTTGGCATTTAAAAAAAATACTGATTCAATCTCACTGCTCCTTATTGGTTTGTTCAGTGTTTCTATTTCTTCCTGATATAATCTGAGAGGACTGTATGTTTCCAAGCACTTACTCATTTCCTCTAGATTTTCTAGTTTGTGTGCATAGATGAGTTCATAGCAGTCTCGAATAATCTTGTATTTCTGTGGTGTCAGTTGTAATGTCTTCAGTTTCATTTCTAATTAAGCTTATTTGAATATTCTCTCTCCTTTTCTAGGTTAATTTAGTTAATGGTCTGTCAATTTTGTTTATCTTTTCAAAAAGCAGCTTTTTGTTTTATTGATCTTTTGTATCTCCTTTGTTTCAATTTCATTTAGTTCTGCTGTGATATTTGTTAATTCTTTTCTTCTGCTAGTTTGGGGTTTGATTTGTTCTTGTTTCTCTAGTTCCTTGAGGTGTGACATTAGGTTGTAAATTTGTGATCTTTCAGACTTTTTGTTGTAGGCATTTAGTGCCACAAACTTTCCTCTTACCGCTACTTTTGTTGTTTCCCAGAGGTTTTGATAACTTGTGTCACTATTATCATTCATTTCAAAGAATTTTTTAATTTCCATTTTGATGTCATTGTTAAACCAAATATCAATCAAGAGCAGATTGTTTAATTTACGTGTATGTTTATAGTTTTGATGGTTTATTAGTTGATTTCTAGTTTTAGTCCCCTGCGGTCTGAGAATACACTTGATATGATTTCTTTATTTTATTTTTTGAGATGGAGTCACTCTGTCACCCAGGGTGGAGTGCAGTGGTGTGCTCTCAGCTCACTGCAAACTCGGCCTCCAGGATTCAAGTGATTCTCCTGCCTCAGCCTCCTGAGTGGCTGGGACTACAGGCCCCCACGACCATGCCCGGCTAATTTTTTGTTTTTTTTGTATTTTTAGTAGAGACGGGGTTTCACCTTGTTAGCCAGGTTGGTTTCAATCTCCTGACCACCCGCCTCGGCCTCCCAAAGTGTTGGTATTACAGGCATGAGCTGCTACATCATTTAAAAAAAAAATTATTGAAACTTGTTTTGTGGCCTATTATATGGTCTGTCTTGGAGAATGTTCCATGTGCTGATGAGAAGGATGTGTATTCTGCAGTTCTTGGGTAGAAAGTTCTGTAAATATCTGTTATGTCAATTTGTTGTAGAATGTAGTTTAAGTTCATTGTTTCTTTGTTGGCAATTCTTCCTGGATTGATGATCTGTTAGGTCCTGTCAATGGAGTGTTTAAGTCCCCCACTATTATTGTGTTGCTGTATTTCTCATTTTTAACCTAGTAGTAAATTTTTTATAAATGTGGGAGCTCCAATGTTAGGTATATAATACATTTAGGTATGGAATATCTTCCTGTTGGGTTGATCCTTTTATTATTACATAATGACCTTACTGTTGTTGCAGTAACGTCTGTTTTATCTGATATGAGAATAGCTACTCTGGCTCTTTTTTGGTTTCCATTTATGTAGAAAATTTTTTTCCACCCTTTTACCTTGAGTTCGTATGAATTATTACTTGTTAGGTGAATCTCTTGAAGGCAGTGGATATTTGGTTTGTGATTTTTTATTTATTCTTCCAATCTGTATCTTTTAAGTGGGGGCATTTAGGTCACTTACATCCAATGTTAATATTGAATTTTGACACACTATTCCAGCCATTATATTAATTGTTACCTAGATATTTAGTTTTCTTCATTGTATTATTGTTTTATAGGTCCTATGAGTTATATGATTTCAAGAGGTTCTATTCCGGTGCATAACAACCTTTTGTTTCAGGATTTGGAACTGTTTTTAGTATTTCTCATAGAGCATCTGGTAGTGACAAATTCCCTCAGCATTTGTTTTTGTGAAAATGATTTTATTTCTCCTTCATTTATTAAAGTTAGTTTTTCAGGTCTTTCCCCCCCAGTAGTTCACTAGCAACAGCTAGCTAAATTCCAGGCAGTGAACACTCAGAACTCAAAACTGCCCCAGGCCATAAGCCTTTGCTGCAGAGACAGGAACCGTGGCTTTCAGGCCATGTCCCTCTCAGTCAACCTGCAAACCCTGGGCAACCAGCTCCTGCATCCCTGGCTGCAGCACACTTCCTACACACCCCGTAGTTTTGGCCAAGGGTGTTCATCCCCACTGGAGATTATATTACAAATTTCAGTTCGGACCTTCTCTCCACCTGTGACTGCTGCCTAAGTTAGTTGGCAGACTTCTGCTAGGTCTCCTGTGATGTAGAATCAGGAATGGCTTCCTTCTGTCTGGCACTACAGACTGGGAATGTGCACTGTTGCTTCTACTTTATATTCCCCACCACTCTCTATATCACTTCCAGTGCTGGGAAAGCTTAAGGCCTTTCCCTGTAGGCTGGATTGCCAGGTTCCTGGTGGGGGTGTATATCCTGGAGGCAGTCTCTCACACTCTGGGGACTTCAAGTTTTTTTCCTGGTGTACAGTGTAGGCTGCAGCCTGCTGCTTCTTTCAAAGGGTCTGTCATTTCTTTCTATTTTCCAGTTAAGTTCCTGCATTACTTCTTCAAAAAAAGTTCATGGTGTGAACCTTTATATACTATTTTGTCTTTCCAAGTGGGAGAAGCATGCTAACACTCCCTCCAGTCTGCCATCATGAAGAAAAAAAAAAAACAAAAAACCTAGACTTGATTCTTTTGATTCTTAATGTATAAAAAAAACTATGTAGTATGTTTAATTGTTGTAAAATAGATGAAGGTAATTACGTGTAGATTATTATGGAGAAACCAAGTGTAAACCATTCTAAGATTTTTAATTAGCTTAAAAGAGTTACCTAATTTTTAAAAATCTGTTCTTTAATAGACAGGCCAAATTTAGATGGCAAATATTTAATATTACTTTGACTTAATAGTCTATAAATTATTTGGACATTTTAAAATGACCATTTGAGTATAAGTGCATAATAAATGCTTGAATCATTGTGTGTGTACATGTGTATACACATAAATGTAGATATAATTGGTATTTTCTTATCTGTGTAAGAATTAATACATATGAGGATTGAAAATATCTCAACTCAGTATTGGCAAGTACCATTTCAAAAAAACAGAAAAAAGATAATGAGAAATTAAAAAATGAGAGTTGTAAAAAGTTAGTGATTTGATGCAAGTATTAGATATATTCAGAAATGTCTTAAAATATTGAAAATGAGATTCACTGACAGGAAACAGGACATTAGAATATTCCATTATTAATTTGCTGTTTTTAAGCTTGTTTAAGCAGCTATCAGGCAGTACATCATGTTGTGTTTTACAATTTCAGCTATTAAACATAATCAAAAACAAAAAAGGATACCAAGTAACAGATTCTCTGTCCTTAAAAATGCCATTTTGTCGATTATGTATAATTTGCCTCCAAGCTGAAGTGTGTGTGAGATAGCTGTCAAATTTTTCTTTTCTTAAATGTTGAAACATAATTTGGCAATTTTATTACAAAAGAGAGAGCAGTGTTGAGACATAGAAGAGAATTATAGTTATTCTTTAGTGTGGGAATTTAGAAAAATTTCTAAAGGAAGAGAGGACTAGAGCAAACGTTAATGTCACTATTCCACACAAATATTTAAATGAGAAAAGTAGCAGAGTGTGGTGGATAAAACTGTGGAGCCAGACTGGTGTTAAAATTTTAGCTTTACAAGTTTCTGATTGGGGAATGGGCAAGTAACCTCTCTGTGTATTAGTTTCTGGTCAGAAAATGGGGATTAATTTAGATTAATTGAAATAAACCTTGTACAAATAAATTATGTTTTCAGTCTTTCAGACTTTAACTCATTGTGATTCTAAAATAAATAGAAATAATTTTAGGTACCTATCAAACTATCATAATCTATATCCTAAATGGATTGGTTATAAAAATGTTATCTAGGCCCTATGCCTGTAGACTTCCAATAAACATTGGGACCTAAACCATAATGCCACAAATGTCAATCATGTCATGTTTTGAGCAAGGTGTATGAGATGACTTATATCGGTAGAGCTTGAGGAAGTTGCAACCTTACAACCTTATCCCTTCATTTTAAAGTTTGTTGTTGTTGTTGTTTTTTAATGATGACAACATAAGCAGTGACTAGCATTTGGCACATCATGATCACAAAATCCTCCATTTCTTTGTCAGCCAAGGGTTTCATTGTCTATTGATGATCATTGACTTTAACAGTTAAATAGTTTGTAAAACAGCACTGTCATCAAATCAATAGAAGAAAATATCATTGAATGTGAAGATATATCAGCTTTAAACTGCATGTTTCTAATAACACAGTCAGAAAACATACATCGTGATAAATGCAAGGAGAAAATGAAAATATGAAACTTGTTTGGAGATTTTTACATACTTTCTCTGCAACTCATAGAGCTGGAAACAAACAAAAAACAGCTTTGTAAGATCTGGAGAGCAAAAATCCGAGCTTGACCATGGACATTAATGAAACATTTGAATGAATAACTTAAGAACACTTATTCTTTTCCAGCACATGTGGAATATTTACATGTATTGACCATAGTTTTGGTTATCAAAATGCTCTTAAGAAATTCAAAGAATTGACATCATATGGTCACATTCTTTGACCAAAGTGCAATTGTTCAATATTAATAACAGAAGTGTAAATTATGTGAATCACATACATTTAAAACTTTAAAAAATGTACTTCTCTAAACTCATTGGCCTGGCAAAAAAAAATATGGTTAAACAACAAAAAAAGTTAGTTTTAACTATAATTCAGAAAACTTCACTTCTCTTCCTCTGCTTCTTATGGTGGGTAGAGTTTTTTTCACTTGTATTCTTTCCACTCAGCCTTAGGACTTGCTTTGGCCAGTGGGAGGTTTCATGCATGGAAGTGGGAAATGGAAAAGCATTGTGCAGTTGGGGTTGCCTCTTAAACTTCATGCCATCGTCATGAGAAGAGATTCCCCTCGCCAGTACCCCTGTCTTATTCAAGGCCCCAGGATAAATATATGTGGAGTAGACCTGAGTTCAAACCACAATGAAGATCCATGCCATGCTTGGCCCATGGATTTTAACACAGCCACCCAGCTCAGCTGAATCTAGGTTACCTGAACCAGCTCAGCTGCAATTACCAAGCTTCCTCAGAGGTCCCAGAGATACACGACAATTTAATATTTATTGTTTTATGCCACTGACATGTTTTGCTTTTTTGATATTCAGTATTATTTTAGCAATAGATAAGCAATATATAACTAATACACATTTGAAAAAAAGTAATTCATCTGAGAATCTGGAAGAGCAATATTAAGTAGCGATTTTAGTAATAAATAATTGAACTAGAAAGGAAAAAAATGTTTTAAATAGTTAACAATCCAACATAAAAATAATTAGAAAAACAGAATAAAACCAAAGAAAGTAGGGCATGATTAGAAAATGTAGTACAGAAATTAAAAAATCAGAAAACAAATAGAATTGTGATGGTTAATTTTATGTGTCACCTTGACTGGTTTATGATATACCCAGACATTTCGTCAAACATTGTTCTGGATATGTCTGTGAGGTGTTTCTGGATGAAATTAACATTTGAATTGGTAGACTGTGTAAAGTAGATTGTCCTCTCTAATTTGAGTGAGTATAATCAGTTGAAGGTCTGAATAGAGCAAAAAGCTGTTCCTCCTGTGAGTAGAAGGGAATTCCACCTGTTGACTGTCTTTGAGCTGAGACATTGTTTTTCTTTTTTTGTTTGTGTTGCTGGCCTTTGGACTGGAACTATACTATCTGCTTTTTTTGTGTCTCCCATTTGCCAACTGCAAATCTTAGGACTTAGAAGACTTTATAATTGCATGAGCCAATTCCTTACAATAAATCTATATTTATGTCTATATATTTACATATATGTATGTACATCCTATTGATTCTGTTTCTCTGGAGAACTCTAATAAAAGAATATAACCAAAAAATTTCCTGTATAAAAATGTATAAAATAACAATAAAAAAATACATCTGGCTGAAGTAATAAATAAAAAAGCTACACATAAATAATTATAAAAATAATACATATAGGTTATATCAATATATTAATATATTAGATTACATCAGTGTATCCAGAGACACTAAAAATATAAAATAAGAATTTTAGAATAATCTTTTGTAAATCATTTTAATACAATTGGCTAATAATTTGCAATTTCCTAGAAAAGTGTAAATGACAAAATTGTATAACAGAAAACTAAATGGTACTATTATTATAATTTACATGAGTAATTAAGTGTCTTCCAACAACAACAACAAAACAGCAGCCCACATAGATAGGGAGATTAATTTTACTAGATACCCTAGAAATAGATTATTTCCATTTTATAGTATTTCGTTAAGATATGAGACAAAGAATACTTACCACTCAAATTATTTTATGAGTTTGGTATAAATTAAATATCAAAACCAGATAAGGACAAAATTAAAAACAAAAATGTGTTTCAAATTTTAACTCAGATGACAAAATGCTAATGAAATATTTATCACCTCATTCCACGAGTGAAGTTGATAAACCATTACCACATTTAGTTTATTTCAGGAATTTGAGATCATTTCAACGTTAGTTATCCTATTAACTGATATATCATATTAACTGATTGAAAGATAAATACAAATTATTATTTCATTGGGTACAAAAAATATTTTAGGAAATTCAAAAACTTTTCACGGAATAAAAACACAATTAAGGATTGAATAAAACTTGCTTACTTTGAAAAAATATTAGCAAGCACAAAACCTAGAGGGTTCAATGAAAAAAAACATTAAAAGCATACTCATAATCAGTAATAAAATAAGGTTACTCAAAATTACTCTTTAAAATTTTTGAAGCCTCTGTCTACTGAAATAAAATAGAAAAGTACACAACTTTTTAAGTGTAGAGAGATACAACAATTGGACAGGGAAATGTGTTTTGATAGAAACAGCCTTACACACACATATCAATACACACCAAAAACAAAGAAACAACACAAAATATCTATTACTTGACTTACTATTAGAATTATCAAAAGAGATAGGCAAGGTGTTAGAATTTAAAAATCAGTATATAAAAGTTGGTTAATTTTTAACAAACAGTAGAAAATGTAACTTAAAGGAAATAAACTTAAATAACAAGGGAAGAAAATTAAGGTTTCTAAAAATATATCATAGAAAATATACAAGAGATATATGTCTGGAGAAAACTATGAAAATCAATTGACAAGTATAAAGGAAGACAAATAAGGAATATCACATTTTATGATAGAAAAAAACCCAATGTTTTAAAAAACATTGAACTGTAAATTCCACACATTTTTGTTAAAATTCCTACCCTTTCTTTTGTTTTTCATGGAATTTGACAAAAACTTTCCAAGAGATATTTCAAATAGCAAAAAGCAAGAAATATCTAAGTCATTAGTTTCAGGGAGTATCCTCTTCCATTTGAGAGACAGATTTATTATAAATATAGTTTAAGAGAAAACAGCTAATGTTTTAATACATTTCTCCAGAGTTTAAAACGATTAATAAAAATATTTCTCTTTTTAATATGATTTTATACCAAAGTAAAATATTAATTAGTTAATATTTTAAAACTCAATTTTTAAGATTTTGTTTACATTATTTGGAGTTTTAAACAAATTGTCTCATAATTCAAATTACATTAAGTTTCACAGGCATAACATAATGATGAAAGGTATTGGCACAAACACTCATGGTGAAAACAACCTAAGTGACTGAAACTTAAAAAATTACAAGTCTGAAATATCAAAAATTGTTACTTTGAAGTCAGTAAGTAACATATAAAAGTTTGAAAATTTGCATTACACATATTTGAATATTTACATTGTTCTGTGTAAACCTAAAATCTTTTTTATATATTTCAGAGTCTAAGACTAAAAGGAATGTTAATGTCCTTAAGAAATTACTAGTAAGCTGACCACAGTTTATGGAATTCAGCAGTGTTATAGGATTACTATATTTAGATCAAAATGAACTAGTATTTTTTATTGTTTCCTCCTCTAATTACATTTAGTTTGTATGAAAATTGAATTAAAATTGTTTACTTTGAAAGCATGTGTTCTCAAGTTTACTGTAAGTAGAAGATAGCAGAATGAAACCTTATTTTTTATTTTGAAAAGTAAATCGCACCAAGAAATAAAATTACTGGCACTAATTTAGAAGTTAGAGATCAAGGGAGGTCTTCTCAATAGGATGTGACACACTACCTACTTAACTTAAAATCAAATCCCTGCTATTAATCGTGTGATATACAATTATGAAAGCACCATAGAAATTACCCAGTGTCTTTGAGACACCTTTACTTCATGCATAAAATGGGGTAAAAATAATATTACCATTATTGAACCTCACTAATTACTTTTTGGATTAATCTTCTATGAAAATTAATCTGAGCATTGAACATAAATGCCCATTTCTGATGCTAAGGAGCTCTACAGAGTAATCACTATTCACATGTGTTTATGCAACTTTCTTTCATCACGATAGTTTTTTATCACATCACAACTAAGATGTTTAACTCTTTTAAAGTCAATTAAGCCCATTGTTTGTGAGTGAACTGAGACCTTAAAATTGAAGTTTTTTTTCAATGCCAACACTCTAAGCATTAGACTTTGCATCGATAATATATATAAAATATATTTAATAAATTTGAATTTCTATAAACTCATACCTAAGCTCATTGTGTGTGGGTCTGTGTGCATCATATTTTATTCCTCAATCAGTGTCACTTATTAGAAGTCATTGTAAATGCACAGCATTACAATAAAATGGGCTCATCATCAAAGACAATTTTGTCTTCAGCTGTGTGTACAAATAAGTTTTGGTCAGAGCAATTATATAAATTTATGTAGTGAATTTGTTATATTAAGTGATTTAGTCATCGAAACACTCATTTTTATTATCACAATATAAATATAATATTAATTACAAATCAAGATAAAGCTATTTGCAATTGAAATGTAATTGAGAGATGAGAAAATTAATGTTGAAATACTTGAGACTAAAACACTTTAAGTTGTGATTGCATTATTTTAAATTTCATTTTGATTTAAGAAATTTAAAGAAGCAAAAAGATGATCCATAAGATATGTGATTTTGATATTTTGTGATATTTCTACAATTTTAAATAAACTTTGTCTCTAATCAACTTCCTTTTAAGACACATATCAATGTCTCAATTGGCAAAAAAAAAAAAAAAAGGATTTATGAGATTTGTTGCTACAGCATTCCTTCTTTCATATTGCCTTCATAGAAACCTTGAAAAAAATGTAAGCACTTTCTTGATCACAACTCAACAATTCTTACTATAGGATAAAACCAAAGTAATATGGCCTATAAGAAACTTCATAAATTAACATTTTCTTACCTGTTTTACTTGATTAATTTCCCCTCCCCAGGTTCCATTAATTTATGTGCTCATTTATTCATTCATTCATTATATATTTATTAATGATCTACTCTTTGCTTGAAACTGCTTTGGTGCTATAGATACTTGAAGAAATGTATTTATTGTTATTTTGAAGCACACATCTTATCACCACTATACTCCCTCAATATATCATGCTGTTTCTTACCTTAATGCATTTGTTCAATTTTCCTACTCTTTAGTAGCATACTCTTTACCGCCATGTTCTCTTGGCAAACATACTATAAATTATTCAGAACTCCAGCCAGGCATAATTACTGTGAATCTTTCTCTAACAAAAGTCATCTTTCACAGGCATGCTCTGTTTCTTTAATTTTACATATACATCCAATATGAATGGCTCCATTTGTCATATAAAATGTACTTAAAAGAGAAAAATAAACCTATTATAAGGCTGAGTTTCTACTGCTTATGAACATTTACAGTCCAAACAATGCCTCAAATTTTTAGGACAAAGAAAGAAAATTTCTATTGTTTATCATCCTACTGCCTTTGCTGCAGCTATTGCTTCTTACTGGCACACAGTATTGCTATTATATGTGGTCCTCAAACATTTGGCCAACAAATCAGAGCCATACTAGACCTAAATCTTGCAGATCCAACTGCCAGCACAGATCAATTTTGTGATTTAAAAGATAGAAACACCATTAAAGATTCTTCTTTCTCAGTATTGCACTCAACATAGTGTGCTCAGACGTGAGTTTTCAGTTCATAGCTCTTAAGGCTCATAATATTGTACATCAAGGCTGCAACACCACGGTACAGTCTCTAAAGTAATTCAAATGTCTACATGAATTAGAACAACCAAAACCTTTTCCTGGTTCTAGGCCCTGGATTGCACCACGATTTGGGGCAGTTTCCTTTCCAGCCTTCCTTGTAGCTTATTCTACTCCATCCCTCTATCCCTTAACACACAATCTACAAATTGGGGAAACTTCTATAAATTTATATTATATACAGATTTATAAGAGGTCTGACCTTTTATAGGTAACTAAGTTGACAGCTTTGCCAGAGCAGAGGGCAATAGAAGGCAAACTTCATGGACATTTAATCTATGATACTCCATTATGCTAAATATATTTTTAATTTTACCTAATATTTTTAATAATGTATTTATGCACCTGACTACCCATCTCCTGCATGAAGCTTTCCAAACTGGGACCAATATCATCATCCTATCTCAATTTTCTGATTTGTGTTATTAGGACTTAACTTTTTTTTCTATTAATATTTTATTTAATTTATGGTTAGTCTATTTTTGTAGTTGCCTTGGGCATATTGTCCTATAACTCATGATAGAGGTTTAGGTTTGAAATATACATTTCAGAATCATAGTAATACACATATTAGTTGAATCTACGACTGTATGACATAATACATGGGGATGCGTAGTACAAAAAAGAGATGAAATATAGACCCTTGAAAATTTTCAAAATCAGTATAGTAAGCAAAGGAAGAAGATACTATGAAGCAACATAGGCAGAAAGAGATTAGGAACCAGGAGAAAATGCTGACAGAGTAATCTGGGGAAAATCAAGTTTTAAAATATTTCAGTAGTGGAAAATATTGTAAGTTTTTAAGTTAAATGGACAAAGATGCAAAATTTGGTACTTAAGATGGTATTTTAAATATTCAGATGTATATGAGAAGAAGCTTGGAAAACATAGGAAGAAGTTAAAGAATTATGAAAAATAGCAAAATGGAATAAGCAAAGAGGAGCACCAAAAATTTTAAAAAATGAAAATAAAATAAAAATACATGTATCTCAAGAAGTGGGCAGAACAATAAAACAGTATTCTGAGAATTCCTGTGAAGCCGAGTTCCACATTTATTGGAACCAAAATTCTTACCAATATAGAGCAATGTTTTACACATTTCATTAACCATTCCCAGGCTATGCCTGATTTTATCACAGGTAGGAATCTGACACAAGGAATCCAGTTATTTTAGTTCTGCAAAAAGTGTGTGCTTGGCCAGATTCACAAAACAGTTCAAACAAGTACAATCATACTTCTAGATTAAGTATTTCTCCCGAACTTTTGTAGTAAAATTTAAAAGGATATAGAATTCTTGGTTTTGGCATCTTTTTGTTGTTTGTTCTTTGGTTTTTTTCAACATTTAAAATATTTCACTCCACTCCCTTCTAGCATAGTTTCAGACAAAAAGTTGCTATAATTCTTATACTTGTTCTTCTATAAGTAAAGTTTTCTTTTTTATTTCTTTGACTTTTTATTCATATTTTCGCTTTGGTTTTCTGAAGTTTATATATTATATGCATAAGTGTAGTGTATGGTTTTTTTTTGGTTTTGTTTCTATTTATACTACTTAAAGTTCTCTGAGTTTCTGGGATATGTAGTTTGTCAGTTCTGAACTTTGGATTTTTGCCATTATGATATCAAATAACTCGTGTTTAATTCTTCTATTTCCTATTTTCCAATTAATTTTGTTATACAATCAGAAATTGTTCCAGAGCTCTTAGATGTTTTGCTCCTTTTCTTTGCCTTTTATTTTCTGTGCATTTTAACTTGGGAAGTTTCTACTGAGATATCATCAAGTCCTCTGCCCCATCCCTTGGCTGTGTTTAGTCTACTCGTGACCCTATCAAAGACTTTGTTTCTATTACATTGTTTTAGAGCCATCATTTTCTTATGATAATTTCTAATGTTTTTATATATCTGGTTACATTATTAATTCTCTTTCGGCATGTTATCTACTTTTTTTCTATTACAGCGTTTAACATGCTAAACATAATTGTTTTATATTCTGTAATAATTCTCACATGAGCTATATCTGAGTCTGGTCTTGATGTTTGTGTTACCTCTTCAGCCTGTGTTCATGTGTTTTTGTTTTTTTCCTCCTCAACTTTGGCATGTATACACCTCCCAACACACACACACACACACACACACACACACACACACACACACACACACGTATATGCCAGATATCCTGTAGTGGGTAATAGCAAATTGGTTAGATAGGTATTTAGTTTGAGATTAAATGTTAATCTGGCTAGGTATTATACTGTGTTCAATGTTTGTTGTAGTCATTAGTGCTAGACACTTCACATTTCATTAGTGTTTTTGCTTTTTGTCATTCTTATTTTGAGCTTCTCTAACTACTCTTCATAAGGAGTCCATTGTGGAGCACTTTCAGCTATAATCTATTGTTCTTATATTAAAGCACAGGTGTTAGGATAAGGTTTTAGAGAGGAGAAACTTTCTGAAATATTGTGATTAAAACTCCTTTTTGTTATTCCAGCATCTCTTCGGTGTGATTTTCTTTCTATTTTTTTTTTGAAGTAGACTCTTGGATGTGACTTTTGAAAGTGTTTTTCCTGTAGCATTGTTTTTATTTCCCCTTGTAAGACTAAGAAGGCTAGCAAGAGCTGTAGTGGAAAGAATACCCTTCTCTCAGAGGGGATGAGGTTCTGATAATGCCTTTTGTCCTAAAGAGTAGACCTTTTTTAGGCAACATACTTGGATTATTTTAAAATGATTACTCTTCCCTCCCTTGCCAGAGTTTCAAAAGTATTTTTCTCAGATCTTCCTTGTGAGAAATGGTGAGGGTCCTACTGGTTAAAACTCATGAAATGTGGAAACTCCTTTCCCAAGACTGAGGTCCCCAGCAGTTTCTCACTGTCATGGTCATCCATACTCAGGCTCCTGTTTTCTTTTTCAACATAAACGATCCATGAATTATATTTCTGATTTTAATATTATGATTTTCTGAATTTAATCCAGTTGTATATATCTTTTTGTTAACTTAAATATTTCAACTGTAAACATTGATATTTGCAGGTACTAACTCATTCCAATATTTACAGTAAAAATGAAATTAACTTGCTCAATTTCCAAAAGTACCAAAGACACCTGTTTTATATCCTATTGAAATTTCTTGCTTCCTGTGTTCAACTAATTAAAATCCCATACTTTCTGATGAGCTTTATAAATGTAAAATATAGCAACTTCTATCTTAAATAATCACCTTAGTATTCTTGACAATTTCACTGAATCAAAATAACTGCATTTAGATCTCACTTTTTTTTCTACTACTTTGTTATTGACGCTATTTTCTGGTTAGTCCATATCTATTTCTATTGTGGTCTTCCTGCTTCTTAGTTCAGCTAAGTCTGAGTTCTTGTCCCATCACCAGGAAAAATGAGGCATGTGGACACTGGAGAGTGAGTAGGGCAGAGTATAATTTATTAAGCAAAATGAAAGCTTTCAGCAAAGAGGGGGTCCTGAAAGCAGGTTGCCATTTCACAGTTGAATACAAGGGCTTTTACAGAAAAGCTGATGGGGCAGGGTTCCTTATTTGCATAAGGTGAAAATTCCTGCAGGCTTCTCCCCATCCTTTCAGTGCGCATGCGTGCTCTTAGCCTGTGTTACTCCATATTGATTTATTTCCCTTACTGTGAATGTGTCAAAAGATGGAATTTTCCACTGCAGGCATGTTTAGGGAAGCCCCATGTGCAAGTCCCCTCATCTGCACAAAACATCTGGTGAAAGCATTTGTGGTATGTGTGGATTAGGCAATGACCTGGGTGGGTTGGAGCTTCTCCAGGGACTCTTCCCTTATTGTCTGCTTAAAGCCATATGGCTAACTCCTCTAATTTCCATATGTTGCCGGGGGTCCTTGCTCCCAGAGCTCCCAAGATGGTGGTGGGCTACTTCCAAAATGGCGTGGGTCACTTCCAAGATGGTGGCAAGCCTCGTGTTCTCTGACCTGGGGTTCTTGGCCTCACGGATTCCAAGGAATGGAATCTTGGGCCATGTGGTGAGTGTTATAGCTCTATTAGAAGTCATGGGTCACAGAAGAGAACCGTGGAACCCAGTGACTAGTGTTCAGCTCGATTAGGACAAACCCAGGCACTTAGCCGTGCAGGAACAATGGCAAGCCTTTAGCCAGATTGAGAGTGGCAATGGGCACCTCGCTGGATCAGGAGAACAGAGGACACCCTGCTGGATCCGGAGGGATGGGAGTCAGCGGCGGGTCTGTAATGGCGCCAAACAGCAGTGGTGGATGGGGAGCAAAAGCTCAGCTCCAGCGGTAACAAACATGGACCAGAAGAGTGCAGTTGCAAGATTTAATAGAGTGAAATACAGTGAAAACAGAGCTCCCATACAAAGGGAGGGGACCCAAAGGGGGTTGCAGTTGCCGGCTCCAATGCCTGGGTTTATATGCCGATCCTTGTCCCTCCCGCTGTGCTCTCAGGCAATAGATGATTGGCTATTTCTTTACCTCCTGTTTTTGCCTAATTAGTATTTTAGTGAGCTCTCTGATTGGTTGGGTGTGAGCTAAGTTGCAAGTCCCGTGTTTAAAGGTGGATGCGTTCACCTTCCCAGCTAGGCTTAGGGATTCTTAGTCGGCCTAGGAAATCCAGCTAGTCCTGTCTCTCACGTATACTACTGCTAATGAAAACAGCCAAAGTCTGTAAACTATTTGTAGAAGTTTATGCTGAGCCAAATGTGAGGAACATGACTCCTGACACAGCCTTAGGAGGTCCTGATAACATATGCCAAAGGTGGTTGGGTTACTGCTTGATTTTATACATTTTAGGGAGACAGAAGTTACAAGTAGAAACTAAAGCAATACATGTAAGATTTATGTTGTTTCAGTGCAGAAACATGGCCCATCTCAAATCAGAGGCTTTCAGGTCACAGGCAGATTCAAAGATTTCCTGATTGGTAACTGGTTAAAAGAGTTAAGGTATTATCTACATAACTAGAATCAATAGCAAAGCTGTCTGGGTTAACATAAGGGGTTGCAGAGACAAAAGTTCTTATGGTGTATGTGATGCCTCAGATGGCTGCACTTAGAGACAATAGATGGTAAATGTGTCCTATTCAGATCTTTAAAAGGTGCTAGGCTCTCAGCTAATCTCTTCAGGATTAGAAACATACCTGGAAAAAGAAGGTGATTCTCTAGAGAATGTAAATTTTCCCTATAAGAGACACATTTGCAGAGACATTTCAAAATATGTCAAATAAATATTTTTTGGAGTAAATTGCTTTGATTTCTTTCAGGCCTGCTATCTTATCATTTGTTGCTATACTAGAGTCAGATTGGAATTTGGCATCTTACTGCTACAAACAGTCTGTTTTGTAAGTCTTAAGATCTCTGTTTTAATGTTATTGCTGGTCAATTGTGCTTGAATTCCAAAGAGTGGAGGGTATAATGAATCCTGTCCACTCCCTCTTCTCATAATGGCAACTATTTTTCAGGTTTGTTTGGAATGCCGTTGGCTGAAAGGAGGGGTTCATTTAGTCCGTTGGCGGGCTTAGAATTTTATTTTTGGTTTACATTGCTGTAATATTGCAGAGAGTTGGACCAACAGCTAAGTTAGGAGGCAAAAATTCCCAAGTCTGACATTCCTTTTAACACTAATTGCAATACTAATGGGGAAGGGAAGGCCCCCAAACAGGTCTAATTTAAAATCGTTTACTAGAAAGACTTATAGACTCCCTGAAAGCTGTTACACTTATGGTTACAGTTTATTATAGAAAGTATACAGGTTAAGATCAGGCAACCCCAAAGCATACAACCATTATGTGTGTGTGTGTTTGTATACACAACTATATGTGTATATGTGTGTGTGTATATATATCATATATATTTATATACATATCATATGTTATATATATCATATATTACGTATCACATATTATATATACACATATGTATGTGTATATATACACATGTTTATATATATATGTGTATATATACACACATATATTTTAAATCAGGCAAAGGAAAAGACACATAGGACAGAGTTCAGAAAACTACCAAACACAGAGCTACTTCTTTCTTCTTTCAATGGATTTGGTATGTGTGGATTTCTCTGCATTGATATGTGACAACTGTGAAAATAAGCAATTCATAATCTATGCTGTTAAAGGAATATGATTATGGAATGTGATTAGGAGTCACATAACAAGCAGCTGTAACCTTGGCAGCTGTAACCTTTGTTTTTCTGATTATAGATTAGTTTACTTTTTACTTGCATTGTTTTATAAAATGCTGTAAATTACTGAAGGGAAACAGGGAAGACCCCTTCCATCTTCACCATTGATTTTCATTATAGATTAACTTTCCTCTTACCCTTCTCACACAAAGACTTCATGGCTCTCACATTGTCTTAAGATCAAATGCTAAATATATTCTTTTAAGTTGAAAAGAAAATGAACAAGCCATGCAGAAGAGAAAACAAACTGTAACTAATTGTTGTAACTCATAACCCAGTTTTGTATAAAAAAAGTTTTAATCTTGTTAAATTTCTTTCTTTTCTGCCTATATAAACTGGAACTTAACTTTTAATTTCAAAATACTGATCTCATTTTCTGAAGTTGGTGTCTTCCAAATGGTTATTTCCAGCTTTTTACTTCAATAAACTCTTTAAAACTAGATCGATCCTTTCCATTATTTCAGGTTGACACAACATGCAGAACATGCAGAATTTAGCCAACCAGAAAAGTATGCTGAAGTCTTAGTGTTCAGAGATTTCTTTGGGGCTCCAATCAATTATATAAGCATAATTGATTGACTGATGTTTCGTGTAATAAATCTCAACTTCTAGACTACTTGATGTATGACTCAAAACCCCATCTCTAAGTCACATTTTTGGTCTTTCTGTAGTGAGCAGGCTAAGCATCACTTAGTGCATGCTGTAGTGAGTCACTCTGTAGTGAGCATGCTTCACTAAGAATATATGGGTGTGGCCTGCACTTTCCTAAATCACTTTGTTAAGACTACATATTATGGCCCATGGCTCCCAGTCAAACAAAGATATATCTATCAGGCATGACATTCCAAGGACCCAGAGATTATTTCTCAGATGCCAAGGAAAATGCTAGAACTTTCTTCAGGCAAGGCCAAATATTTTACTGCACAGACAGCACAGACATTTGCAGAATGCCTACTATCATTTTTCTGCCACAAGTAACTATAATATGACAGATAATAAATTCCCCCCAAACTAGTAAACATAGAGTAACATAAAATATTAAGAAATCTTTTCTATTTTCTTTCCATAAAAAAAATGGATAAACTCTAATCCCATTAGTCTATTTCAAATTCATGGACAAAGAACCTTTCAAATAAGTTTAATGTAATCCCATATAATTCTTTAGAATTGTTTTTTCCTGTTTTTACAGAAGTTTAATGTAATCCCATGTAATTCTTTAGAATTGTTTTTTCCTGTTTTTACAGAATAGGTAAATATGGCCATAGTTGATAAATGCTTTGTTTTTTACATTATAGAACCTTTTCTCTTCCACAAATGAAAAAAAAAATTCAAGTAATGTAAATATAATATTTGGAGATACAGCAACAACTACCAGAAGTGACATCTAAAATAATTAAATATGAGGAGTTAGCTGTGGGGAGTAAGGCTAGAGAGTGGGGAAGAATGAGGGAAGAGTTAGATAGGGACTATTGTTCTTTTTTATGTCTTGTTAAAAGAAAATCTTTAAACAAATTAAATTGGACAGGGTGTAATTGAAACAAGGATGATTCACAAATCAAGCAGCCCTCAGAACCAGAAAGGTTCAGAGAGCTCCCTTCCACCACACGGGCAGGCAGCATTTATAGACAGAAAATGAAAAGTAAGATGCAGAAACTACTTGTTAGGTTACAGATTGAAGTTTGCCTTATTTGAACATGCTCAGATTATTTGACAGCCTGTAAATGGTGGAAGCTCAGCTGCTGTGATTGGCTGAGACTCAGCTGGTTGTTAAACACGTTTGCTCCTAAGTTAGGCTTTTGGTTTCTTTACGTATTCAGTTAGGTTGCAGTTTTTTTTTTTTTTTTGGTGGGGACTTAAGGTACAGAGGCATCCTCAGTCAAAATTGAGTTTAATAGTCATTTGATATAATATATTTTTTTGCCATTAGCATTATTTTGATTTAACAGTCTGACGTCCTAAGTTGCAAATATTACCTTTGTAGTTCATAAAGCAGGTTTTGTATATAACGGTAAGAGAGTCCCATATGTATAAAGGTTCAAAACAGTTAAAAAATCAGTGGGCTTTTAAAAAAATGTTTTCTCAAATACTTTATGCACACCTACTTACTTATTATACAAATCTATTAGAACAAGTGTATTCAGCTCAAATAATGTCTAAACTTTTATATATAGTAGTTAAAGAAGATAACTATTTTCAGTTATAGTTTAGTATAGCTAATTATAGTAATTAGGTTATACTACTTTATTTGGATAATGAATTCAAATATATTATAAATGATACATAAATACTGAATTAAAATGCTCTGTCAAAATTTATTAAAACTCAACTCGATGGTACCATGGTATTTGAAAGCTTCTGCCAAAGAGTCTATGATGACAGCCAAGTTAAATGAAAATCACGTTTGACCTTTTGTTGCAAACATAAAAGCATTTTCTCTTTGAAAATGTAATAGCATTTAAATACGTTAGTATTGACATACGTTTGGTTTATTTTCCATTTATTTTCTAGGACTGACTGATAGTATTTTCCTTTGGAAGATCCTTTTATATTCTGTCTCTATGAAAGAAGTGTTTTCAATGAAATAAGGTAATATATAAATTTTTTACATTTTTTCGTACAGTAACTATAGATTTCTTTAGATTCTTACATTATATATTTTTCCCAGATTGTATTCATTTAATGCTCGTAAAAATCACATAGAATCAAATGGTTATTTGTGAATATAATAATTGTTCTAAATTGTAGTTAGTAATTGAGCTTCTATTGGTTATAAGTCATTATGTAAGATACCACAAAAACTCAACTACAAAGTATATGGCATCTCCAGTGTCACAGAGGAGATTTCAGTTGAGTAAGGATGATGAAAGTAATAGTAATGACTACAAGAGAATATATCATAGGAGAAATACTAACAGTGATATCGGAATGAAAACAGCATTGCAAAATTCTAACTGTGTCAGTGAAAGAGATATGATGTAACCAACTCCATCTTGCTTCTAACCTCCAAGCTGTCCTCGTTCATTCCTGGGTGTAAGCTAAAATAACTTTAGGAGTGACTTCTTTTATAGTTTAAAACAAAGATAACAACAGCCCTCTCCCAAAACAAACCTAGCCATTTGCCTGGAGACTAGACTGCCTTTGTAGGACTAACAAATTATCCACAAGATTAGAAATTAGGGTTTAGGAATCATGCAGCTGGAGGCTCCAAGATTCCGACCCTCCCTAAACTGCTCCAAAGATCACTGCTTGAGATACTTTGTAGACCCCGCACTTGGTGGATCAGCTGGCACCAGCCAGAAAGATTAACTGGCTCATCTTATCTTATGGCTTCCACTCAGGAACTGACTCCGCACAGGAGGACAACTTCAATTTCCTATGATTTCATCTCCTACCTAACAAATCAGGACTCCTGGCTCATTGGCTTCCCCCCACGCACCAAGTTGTCCTTGAAAACGCTGATCCCGAATCCTTGGGGAGACTGATTTGAGTAATAATAAAACTCTGGTCTCCTGCACAGCCAGATTTATGTGAATTACTCTTTCTCTATTGCAATTTCTTTATCTTGATAAATTGACTCTGTCTAGACAGCAGGCAAAATGAATCCATTGGGCGATTACAGGAAGACAGAAGGAAATTGTATTATCTATAGCAAGAGAATTAAGACATGTCTTTTCAAAGCTGACTGCAACATTTTGGTTTCTTAAAAACTGAGAATTGTGGTAGAAAATTTTATTTCTGCCAAATTTAAAGTTTAGTGGTGGGTTGTTAAGTACTGGGGTAGGTAGAGATGTTATCTTACAGTATTAAAGTCTCAGCAGAATAAGAATTGTGTCCACACAGGGGTTTTGTTTACAGAGAGATTGCAAGGCCAGTGAAATTTCTGAGAAGAGTGGTGGCCTTTCTAGAGGCTGGAGGAGGAGAAAATGTCTTCTCCCTGGTCGTTCAGCCTAGTGTTGGATACGGGAGTCAGACTGGGGTGAGAAGAGCATTTATGTAGTGGAGGAGGGTCAAAGTGAAGCTAAGAAATTTGTTACGTATGAAAAATTGGCTAAATGAGTAAATAAGTTGATGTGAACTAAATGTCTCATTATCAGAGCCTGTATTTACAACTACAGAAACTGGAAGAATAAAATGTACCCTTTGGGATTGAATTAGAATTGGGAATATTAGTATGAACTTGTGGTTTTCAAGTTATGGTCCAATGAACAGATAGATAGAGAAATAGGTATAGACCTAAAGATGTGCACTTCTATTTATTCATACAGTACATAAAAATTTTCTAGCTTTGTGCACTAAAACAGTCTAGGAGCAGTAACATCCCAAGAGTAGTAAGCACACTACCACATATAGCACATGTATCTTCTCTTCTAAATATATTTTTCCATAAACAAACCAGGGCATCTTGGACAAAATGTCTGGTTGGAGGACTGAAGCAGTAAAAATACAAGATGAGTCTGAGGCATCTTGTTTCTCCAGGACAGAAGAAAGTTCCCAGGAAAGTTTTCCATGTCAGAAAGACATAGAAACCAGCTGTCATTATCCAAATCTTGGACAATTTAACCTGAAAATGAGGAAATTTTATAAAATATAAAATCATAAATTAATTAAAAATTGATATATTTAAAAATAATAAAGGATGCAATATTATATAATTTCACAGTGTTTTTCCATAAAGTAAGAAATTACAAATGAGAAATAAGAATAACTCTCTAAAGAAAAAGCATGTCAGAATCCATCTTAATGAAGTAATCATAATGAACTTCATCAGTACTGGGACAGTTTGAAACTTAACATCTGTTAGGATGCAATAGGAAGGCAGCATAACTGCTGTGATATTCCTGCCAAATAAACACACTGTGAATCAAATTAGAAAAAGCATCAAACACGTTTAAATGGATTAGCACTCTACAAAATAAACGGCCTGTAATCTTAAAAAGGTCATGAAAGTCAAGAAAAGAATGGGGAATGTTCCAGGTTGACGGGAACTAAAAGACATGATAACTAAATGCAATATGGAATTATGAATTTAATTATTTTAGACTTCTGAAAATTTGTGATATTTGTAAGAGGTCTGTGGATTACATATAATAATGTCTCATTCCTACCTTAATTTTAAATGACTGTGATAAGGGTAAGAATGTGAATGTCTTATATAGAGAAAATAAAAAGTAATATATTCGGAAGGTGACAGAACATCAGGGCAGCAACGAAATTGAAAATGTTTTATTCTCATGACCACAGTATAAATTTGAGCTTGCTTCAACATTTAATAAATAAATAGAAATTTAATACATAAAACATAATGTCCCAAGTCTTGGAGGTGAGAAAAATATGTATCTTAGCAATTTTATTAAAATTCCTAATACAATATACTAGAAATGTAAAATCAATCTCACGTTGAAGAGTAAAAAAACATAGCCAACCATGCTCAATATTTATTCTGGTCTTGTTGCTGAAACAGGTCTGAACTGGTTCTCAAGTATAGTCAATTCTATCTATCCAGAATACCTTACTTCCACTTCTCAATTTCCAATATCATCACTCTTATTCAGGATCTTATTAGTGCACTTTATATAGTAGTATTATAGCTAACGATATTTTAAATATCTCTCTTTATTTAATCTTTTTGTTATAAAATTTATAATTTTATGAAATAAATCTAGCAATAGCTTGGCTCTTTTCATACTACCAGAAAAAAATATAAAATTTTCCACAATTGCTTTATATCATCATAGTCTGGAACCTCACTATCTAGACTAGTTTTTACTTCCTACTTACAAGAAAATTATTTCTACTTGAATTATTTGCTGATTACCAAATGTGGATCTATTTTATTTCATTACATATTTTTTTCTGTCAAAATCTACTTAATTTTCATAACTAGTTCATCTTTAATATTCTTCACTAAAATATTTTTCAAGTCAGGTGAATATGGTTTCTTATTTCTCCAAACTCATCAACCAAATCACTTCTCTGATACTTAAATAAATAAGCCTTGCATATTAGATGTATGTATACAGGTATTTTCTTCTTGTTATATCTATATTCCTCATGAAGAAGGATTCTAGTTTATCCTCTTCAGTATTTAGCAAAAACAACAACATCAAAACGTGCTCATAATCTGAGCCCACCACTCCTGGCATCCAACCCACTCCAGCAGCTGAGCCCCTACCTGCACTGATGAAACACCCCAGAGACTGAGGATCATTCCACTTGCATTTTTTTCTTCAACAAATCCATGCCACAGCTTTCACAAGCAACCACAGCATAGGCCGCTGAAGTACTTGCAGATAGTACTGACATTGACAATAGCTAAAGAAATCATATGTAGAGTACACTCTGGTACCCACCCGCAACCAAAGCCAAAGTAACCTACCCAACTGACACTATTGGACATATCTACAGAAAAATGTATTTCCCTATGAAAGCTAAGTTATTCTATAAAATTAAAAGAAGCACCTGTTCCATCAGGTGTACAGCTATCAATTTAGAAACAAAAGAAACATAAAAAGGCATGGAAATGTGATGCCTCCAAAGGAATACAATAATTATCTAGTAACAGACCCGAAGATAAGAAAATCTATAAAATACCTGAAAAGGAATCCAAAATAATGTTTTAAGTAAGCTCAGTGAGATACAAGAGAACACAGATAAAAAAACAATATCTGTAAAACAGTATATGATGTGAATGAAAAATCCAACACAGGTTGATATTATAAAAAAGAACCAAACAAAAATCTGGGAATTAATATTCCCCTTCTTATAACTCCACTAGGCAGTGCCCCACTGGGGACTCTATATGGGGGCTCCAAGCTTTTATGCTCTGCTTCCTGTTTAAATATAAATTCCAACTTTACATTATTTCTTTGCTTCCATATCGGAGTGTAGGTTGTTAGAAGCAACCAGAACACATGTTGATGTGTTTGATGCTTAGAAATTTTTTCTGCCAGACACTCTGTATTATCACTCTGAGATTCAAACTTCCACAGATCCCTAGGTCATGAACATAATGCAGCCAAGTTCTTTGCTAAGGCATAACCCATGTGGCCTTTGTTCCAGTTCCATATAAGTTCCTCATTTCCATCTGAGACCTTTTCAGACTGGACTTCACTGTCTGTATCACTATTGCCATTTTGGTCCCATCAATTTAACCATTCTTTAAGATCTAAACTTTCCCTTATCTTCCTGTCTTCTTCGGAGCCCTCCAAATTCTTTCAAAATCTGCCTATTATCCACTTCCAAAGCTGCTTCCACATTTTCAGGTGTCCTTATGGTAAGACCCTGTTCCTGTTAATAATTTTCTATATTAGGCTGTTCTAATATCGCATCAAAGTAATACCTGAGGCCGGATAATGTATAAAAAAAGAGGTTTAATTGGCTCACAGTTCTGCAGGCAGTATAAGCCTGGCACCAGCATCAGCTCAGCTTCTGGGAAGGCCTCAGGGTGCTTTTACTCATGGCAGAAGATGTAAAAGGAGCAGACATGTCACATGGTAAAAGCAGGAACAAGAGCTAGTGTGGCATGGTGCCACACACTTAAACAACCAGATCTTATAAGACTCACTCACTATTGTGAGGAAAGCACCAAGCTCCATGAGGATTCTGTCCCCATGACTCAAACACCTCCCATTAAGACACCCCACCTCCAACATTGGGGACTACATTTCAACATGAGATTTGGATGATGCCAGATATCCAAACTATATCAATAATGTTTTTCTCTTCATTACAAATTGAACTAAATTTTAATGAGTCAATAATTAGATCTAATCCAGACATTTTTTGTGGAAGTAATTGACATCTATTGAAAACTGTCCTTAAAATTAAAGTTTTATACCTGCCTTAAAAACGTGGCTTGAACATGGGTTATACTTCTCATTTTATGATTAGCTGTGACATTTATCAACTTAATATGATATTAAAAATTGTGATACAATACAAATGAGAACATATTTTAACTCTTGAAAACATCAATTATTTTTACAATAAAAACTGATGCTATTATTAACTTTTACACAGAATTTAAAATTAATTGCTGAACACTACAAATTAGCTTCAAAACACTATTTATTTTTGTAAAAGATGCTTCAAAATAGTATTGAATTAATAAATGTACAATATAAGGAATGTGAAAAATTATTGTAGCATATATAACAGTACCATCCAACAGTAATACAATGCAAACCAGATTTGTAATTTCAAGTTTTATAGTAGCCACAGTTTAATAAAATTAAAGTGAAATTAATTTTAATATTATATTTTATTTAAATAACTATACCCCAAATATTTTCATTTTCACATTTAATCAATATAGAATCATTGTTGTGATGTTATTCTCATAAAGCCTTTAAAAACATGTGTACACTTTACAATTGTAGCACATCTCAATTTGGACTAGTTCTATTTTGAGTATTCAATAATGACATGTGGCCAATACCACTGCATTGAATAATTCAGATATAAAATGCAGATCCCTAAAGTCTCAGCTACAAAGCTTGGAAATTCTAAGTAGTAAAATTTAGATCCAATGCTGGATTAGTTTATTTTCTCACTGTTATAAAGATACTACCTAAGAATGGGTAATTCATAAAGAAAAGGGGTTTAATTGACTCACAGTTCCACTTGGCTGGGGAGGCCTCAGGAAAGTTACAGTCATGGAGGAAGCTGAAGGAGATGCAAATACCTTCTTAACAAGGTGGCAGGAGTGAGAGAAACAGAGGAAACTGCCACTTCTAAAACCATCAGATCTTGTGAGAAGTCAATCACTGTCACAAAAACAGCATGGGGGAAACCACCCCCAAGATCCAATCACCTTCCCCCAGGTCTCTCTTTGGACACATGGGGATTGCAATTTGGATTACAAATTGAGATTTGGATGGGGACACAGAGACAAACCATATCATTCTTCCCCTGGTTCTTCCCAACTCTCATGTCCTTTTCACATTTAATAGCCAATCATGTCTCCCAACAGCCCCCTAAAGTATTAACTCATTCTTGCATCAACCCAAAAGTCCAATTCAAAAGTCTCATCTGAGACAAGTCAAGTCTCTTCCACTTATGAGCCTGTAAAATCAAAAGCAAGTTAATTACTTTCAATATACAATGAGGGTACAAGCATTGGATAAATGCTCCCATTTCAAATGTGAAATTGGCCAAAACAAAGGGGCCACAGGCCTTATGCCAGTCCAAAACCCAACAGGGCAGTCATTAAATCTTAAAATTCCAAATTCTCCTTTGAATCCATGTCTCACATTCAGGACACACTGAAGCAAGGGGGCACCCCCACAGCCCTGGGCAGCCCTGCCCCTGTGACTCTGCAGGGTACAGCCCCTGTGGTTGCTTTCATGGGCTCGTGTTGAGTGCTTATGGCTTTCTCAAGTGCATGGTGCAAGCTGTCAGTGGATCTACATTACTGGGCTCTGGAAGATGGTGGTCTTCTTCTTACAGCTCCACTAAGCAGTGCCCCAGTGGGGACTCTGTGTAGAGGCTCCAACCCCACATTTCCTTTACACACTACCCTAGCAGAGGTTTTCCATAAGGGCTCCACCACTGCAGCAGACTTCTGCCTGAACATCAAGACATTTTCATACATCCTCCAAAATCTAGGGAGAGGTTCCCAAACTTCAACTCTTAACTCCTGTGCACCTGCAGGCACAAAGCCATGTGGAAGCTGCCAAGGCTTGGGGCTTGAACCCTCTGAAACAAGCCACAGCTTTAGCTGGAGTGGCTGAAATGCAGGGTGCTATGCCCTCGGGCTGCACAGAGCAGCGGAGCCTTGGGCTCAGCCTATGACATCATTTTTTTTTCCTAGGCCTCTGCACTTGTGATAGGAGGGACTGTCTTAAAGAACTTTGACATGCCCTGGAGCCATTTTCCCCATTTTCTTGGCTAGTAAGATTTGGCTTCATATATATATATATATATATATAAAGCTTATATATGAAGCCATCTATATCTATGAAGAAAGCTTTTATTGGGGAAAATATTTTATTTTCCTGTGATGTTGATAAATTTACATACAAATCTGAAAATCCTCTGAACTAAGAAAGCATCACTGACTTTGACACTGCTGGACAAAACTTATTTGACATTATATACATGGTATAGATTGTCTTCTTACTACTAAAAATATTCAGTCATTTTACATATTTTTATATTTAATTTATTAAAAATTTTTCCCAAAACTCCATATGAAATGGCTTTTAAGTCTCCCCAAGTGACTTCTGTTGAAATAGAAGAAAACTACTTTTTTTAAATTCTTTCGATTATGGAAAGAACTCATTCAATTTCTCAGCCTCTCAACCTTGTTAATGCACATATGGTAAGTGGAATTAGAGAATTATGTGGTTTTGCAGTTTATTTATATATGAAGAATATATATGAAGGGTTTATATATATAAAGAATAAATATACACACACATTTATGTACACACACGTGTGGATGTGTATAACAACACTAATAAGATTTTTAGATGCATATTATTTCTGAGACTATTGAATTAAATACTTTATAAACACATATTATTGCATTTAAGCCTTATACCTTCCTATGATGGAGATGATATCACTATTCATATTTCACAGAGGAAACACCTTGCTACAAAAATTATCATGCAGAGAGGAAAAGATAGAAGTTTAGTTTGAATCCCTTCATTATTATACCAAACACTTTACTTTTATCACTAACAGTGAATCTTTCAGCAGAAATCTTATAAGCCAGAAGAGATTGGGGGACTAAATCCAGTATAAATAAAGGAAAGAAATTTCAATCAAGAATTTTATATTCAGCCAAACTAAACTTCATAAGCCCAGGAGAAATAAGATCCTTTTCAGACAAACAAATGCTAAGGTAATTTATTATCAACAGACTTGCATTATGAGAAGCCCTTAAGAGACTAAACAAGAAAACAATAAGCCTATTACCAGCCACCACAAAAACACACTTAAGTACACAGACCATTGACACTATAAAACAACTACACAACCAAGTCTGCATAACAATCAGCTAGCAACATGATACCAGAATCAAATCCACACATATCAATATTAACCTTGAATGTAAATGGACTAAACACTACAAATAAAAGTCACAGAGTGGCAAGGTGGATACAGAAACAACACCCAACTATATGCTGTCTTGAAGAGACCAATCTAATGTGTAATGACACCCATAGACTCAAAATAAAGGAATGGAGAATAACCTGTCAACCACACAGAAAACAAACTATAGCAGGTGTTGCTGTTCTAATTTAAGATGAAACAGACTTTAAATCAACAACAGTCAAAGAAGACAAAGATGGGCATTACATAAGGGTTCAATGCAAGAAGACTTAACTATCCTAAATATATATGCACTGAACATTGGAGCATCCAGATTCATAAAACAAATTCTTCAAGACCTAAGAAGAGACTTAGATAACCACGCAATAACAGTGAGACACTTCAGCACCCCACTGACATTATTGGACAGATAATCGAGGAAGAAAACAATGACATTTAGGACTTGGGAACATTCAGGAATTTGACACTTGAACAAATGGACCTAACGGACATCTAGAGAACACTCCACCCTACTGCAACACAATATACATTCTTCTTATCTGCATATGGCAAATACTCTAAAATTGACCAGATGATCAGGAATAAAGCTATTCCCAACAAATTCAAAAAAATGAAATTATACAAACCACTCTCTTAGACTACATACAATGAAAGTAGAAATCAATACTAAGAAGGTCTCTCAAAACCATATGATTACATGATGATTAAAAAAACTGCTTCTGAAGGACTTTTGGGTAAGCAATAAAATCAAGGCAGAAATCAAGAAATTATTTGAAGTGAATTAAAGCAAAGATATAACATAACCAGAATCTTTGGGACACAGTGAAATCATTGTTGAAAGTTTATAGTGCTAAACACCCACATCAAAAAGAAAGATCTGAAATTAACAAGGTAGCATCACACCTAGAGGTACTAGAAAAAAAAGAGCAAACTGACTGAAAAGCTAGTAGAAGAAAAGATATAACCAATATAAGAGTTGAACTGCTTGAAATGGAGACATGAAAAATCATACAAAATATCAATGAAACCCAAAGCTGTTTCTTGAAAAGAATATATAAGATTGATAGAGCACTACCTAGATTAACAGAAAAGAGAAGGAATCCAAATAATAATAATCAGAAATGACAAAGGGAACATTACCACTGATCCCACAGGAAAAAAAAAACCCTCAGAGACTACTGTAAACATTTCTATTCACACAAATGAAAAAAATTTTCAAGAAATAGACAAATTCCTGAAAATGTTCAACTTGCCAAGACTGAACCATGAAGAAATTGAATTCATGAATAGATCAATAATGAGATTCAAAATTGAATTAGTTAAAAGAAACCTACTTATAAAAAATAGCCCTGGAGCAGATGGATTCACAGCTGAATTCTACCAGGTGTACAAAGAAGAGTTAGTACTAATCTTCCTGAAATTATTCCCAAAAATTGAGGAAGAGGGACTCCTCCCTAACTCATTCTAGGAAGCCAGCATTACTCTGATATCAAGCCTGGAAGAGACATAACAAAAATAAAAAATAAAATTTCAGGTGGATAAAGAAACAAGACCCAACTTATACTGTCTTCAAGAGACCAGTCTAACAATATTGATGATAAACATAGGTGCAAAAATTCTCACAAAATACAAGCAAATCAAATTTATCAGCAGATCAGAAACTAATCCACTATAATCACATAAGGTTTATTCCTGAGATGCAAGGTTGGCTCAACATATGATAATCAATAAATGTGATTTATCACATAAACAGGACTAAAAAAAATCACATGAACATCTCAATAGCTGATAAAATGTGACATCCCTTGATGTTAAAAAACTATCAACAAGTTAACATCAAACCAACATAAGTTAAATCAATAAGAGCCATCTATCTCACACCTAAAACCAACATTGTATAGAACAGGCAAAAGCTTGAAGCATTCCCCTTGAGAATTAGAATAAGACAAGGATGCTGACTCTCACAACTCCTATTCAAGTACTGGAAGGGTAGAACTTGAAGTCCCAGGCATAGCAATAAGGCAAGAGAAAGAAATTAAAGTCATCCAAATAAGAAGAGAATAAGTCAAACTACTTGTCTTCACAGACACTATGATTTCATACCTAGGAAACCCCATAGTCTATACCCAAAATCTCCTAGGTCTAATAAATAACTTCAGCAAAGTTTTAGAATACAAAATCAATGTGCAAAAATTGGTAGCATTTCTATATACCAACAAAGTTCAAGATGAGAGCAAAATCAAGAATATTATCCTATTCACAATACACACACACCCACACACACATACACAAAAACACACACAAATACCTAGGAACACAGCTAACCAAGGAAGTGAAAGATGTCTGCAATGATAATTACAAAACAGAAAACAGTGCAGAAATAAATCAGAGATGACACAAACAAATGGAAAAACATTTCCTGCTCATGGATGGAAATGATCTACATTATTACAATGTCCATACTGCACAAAACAATTTAAAGATTAAATGTTATTTCTATCAAACTACCAAGGACATTTTTTATAGAGTTAGAAAAAACTATTCTAAAATGTCTTTGGAAGCTAAAAAGTATCTAAATAGCCAAAACAATTTGAAGCAAAAATAACAAAGCTGAAGGCATCACATTACTGACTATAAACTATACTACAAGGCTACAGTAACCAACACAGGACAGTCTGGTATAAAAACAGACACAGACCAATGAAACAGAATAGAGAACCCAGAAGTACAGCCACATACCTACAACCATCTGATCTGCAACAAGGTCGACAAAAACAAGCAACAGGGAAAGGACTCCCTATCCAATAAATGGTGGCAAGATAACTGGATAGCCATATGCAAAAGATTGAAACTGGACTCCTTCCTTTCACCATAGAAAAAGTCAAGCCAAGATGGATTAAAGACTTAAATGTAAAATGTAAAACTATAAAAACCCTACAAGTAAACTAATATGGTTTGGATTTATGTCCCTGCCCAAATCTCATGTTGAATTGTAATCCCCAGTGTTGGAGGAGGGACCTGGTGGGAGGTCTTTGGATCATAGGGGTGGATTTTACCTTTGTGCTTATGATAGTGAGTGAGTTGTCATGAGATCTGGTTGCTTGAAAGTGTTTAACACCTGTTATTTCACTCTTTCTCCTTCTCTGGCCGTGTAAGACATGCCTGCTTCCCCTTTGCCTTCTGCCATGATTTTAAGTTTTCTGAGGCCTCCCTAGCCATGCTTCCTGTGCAGTCTGTGAAACTGTGAGTCAATTAAACCTCACTTTTATTTAAATAAATTACCCTGTCATGGTTAGTTCTTTATAGCAATGTTGAGAATGGACTAATACAAAAACCTGGGAAATACAATTCTGGAGATTGGCCCTGGCAAAGATTTCATGATATAAGTGCCAAATGTAACTGCAGCACAAGCAAAAATTGACAAATGGAACCTAATTAAGCTAAAAGGATGGCTGGACACAGTGGCTCACGCCTGTCATCCCAGCACTTTGGGAGGCTGAGGCAGGTGGATCACAAAGTCAGGAGATCAAGACCATCCTGGCTAACACAGTGAAACCCCATGTCTACTAAAAATACAAAAAATTAGCCAGGCGTGGTGGCGGGCACCTGTAGTCCTAGCTACTCGGGAGGCTGAGGCAGGAGAATGGCAAGAACCCAGGAGGCAGAGCTTGCAGTGAGCTGAGATCACACCACTGCACTCCAGCCTGGGCGACAGAGCGACACTCGGTCTCAAAAAACAACAACAACAACACAAAGAAAAAAGTCTTCTGCACAGCAAATAAGGCTATCACTTGAGTAAACAGAAAACCTACAGAATGAGAAAACATATTTTCAAACTATGTATCCAACAAAAATCTAATATCCAGAATCTATGAAGAACTTAATCAAATCAGCAATTGAAAAAACATACATTCCTATTAAAAAATGAGCAAACGATATGAACAGACCCTTGTGCAAAGAGTAAATGCACATGGCAAAGAAACATACAAAAAAATGCTTAACATCACTGATCATTAGAGAAATGGAAATAAAAAACCATAGTGAGATACTATTTCACACCAGTCTAAATGGCTAATATTAAGAAGTCAAAAAATAATAGATGCAGGCGAGGTTGTGGGGAAAAAGAATGCTTATGCATTGCTGGTGGGAATGGAAATTAGTTAAGGCACTTTGGGAAGCAGTTTGGAGTTTCTCAAAGAACTTAAAACAGAACTACCATTTGACCAAGCAATCCCATTACCTGGTTTTCACTCAATAAATAGAAATATTTTTGCCATAAATACACGTGTATGCATATGTTCATTTCAGCACTATTCACAATAGCAAAGACATGGAATCAACCTAAATGCCCATGAATGGTGGGCTGGTTAAAGAAAATTTTGTACACATACACCATGGAATACAACGTAGCCATAAAAAATGAATGGGATCATGTCCCCTGGAGCAAAGTTGATACAGTTGTAGTACATTATCATAAGCAAATTAACAAAGAAATCAAAAACCAAATACCGCATGCTCTCACATAAGGGGAGCTAAACATTCAGTACACATGAGCACAATGAAGGGTACAATAGACACTGGAGCCTACTTGAGGGTGGAGGATGGGAGGAGAGTGAGGATTGAAAAACTACCTATCAGGTACTATGCTTATTACCTTGGTGATGAAATAATCTGTAAACCGAACCCCCATGACCTGCTATTTATTCATATCACAAACCGGTACATGTATCCCCAAACCTAAAATGAAAGTTTAAAAATAAAAAATAGAAAATTAAAATAATAAAAAATAAAAACATCAAAATAGTTGCTTATATCTGGCAAGACTGAGACAAATGAAATCGCTAATGTTTGTCATTTTTAAGCAATACTAATGCCAATTTTTGTTAATTACTGAATATTATATGCAAATGATCCACTTCAACTTTGGATAGTGTTCATTGCTAGAAAAAGAAAAGTTAAAGGAGAAAAGTTCGCTGGGCATGGTGGATCACTTGAGCCCAGGAGTTTGAGACCTGCCTGGCCAACATAGTGACATCCTGTCTCTAGGAAAAATACAAAAATTAGCCAGGCATGGTGGCGCATGCCTGTAGTCCCAGCTACTCAGGAGGCTGAAGTTAATGGATTGCTTGAGCCCGGGAGGCAGGGGTTGCTGTGAGTCTAGATTGCACCACTGCATTCCAGTCAAGGTGACAGAGTGAGAGCCTATCTCAATAAAAAAAGAAAAAGAAAGTTTAGGGCTTTGGCTGTTGAGCTGTATTTTTAAAGATTTATTTACTTAAAAGAAAGAGATGAGGGAAAATATTCTAGTAACAGCAAATAACTTACCTAGAAATATATAGTTGGAAATACAAGTAACTATGTGAAAAAAACTAATACTTTCTAAGGGAACTAACACAAGACCTCACTAAATGAAGAGATAAACATATTGTAAGATTAAAATTTTGAAGTGCTATAAAGAGGTTAAAATTAGTTTTTATTTTGTAATAAAGGTATAACTGTTAACATTTTAATGAGAGTATTTTTATTTGAAAATTGAAAATATTTTATGTTTACTCAAAAAAGTTAATATAATAACAAATTTCATAACTTAAGGATGCTATGTTCATACTTCGTGTATTAGCCAGGGTTCTACAGTGAAACAAAACCAATGGGTGTGTATATATATCTATATGAAGCCATTTATTATAAGGAATTAACTCACACAATTACGAGGCTGGCAAGTCTCAATATCTGTGGGATGAGCTGGCAAGCTAGAGACCCAGAAGAGTTGATGATGTGGCTACTGTCTGGGTCCAAAGGCCTGCGCACTAGGAAAGGCAATGGCATACTTCGAGTCTGAAGGCTGGTTGGCTTGACAGCCAGGAATGTTCACGGCTTCAGTTTCAGTCCAAAGGCAAGAAAAAAGTTAATGTTGCAGCTTGAAGGCAGTGAGGCAGGAGGAATTCTTTCTCATTTGGGGGAAGATCAGCCTTTTAGCCTATTCAGACCTTCAGCTGATTTGATGAGGCCCACTCGCATTAGGAAGGGCAACCTGCTTTATTCAGTCTATTGATTTAAATGTTAATCCAATCTAAAAATACCCCTGATGACACAGCAAGGATAATGTTTGACTAAAGGTCTAGGCACTACACATCCTATACAAGTTGACACACAAAATTAACTATTGCACTGCAAAAATAAGTTTATAATATAAATTGTATATTACACAATATATTAAAACAGTAAAATAATTAATAGTGTTGTATTTATCTCAAAGTTGAATGATAATTGAAAGACTAAATAAATCACAAAAATACATATTGCATACATGTCTGTGTGTATGTTCACATATAGATGTGTTTCTTTCTGTATTTACAGTCATGTACCATATAACAATATTTCAAACCACATATACAACAATTGTCCCATAAGATTATAACATCATAGTTTTACTGCATCTTTTTTATGTTTATATACACAACTGCTTACTATTGTGTTACAATTGCCTACAGAATTCCATGAAATAACATACTGTATGGGTTTGTAGCTCAGAAGCAATAGGCTATACCTTATAGCCTAAGTATGTAGCAAGCATACCATTTAGGTTTATGTAAGCACACTATTATGTTTGCACAACAAAGTCACCTAATGATTCCTTACTCAGAACATATCTCCATCATTATGTGATGCGTGACTGTATATAAAATGTTTGATAATTAAATATACATACCAATACATGCAAATAAAATTTTGGGAGCAGCGTACTTTAATTAAAAAAAGAAAAGTTTGAACTGGGTTGGTGTTTTTTGTTCTACCATTGATCCCTTGAAAATGGTTTGCTTATCCACTGGAAAAAGGGTCATAAAACTAGTGAAACTATTTAAGAGAGCTATTACACACTCTGAGCCCAATAAGAGCATACTCAGGGCACAAAACTGACAAAATAACAAATATTGATATATAACATCTGGCTTCAAATACTCCCCTTGCTTAACATGCAGAATATTGGAAAGCTGAGGAATTTTAGAAAGAACACCTATTATATCCATTTGTGTTCTTTTGAGAGTTATTGGGCATAGGAAGTTGGTGGATGGTTTAATAAGCAGCAAAGGCAGGCAAATGCAAGCCAAGATGAGAGAGCAAGAACATCTGGGTTATCAGTATCTCCCAGATGCATTTTATGCAGAAATGTAAAGCAAAGAATTAGTGCCCCCTATTGTTTTAACTTCTACTGACAATCTTTATTAATAAATTATTATAGAACCTGGGAATTTTTAATCTATGCATCCGAAGAGAACCATTTATAAATTTTTAAACATAAAAAGAATAATAGTAAATAAGTCATTTATTAATATAAAATATTTTGTTGCTATTGAAGTTTTTAAGTGGAAGTTAAGATATCTAAAAGTATAATATTTAATACATGAGAAAATAAATTCTAAGACAATCTTACTGTATAATTTACCTAGTAAGTAATTACTAGATACTTAGGTTGTCATCAATTTTCTCTATAATAAATGTAATAAATAAGTGGTGGAGTATATAGACATGCACACACACATATACTTACATGTGTATAAATATAAAATTATTTGTATCTGTGAATTTCCTAAGTTAACTACCTGAACGTGGAACTAATGAGTAAAATTATATCACCAATTAATACATTTAAAAATTTTTCTTCATAAAAATAACACAAATTACAATGGGTTGTTAGCTGAAATGAAATTTATTTTGATTAGTTGCTATTGCCTATTACTTCTTCTGTGCTAATTATTTATTTGAGTTTTTTTCTTAATTTGGTTTTCTTATGCTTTACAAATACTCATGCCTATAAATGATTCTGAGCCTTTTTCCCCTAACTCATGTTTAATCACAGGCAATTGAATGTACTTTAATCCCACTCAGTATTATATCTAAGAAGAAATTTTAGTATTCCTAATAAAATAAATTTATTCAAAGTTTCTTATAAAGTTTTAAATATTATAATTATTATCTTAAAAATTTGTAATTATTATTATCTTAATTAAAAAACAGAACCAACAAAGACTTGCTCCATGCAATGTCAACAAATGTTATCTCATTAAAAATAACCCTTGGGCATCCCAATCCTTTTTGTCATACATTCTGTAAAAACACCTGTTTCACTCAGCATTTAAAAGAGAAGGCATGAATAACAAATTGAATTAATCTCAAATGCTTTAAAATGTAATTTTAAAGATACAGCTTAACATTTTTCATGTTATAAGTGACATTCTTTCACATTCCATGAAATAGGAAAACTAACCCCAAACACTCACAATGTTAAAATGGCTTTTAAGATTATTAATATTTGACACTTAGTGAGAATTTTTGGTTCATATACATATATAGTTTAAATTATATTGTGTTAATAAGTATAACAAAATAATTATAAATTTTACTATGTTTTATGTTTTATAGTAAATGTTATGATGGCACACTATTTCAAGTCTGAATAGAAAGCAAAATAAGAGTATCATTAATATAGCTTAGCTGTGTCCCCACCCAAATCTCATCTTGAATTCCCACATATTGTGGGAGGGACCCAATAAGAGGTCATTGAATCATAGGGGTGGATCTCCTCTGTGCTATTCTCATTATAGTAAATAAGTCTCATGAGATCTGATGGTTTTAAAAATAAGTAGCTTTCCAGCACAAGTTCTCTTCTCTTGTCTTCTGCCATGTGAGTGAGATGTGCCTTTCACCTTCTGCCATCATTGTGAGGCCTCCGTAGCCATGTGGAACTGTAAGTCCAATAAACCTCTTACTTTTGTAAATAGCCTAGTATTGGGTATTTCTTTATGAAGCAGCATGAAAATGGACTAATACATTTAATTGGTACCAGTGGAGTGGGGCATTAGGGAAAAGATGAAAAGATATCTGAAAATGTGAAAATAACTTTGAAACTGGGTAACAAGGAGTGGTTGGAACAGTTTGGAGGGCTCAGAAGACAACAGGAAAGTGTGGGAATGGTTGGAACTCCCTAGAGACTTGTGGAATGGCTTTGACCAAAATGCTGATAATCATATGGACAATGAAATTCAGGTTGAGTTGGTCTCAGATGGAGATAAAAGACTTGTTGGGAACTGGAGCAAAGGTGACTCTTGTTATGTTTTAGCAAAGAGACTGGCAGCATTTTGCCTCTGCCCTAGGCATTTGTGGAACTTTGAACTTGAGAGAGGTGATTTGGGGTATCTGGCAGAAGAAATTTCTAAGTAGCAAAGCATTCAAGAGGTGACTTGGTGCTATTAAAAACATTCCATTCGATAAGTGAAGCAGAGGATAAAAGTTCAGAAAATTTGCAGCCTGACAATGCAATAAAAAAGAAAAACCCATTTTCTGAGAAGAAATTCAAGCTGGGTGCAGATATTTGAACAAGTAATGAGAAGCTGAATGTTAATCACAAAGACGACTGGGAAAATGTCTCTAGGATATGCCAGAGACCTTTGTGGCAAACCCTCCGATTACAGACCCAGAGGTGTAGGAGGAGAAAATGGTTTCATGGGCCTGCCCTAGGGTCCCCATGCTGTGTGCAGCCTAGGGACTTGGAGCCCTGCATCCCAGTTGCTCCAGCCATGGCTGAAATGGACGAAAATAGAGCTTGGGTAGTGGCTTCAGAGGGTGCAAGCCCCAAGTCTTGGCAGCTTCCACATGATGTTGAGCCTGCAAGTGCACAGAAGACATGAGCTGTGGTTTGGAAACCTCCGCCTAGATTTCAGAAGATGTATGGAAATGCCTGGATACCCAGGCAGAAGTTTGCTGCAGGGTTGGGGCCCTCATAGAGAATCTTTGCTAGGGAAGTGCATAAGGGAGATATGGGGTCAGAGCCCCCCACACAGAATCCTTACTGGGGCACTGCCTAGTGGAGCTGTGAGAAGAGGACCACCGTCCTGCAGACCCCAGAATGGTAGATCCATCCACAGCTTGGACTGTGTGCCTGGAAAAGGTACAGACATTCAATGCCAGCCCACAAAGGCAGTTAGGAGGGAGGCTGTGCCCTTCAAAGCCACAAGGGCAGAGCTGTCCAAGACCATGGGAACCCACCTCTTGCATCAGCGTGACCTGCATGTGAGACCTGGAGTCAAAGGCGATCATTTTGGAAATTTAAGATTTGACCACCCTGCTGGATTTCAGACTTGCATGGGACCTCTAGTCCCTTTGTTTTGGCCGATTTCTCCCATTTGGAACAGCTGTATTTACCCAATGCCTCCACCCTCATTGTATCTAGGAGGTAACTAATTTGCTTTTGATTTTACAGTCTCATAGGTGGAAGGGAATTTCCCTGTCTCAGATGAGACTTTGGACTGTGGACTTTTGAGTTAATGTTGAAATGAGTTAAGACTTTGGGGGGCTATTGGGAGGGCATAATTGGCTTTGAAATATGAGGATATGAGATTTGAGGGGCCCCAGGGGCAGAATGATATGGTATGGCTTTTTCCCACCCAAATCTCATCTTCAATTCCCATATGTTGTGGGAAGGGTCCATGGGAGGTAATTGAATTATAGGGGCGGGTCTTTCCTGTGCTGTTCTTGTGATAGTGAATAAGTCTCATGAGATCTTATGGTTTTAAAAAGGGGAGTTTTCCTGCATCAGCTCTCTTCTCTTGTCTGCCACCATGTGAGATGTGCCTTTCACCTTCCACCATCATTGTGAGGCCTCCCAGCCACGTGGAACTGTAAGTCCAATAAATCTCTTCTTTTTGTAAATTGCCCAGTCTCAAGTACGGCTTTATCAGCAGCATGAAAATGGACTAACACAATCACAATAAAAATTGAACCATAAATTTGGTAAATTTTAACATCCCTAGAAGTATAATTATTTAAAAACTGAGCAAGCTTCAATAGTCAAAATTTTAATATTTGATATAACTTCAGTCAAAATTAATATTTATTGTGATTGTATTATAGCCTGTAAAATCACAGTCTTTTTAAACATATATTCTTGCAAGGACTTTGAGATAAACATCATCTTAGCTTTTCCATTTGTTTCACTACAATATTTTAATTAAATATAACTTTTTTGTGTTTAAAATTCTAAATAATTTCTGTTCTTTTACATTTGCTGAGGAGAGCTTTACTTCCAACTATGTGGTGAATTTTGGAATAGGTGTGGTGTGGTGCTGAAAAAAATGTATATTCTGTTGATTTGGGGTGGAGAGTTCTGTAGATGTCTATTAGGTCCGCTTGGTGCAGAGCTGAGTTCAATTCCTGGGTATCCTTGTTGACTTTCTGTCTCGTTGATCTGTCTAATGTTGACAGTGGGGTGTTAAAGTCTCCCATTATTAATGTGTGGGAGTCTAAGTCTCTTTGTAGGTCACTCAGTACTTGCTTTATGAATCTGGGTGCTCCTGTATTGGGTGCATATATATTTAGGATAGTTAGCTCTTCTTGTTGAATTGATCCCTTTACCATTATGTAATGGCCTTCTTTGTCTCTTTTGATCTTTGTTGGTTTAAAGTCTGTTTTATCAGAGACTAGGATTGCAACCCCTGCCTTTTTTTGTTTTCCATTGGCTTGGTAGATCTTCCTCCATCCTTTTATTTTGAGCCTATGTGTGTCTCTGCACGTGAGATGGGTTTCCTGAATACAGCACACTGATGGGTCTTGACTCTTTATCCAATTTGCCAGTCTGTGTCTTTTAATTGGAGCATTTAGTCCATTTACATTTAAAGTTAATATTGTTATGTGTGAATTTGATCCTGTCATGATGATGTTAGCTGGTTATTTTGCTCGTTAGTTGATGCAGTTTCTTCCTAGTCTCGATGGTCTTTACATTTTGGCATGATTTTGCAGTGGCTGGTACCGGTTGTTCCTTTCCATGTTTAGTGCTTCCTTCAGGAGCTCTTGTAAGGCAGGCCTGGTGGTGACAAAATCTCTCAGCATTTGCTTGTCTGTAAAGGATTTTATTTCTCCTTCACTTATGAAGCTTAGTGTGGCTGGATATGAAATTCTGGGTTGAAAATTCTTTTCTTTAAGAATGTTGAATATTGGCCCCCACTCTCTTCTGGCTTGTAGGGTTTCTGCCGAGAGATCTGCTGTTAGTCTGATGGGCTTCCCTTTGAGGGTAACCCGACCTTTCTCTCTGGCTGCCCTTAACATTTTTTCCTTCATTTCAACTTTGGTGAATCTGACAATTATGTGTCTTGGAGTTGCTCTTCTCGAGGAGTATCTTTGTGGCGTTCTCTGTATTTCCTGAATCTGAACGTTGGCCTGCCTTGCTAGATTGGGGAAGTTCTCCTGGATAATATCCTGCAGAGTGTTTTCCAACTTGGTTCCATTCTCCCCGTCACTTTCAGGTACACCAATCAGACGTAGATTTGGTCTTTTCACATAGTCCCATATTTCTTGGAGGCTTTGCTCATTTCTTTTTATTCTTTTTTCTCTAAACTTCCCTTCTCGCTTCATTTCATTCATTTCATCTTCCATTGCTGATACCCTTTCTTCCAGTTGATCGCATCGGCTCCTGAGGCTTCTGCATTCTTCACGTAGTTCTCGAGCCTTGGTTTTCAGCTCCATCAGCTCCTTTAAGCACTTCTCTGTATTGGTTATTCTAGTTATACATTCTTCTAAATTTTTTTCAACATTTTCAACTTCTTCGCCTTTGGTTTGAATGTCCTCCCATAGCTCAGAGTAATTTGATCGTCTGAAGCCTTCTTCTCTCAGCTCGTCAAAGTCACTCTCCATCCAGCTTTGTTCCGTTGCTGGTGAGGAACTGCGTTCCTTTGGAGGAGGAGAGGTGCTCTGCTTTTTAGCAGAGCTCTTGGGCTAGCCCACACTTAGTCTACAGCAATTGTTCAATATTTACATCTAAGTATTTTTTTCCAGTTTATGACTTTAGCAGCTTCTGCTCTATGCAAATTTCAGTCGTGGCTATCAGATACAATTGTTTCTTCAAATCCATACATTAATCCAGTATTTATTGTTTGTTAAAAATACTATAACAACTTTGGATTTTCAGTTTTATTTACTTTCAATATTGTTATTCCTGAAATTATACCATATAACATTTAATGACATATAGAATATGTACATTTAATATTATAACTTTCACTTCTATAAGTGGTTGACAATAGTAAACATTTCCAAAGTTTTTGACAACATTATCTGGTACTTCAGTTTGTAGATAAAATTACTAACTTTTTTTTTATTGAAGACTTAATTCTGACTTAGTTTCTGCTCCTATATGTAAAGAACCTGGTAACTGTCACTACCATACTTACACAAGAAAAACCTGGGCAATTTGAAAATCAATGACATTTTTTAGACCCATCAAAAAATTTAGGTTGCAGAATGAACCCCTACTGCAAAATCTGAAGAAACAATTGTATCTGATAGCCACGGCTGAAATTTGCATAGAGCAGAAGCTGCTAAAGTCATAAACTGGAAAAAAATACTTAGATGTAAATATTGAACAATTGCTGTAGACTAAGTGTGGGCTAGCCCAAGAGTGAGAATCAGTTAGATTCTACAGGTTTAGTAGACCACTATACTTTCATCAATTTTCCCTCCAGCAGTCTTACCGGGTTTTCTTGGTGAAGATGGAGAAAGATAGCCCCTGGTCTCTGGCAAGTTGAGGAAGGAGTAACCATTGTGAAATACATCTAGAGCCTTAGATTTAATAAAGACTCTTTCTCCAAGTGAAAAGACTTTGATAGGTCCTATCCCACATGGGGCAGAGTATTCCCACACCATCTTACTTTAACCTTCCTGATCATCGAAGACAGGAAAAAACAGGAAAAAAAGGAGCTTCAAGAAACTATACTGGGGAAGCTGATGCAGGAAGACAGTAGAGGGGTTTAGAGACAAAGAGCTGTTGCCCTGGTAAAACACATGTGAAGGCTCATCATTGTGATTCACTGGCCACTAAAATTTTGGGTAAGATTTAATTAGATAATTATAGAATGTTCCCTTTCTTTCACAACTTACCACCATATCAACAGTGCCTCAGTGTAATGATGGTGTATTATAGATAAAAGTGTGGAAAGGTCCAGAATCTACATGAGTAGTACTGTTGAGTAAAGCTTATATTCAGCAGGTGAGACAAAAACAAGGACATTAGAGTAACTTGAAGTCTCTAATGTCTGTAGCTACAGCAACATGAAAGAGCTGAAATATCACTCAGGTTAACATAAAAATTCTCTTAAAAAAACACATTTCCTTCAGTTCCTTCTATCCGAATGCAACATGTCTGGCATCCAACAGAAAATTACAAGGTAAGTCATAATTCAAAAAAAAAGTAGAGTATGAAGACACAATGCTTATATCAGAACTAGATTAACATATGAAAAATGTCAGACAGAATTTAAAACAACAATAACTAATATGGTAAGGGCTCTATCTGTGTTGCTATGAAGGAATATCTGAGGTTGGGTAATTTATAAAGAGGGTTATTTGATTTAGAGTTCTGAAGGATGTACAGGAAGCATGGTGCAAGCATCTGCCTCTGGTGTGAGCTTCAGGCTGCTTTCACTCATGGTGTCAGAGGCATTTGAACCAGAGCAACTCCATGCTGAATAGGGGCTGGGTAAAATAAGACTGAGACCTACTGGGCTGCATTCCCAGATGGTTAGGCATTCCAAGTCACAGGATGAGTTAGGAGGTGAGCACAAGATATGGGTTATAAAGACATTACTGACACAACAGATTGCGGTAAAGAAGCTGGCCAAATCCCTCCAAAACCAAGATGGTGACAAAAGTGACCTTTGGTCACCCTCACTGCTACACTCCCACCAGCACTATGACCATTTAGAAATGTCATGGCAACATCAGGAAGTTACCCTGCATGATCTAAAAATGGGAGGCATGAATAATCCACCCCTTGTTTAGCATATCATCAAGAAATAACCATAAAAATGGGCAACCAGCAGCCCTCAGGGCTGCTCTGCCTATGGAGTAGCCATTTTCTTGTTTCTTTACTTTTTAAATAAACTCACTTTCACTTTATGGGCTTGCTTCAAATTCTTTCTTGTGCAATATCCAAAAACCCTTGCTTGGGGTCTGAATTGGGACCCTTTTCTAGTAACAGTGTCAGGAGGGGCAGGGAAACCAGTGAGACAGGGGAACTCACTTGACCCCTTCACGAGACTAGTGACAAGGGTGTGGATCCCTTACTAGGCTACCACCACACTCAAACCCCTTGCAGGAGGGGGAGCATGCAGGATAGTAGGTGCGGGCACCAGGACAAGCACTTTTGGGCTTTGGCCCCATGGAAACATCTAGGGGTGTGTTACAGTTAATGCTTTTTTAGCAGTTGCCATCCATGGACAGCTAAGTGTTCACCAGCTCAGTGGAGAGTCAGGGTGACAGTCTTTAACACCTTGGCCTCTTGGTACCTGGGTTTTTGCACAGTGTCCAGGAAGAATTAGGTCACGTGGACTTGAAGGACGGTGAATGCAGAGATTTTGTTGGGTGATGGTGATGGTTGTCAGTGGTATGGGGAGCTAAAAAGGGGATGGAACAGGAAGAATAATCTTCCCCTGGAGGGGGAAGATAATCATAAGCCTTTCAATTATGCCTGGCAGAACTTCTTTGCAACTGTCCCTCGCCAGACTCCTCTCAATGTTCAGATGCTTCTTCTCTTCTCTCCTTCTCTGGCATGCTACTCCACTTCTCTGTCAGTGGAGTTTGGGGTTGTAATGGGTATAGGATGTAGGGGCATGGTGGGCCTGGGTAGTTTTGGAAAAAGCAACATTTAGGAAAACAGGGATAACTGTTTTTATTTAAGGTCATGGTTTCCAGGCTTGAGGATGGGACCTTTGCTGGGAAACCACCCTGTTCGAGCCAGTATTTCCCTGCCTTCAGTCCATATGGTTTGCCCACTCTGGAAAGGTACAGCTAACTGCCATTAGAATAGGGACAATGACCAATCTCAGCTATTTCTAGCTGAAAGGAGGCATTGTTTTGGGGAAAACAGAAGTCAGATTCTTCTCAGATGTTTACCTAAGGGTCCATGGCAAAGGGTCATTACCTTAATCATACCTAAGGGTCCATTATCCCAGGCTCTGGTTGCCTGACTGTTTGGAGTTTGATGGCTTCTAGGCAACAGAAAAAACAAAAACAAACAAACAAAAAAAAACACAAGTTTTATAAAGTTAAGTATGCATGGGTTAAATACATGTATTATGCAAGGAAAGAATCTAGTGGCAAAGATTACAAAAATAAGAAGTGAAATATAGTAACAACATTTTACCCCAAGCTGTTTCATCCCGGTGAAAGAAATTAAACCTTGTCTGAGAGTGGTTAAACTTTATGACAGAGATAACTGTTCTTGCCACATCTGTGTCAGTTAACAGATGCATCTTGGGAATTCTGGAGTTTGTGGGTTTGCACAGTGGCCATTAAACCTTCTGCTTCTTTCTTGTGTCTCCCTATTTCTATTGTAAAAGGCCGAGGTGGCCACTTTCAGGAGGTTCTCTAAAGTACTATATAGCCCCAGTGTCCATTTCTGCAACTTCCTCCTGATATCAGGGGCTGCCTGAATAATAAATTTATCCTTTAGGATTAGTTATCCCTTGATAGAATTAGGAGATAGAGAGGTGTGCTTTACCAAGGCCTCTCTTAGCCTTTCCAGGAAGGCAGCGGGATTCTCATCAAATTCCTGGTATATCATGGATTGCTTGGTGTAATTGAGAAGCTTGGTTCTAGTTTTACCTAAGCCTTCCATTATGCACACCTGAAAGTGTCTCCTCTTCCATTCTCCGATCTCAAATTTGGGATCCAATTTAGGGTCATTCACTGCTACTGCTTCTCTTCCAGTTGGATGCAGTTTAGCCTCTTCCCTGATGCTATATGTTATACAAAGCTCATCCCCAAATCTCTCTGCTGCTTGCAGAGTGGCCTGCTTCACAGTGTTAATCAGTGTCTGCTTCGAAAGTAACATAACATCTTTCCAGGAGAGTTAAGATACTTGAGTTAAATTTCTAGAAAGCCTCTATATATCTGTCAGGGTCATCTGAAAACATGCCAGGATCCCCCTTAATTTGCCTTAAGTCCTACAGAGAGAAGGGGACCTGGACCTTACTAGGGCCAAATTCACCAAGCATCTATTTACATTAAATCCCAGACAGACCTTGCCAAGTTTGCAGTAATCAGCCAGCAGGGGCCACTCCTCTGTTGCTTCCCTATTATAAGCAGAGTGCTGAGATACAAAAAGAACCTTCTCACTTAAAACAAAACAAAAAAAATAGCTTAAAATACATAATGGGGGGAACTGGGGGAAGAGCCTCTTGCTCTGTCGAAATGGGTTTCTTTAATTACTGTATCCCCCAGTTCAGACCTAGGAGGACCCTTTGGCATTGGGAGGAAAAGCTTCATTGGTGAGGGTGCATGACAGGAGGGGATGGCAAAAGGGAGGTGCCTGCCAGCCAGAGATGGAGCCCTTAGCCCCCAAGACAGCCCTGGCACCTGGGCAGTGTGCGCAGCACATTCTTGCCGTGCTTGGCCCTTGGGCATGGCACACGCCTCTGCCAGAGAATCACCCTTTTCTACCCAGTATTTCTCTACCTCCTCTTTGTATCACTAGCATGTGCAAGGCAAGAGAGAAGGCAAGGCCAGGGTTTGTGTGGACAGTTGCGGGGTAAGTATCAGGCTCTTTTAACAGCCAGTTCTCATGGAAACTAAGAGTGAGAACTGCCAGGCGCGGTGGGTCACACCTATAATCTCAGTACTTTGGGAGGCCAAGGCGGGTGGATCACGAGATCAAGAGATGGAGACCATTTTGGCAAACATTGTGAAACGTTATCTCTACTAAAAATACAAAAATTAGCTGGGCGTGGTGGCACGCACCTGTAGTCGCAGCTACTCGGGAGGCTGAGGCGGGAGAATGCTTGAACCTGGGAGGCAGAGGTTGCAGTGAACCAAGATCCCGCCACTACACTCCAGCCTGGTGACAGAGTGAGACTCATTTCAAAAGAAAAAAGAAAAAAAAGAGTGAGAACTTACTCACTGCTGAGAGAATAGCATCCAGCCATTCACAGGGGATCTGCTCCCATGATATGAACATATCCCACCAAGCCCCACCTCTAACACTGGGGATCAAATTTCCACATGAGACTCAGTGGAGTCAAACCACATCCAAACCACAGAAGGCTCCAATGGAAAAAGACAATATGCAAGCACAAATGCACAATGTGAACAGAGAGGTAGAAACACTAAAAAAAAATTTAACGTTAGAAATTTTAAAAAATGCAAAACTGTAAAAGAAGTGAAGAAAATATTTGATGGGTCCATCAGTAGAATAGTCATGGCTGGGGAAAAAAAATGAGTGAGCTTGAAGATAAATCAATCAAAACTTCCAAAATAAAATGCAAATAGAAAATGAATTTAAAAAGAAAAATAACATAACATACAAAGACTGTGGGATAATTTCAAAAAGGTATAAGATAAGCCAGGCTTATTTCACTTAAAACAATGATCTCCAATTCCATCCATGTTGCTGCAAATGAAAGGATGTCATTTCTTTGTGTCCAAATAGTATTCCACTGTGTAAATGTACCACATTTTCTTTATCCAGTCGTGTGTTGATGGACACTTAGCTTGCTTCCAAATCTTGGCTATTGTGAAAAGTGCTGCAACAAACATGAGAGAACAGGTATCTTTTTGATATACTGATTTCCTTTCTTTTGGGTATCTACCCAGGAGTGGGATTGCCACGTCATATGGTAGCTCCATTTTTAGTTTTTTCAGGAATGTCCAAACTGTTGTTTATTATAGTTGTACTATTTTACATTCTCTCCAATACTGTGTGAAGGTTCTTTTTTCTTTGATTTACATTTCTCTGATGATCAATGATGTTGAGCACCTTTTTATATGCCTGTTTGCCATTTGTATGTCTTCTTTTGAGAAATATCTATTCAAATCTTTTGCCCATTTTTTTGATGAGATCATTATATTATTATTTTCTGTGCAGTTGTTTGAGCTCCTTATATACTCTGGTTATTAATCCTTTGTCAGATGGGCAGTTTGCAAATATTTTCTCCCACTCTGTTTGTTGTCCCTTCACTTTGTTGACTGTTTTGTCTCTTAACTTTGTTAATTGTTTCCTTTGCTTGCAGAAACTTTTTAATTTGGTGTAATCCCATTTGTCCATTTTTGCTTTGACTGCCTGTGCTGTGTGTGCTCAAGAAATCTTTGCTGAGAGCAATGTCATGGAAATTTTCCCCAAAAATTCCTTGTAGCATTTTTATGGTTTGAGGTCTTAGATTTAATTTTTTCATCCATTTTGATTTGATTTTTTATATGGCCAGAGATAATGGTCTAGATTTATTCTTCTTCATATGAATATCCAGTTTTCCCAGTACCATTTATTGAACAGACTGTCTTTTCCCCAGTGTATGTACTTGGCAGCTTTGTTGAAAATGAGTTTACTGTAGGTGTCTGGACTTGTTTCTCGTTATTGATCTTTAGTTTATTCCCTTGTGTTCACAGAAAATGCTTCATATGATTTCAATTTTTTGAATGTTTTAAGACTTGTTTTGTGATGTAACATATTGTCTGTCCTTGAGAATGATCCATATGCTGAGAAAAAGAATGTGTATTGTGCAACAATTAGGTGCAATGTTCTTCAAATATCTATTAGATCCATTAGATCTATAAGCACAGACTAAGTCTGAGGTTTCTTTGTAGATTTTCTGTCTTGATATGTTTAATGCTGAAAGTGGGGTGTTGACGTCTCCAACTGTTATTATATTGGGGCCTATCTCTTGCTTTAGCTCTAATATTATTGCCTTTATATACCTGAGTAGTCCAGGGTTGTGTGCATATATATTTAGAATTGTTGTGTCCTCTTCCTGATTGATGTCTTTATTATTACATAGTAGCCTTCTTTGCCTCTTCTTATAGTTTTTGTCTTGAAATAAAATATTTTTTGTCTGATATAAATATAGCTATTCCTGCTGGGTTTTTTTCCATTGGCATGGAACATCTTTTTCCATCCCTTTATTTTTAGTCTATATGTGTATTTATAGGTGAATTGTGTTTCTTGTAGTCAACAGATCAATGAATCTTGTTTTTTAATCCATTTAGCTATTCTACGTCTTTTGATCAGAGAGTTTTGTTCATTTACATTCAATGTCATTATTGATAATTAAGGACTTACTCCTGCCATTTTTTTATTTGTTTTCTGGTTGTTTTGTGGTCTTCCCTTTCCTATTTTGTTTCTTCCCATCTTCCATTAGTAAAGGTGATTTTCTCTGGTGATACGATTTAGTCTCTTGCTTTTTACTTTTCCTCTATCTGTTGCATGATATTTAGTTTGAGGATTATCATGGTGCTTGCAACTACTATCATATAATTCATTATTTTAACATGATAACCACTTAACACTGGTTTTAACAAGCAAACAAGCAAAAATAAAACTAATGAAAAGCCTGTATTTTAACTTTCTCTCCCTGCTTTGTAACTTTTTTTCTATTTATATCTGATTTTACTGTCTCTTTCTTGAAAAGTTGTTGTAGTTCTTATTTTTGATAAGTTCATCATTTAGTCTTTCTACTTAGTAGAAAAGTAGTTTACACACCACAGTTACAGTGTTAAAGTATTATGGATTTTTTTGTGGTGTACATACTATTACCAGTGAGTTGTGTACCTTCAGGTGATTACTTATTAGTCATTAATGCCCCTTTCTTTTCTATTGAATTACTCCCTTTAGTATTTCTTGTAGGACAGGTCTGATGCTGATGAAACTCCTCAGTTTTTGTTTGTCTTGGAAAGTCTTTATTTCTCCTTCATGTTTGAAGAATATTTTCAGTAGATATACTATTCTAGGTTAAAAAAGTTTTTTTTTTTTCTTTCGGCACTTTAAATATGTCATGCCACAGTCTCCTGGCCTGAAAGGTGTCTTCTGAAAAGTCTGCTGTCTGATGTATTGAAGCTCCATTGTATTTTATGTTTCCTTTTTCTCTTGCTGCTTTTAGGGTTCTTTTTTTTTTTTTTTTTTTTTAATTATACTCTAAGTTTTAGGGTACATGTGCACATTGTGCAGGTTAGTTACATATGTATACATGTGCCATGCTGGTGCGCTGCACCCACTAATGTGTCATCTAGCATTAGGTATATCTCCCAATGCTATCCCTCCCCCTTCCCCCGACCCCACCACAGTCCCCAGAGTGTGATATTCCCCTTCCTGTGTCCATGTGATCTCATTGTTCAATTCCCACCTATGAGTGAGAATATGCGGTGTTTGGTTTTTTGTTCTTGCGATAGTTTACTGAGAATGATGGTTTCCAATTTCATCCATGTCCCTACAAAGGATATGAACTCATCATTTTTTATGGCTGCATAGTATTCCATGGTGTATATGTGCCACATTTTCTTAATCCAGTCTATCATTGTTGGACATTTGGGTTGGTTCCAAGTCTTTGCTATTGTGAATAGTGCCGCAATAAACATACGTGTGCATGTGTCTTTATAGCAGCATGATTTATACTCATTTGGGTATATACCCAGTAATGGGATGGCTGGGTCAAATGGTATTTCTAGTTCTAGATCCCTGAGGAATCGCCACACTGACTTCCACAATGGTTGAACTAGTTTACAGTCCCACCAACAGTGTAAAAGTGTTCCTATTTCTCCACATCCTCTCCAGCACCTGTTGTTTCCTGACTTTTTAATGATTGCCATTCTAACTGGTGTGAGATGATATCTCATAGTGGTTTTGATTTGCATTTCTCTGATGGCCAGTGATGATGAGCATTTCTTCATGAGTTTTTTGGCTGCATAAATGTCTTCTTTTGAGAAGTGTCTGTTCATGTCCTTCGCCCACTTTTTGATGGGGTTGTTTGTTTTTTTCTTGTAAATTTGTTTGAGTTCATTGTAGATTCTGGATATTAGCCCTTTGTCAGATGAGTAGGTTGCAAAAATTTTCTCCCATGTTGTAGGGTGCCTGTTCACTCTGATGGTAGTTTCTTTTGCTGTGCAGAAGCTCTTTAGTTTAATTAGATCCCATTTGTCAATTTTGTCTTTTGTTGCCATTGCTTTTGGTGTTTTGGACATGAAGTCCTTGCCCACGCCTATGTCCTGAATGGTAATGCCTAGGTTTTCTTCTAGGGTTTTTATGGTTTTAGGTTTAACGTTTAAATCTTTAATCCATCTTGAACTGATTTTTGTATAAGGTGTAAGGAAGGGATCCAGTTTCAGCTTTCTACATATGGCTAGCCAGTTTTCCCAGCACCATTTATTAAATAGGGAATCCTTTCCCCATTGCTTGTTTTCTTATACACCAATAACAGACAAACAGAGAGCCAAATCATGAGTGAACTCCCATTCACAATTGCTTCAAAGAGAATAAAATACCTAGGAATCCAACTTACAAGGGATGTGAAGGACCTCTTCAAGGAGAACTACAAACCACTGCTCAAGGAAATAAAAGAGGACACAAACAAATGGAAGAACATTCCATGCTCATGGGTAGGAAGAATCAATATCGTGAAAATGGCCATACTGCCCAAGGTAATTTACAGATTCAATGCCATCCCCATCAAGCTACCAATGACTTTCTTCACAGAATTGGAAAAAACTACTTTAAAGTTCATATGGAACCAAAAAAGAGCCCGCATTGCCAAGTCAATCCTAAGCCAAAAGAACAAAGCTGGAGGCATCACACTACCTGACTTCAAACTATACTACAAGGCTACAGTAACCAAAACAGCATGGTACTGGTACCAAAACAGAGATATAGATCAATGGAACAGAACAGAGCCCTCAGAAATAATGCCACATATCTACAACTATCTGAGCTTTTAGAGTTCTTAAAAAAAAATGTGAACTTTAAGAGTTTATTAAACTCCTTGAGGTAGTCTTATTTGTCTTAAATCTGCTTGCTGCTTCATAACCTTCTGGTACTTGGATGTTGATATTTTTCCTAGGTTTGAGAAGTTCTATGTATTTAAATAAACTTTAAATAAATAAGCCTTATCCATTTCTCTACTCTCACTTTAATGCCAATAACTTTTAGATTTGCCTTTTTAAGGCTATTTTCTGAATCTTGCAGGCATGCTTTTTTTTTGTTTGTGTGTGTGTGTTTTTTTGTTTTGTTTTTTTTTTTTTTTTGAGACGGAGTCTCACTCTGTCACCCAGGCTGGAGTGCACTGGCACGATCCTGGCTCACTGCAAGCTCCGCCTCCTGGGTTCATGCCATTCTCCTGGTAGGCATGCTTTTTAAAAAATTCTTTTTTCTTTTGTCTCCTGCATGTATTTTCAAATAGTTTAATAGTATTTTAATAGTATTTTTAATTATTCAAGCTCAATAATTCTTCTGCTTAACCAATTCTGCTATTAAAGGACACTGATGCATTCTTCAGTGTGCCAATTGCATTTTTTCAGCTATAGAATTTCTACTTGATTATTTTTAATTATTTCAATCTGTTTGTTAAATATATCTGTTAGAATTCTGAACCTTTTCTGTTTTCCTGAATTTCTTTTAATTTCCTCAAAACAGCTATTTCGAATTCTGTGTCTGAAAGATCACATATCTCTGTTTCTCCAGGATTGGTACCAGATGTCTTATTTAGATTATTTGGTGAGGTCATGTTTTCCTGGATGGTGTTGATGCTAGTAGATGTTCTTCAGTGTCTAGGCATTGAAAAGTTAAATATTTATTGTAGTCTTCACTGTCTGCTCTTATTTGTACCCATCCTTCTTGGGAAAGCTTACCAGATATTTCAAAAAACTTGAGTGTTGTGATCTAAATTGTATCTGCTTTAGGAGGCACCCCAAGAGCACTGTGGTTCTTTCAATCTCATACAGTTACCACCTAGATGGCCTTGAATAAGATCTCAAATAATACTCTAGATTATCAGGCAGACTCTTATTCTCTTCCCTTATTTTGTCCTAAAGAAATAGAGTCTCTCTCTGTTCTGAGCCACTTGGAATTGAGGGTGGAGTGATACAAGCACCCCTATTGTTACCAACACTATGACTGCACTGGGTCAGACCTGAAGCCAGAACAGCAATGGGTCTTGGCCAAGTCCTGCTGTAGCCACTCCCTGGATACTGCCTACATTCTCTCAAGATCCTGGGGCTTTACACTCAGCAGGTTGCAAAGCCAGCCAGGCATGTGTTCTTTTTAGGGTGGCAAGTTTCCCAGTCCCCAGGTGAGTCCAGAGGTGCCTAGGAGCCTGGGACTAGAGTCAAAAAATCTTAGAAGTCTATCTGGTATTCTACTGTACTCCAGCAAATCTGATACTCAAACCACAAGACACATCTTTCTCACTTTTTCCTCCCCTTTCCAAAGGCAAAGGAGCCTCAGCCCATGGCCATAAAGGAGCCTTAACCCATGGCCACCACCACCGTAGGCCCATGAAGAATACTGCCAGGCTCATTGGTATTCCTTAAAGACCACGGGCACTTTACTCGACCTATGGTACGTGCTTTCTGGCCTGAGATTCATCCTTTAGGCCAATTGACTCCACTCTTGCCCAGGGCAGGTCCAGATATGCTTTCTAAGAGTCACATTCTGGAATCAGGGACAATAAGATCCCACTCGGTTTTCTACTCCCCTGTAGCTAAGTTGTTAGTCAAGGTACAAGACAATATCCTGTATTATATATCATTACATATATGTATGTATACATATGTGCATGTATATATGTATGTGTGTGTGTGTATATATATATACATATATATATATATAAAATACTGACCATATGTCAAGAATTATGCCAAATCTAGAAATGAAATTAATTTATAATCTAATGGAGGCTACAAAAAAAAAAGGATTGTGGCAATAAAGATGGATACAAGTTCACTAGGCTATAAATCAATTTCTTTTTTTTTTTTTTTTTTTGAGACAGAGTCTTGCGCTGTTGCCCGGGCTGGAGTGTGGTGGTGCAATCTCGGCTTACTGCAACCTCTGCATCCTGGGTTCACACCATCCTCCTGCCTCAGCCTCCCGAGTATCTGGGACTACAGTTGCCTACCACCAAGCCCAGCTAATTTTTTGTATTTTTAGTAGAGACAGGGTTTCACTATGTTGGCCAAGCTGGTCTCAAACTCCTGACCTCGTGATCCGCCAGCCTCGGCCTCCCAAAGTGCTGGGATTACAGGCATGAGCCCCCGCACCTGGCCTAAATCAATTTCTTAATAGTGAATGGCAATGGACATTTATATTTTAACTTACCTCTCACAGTTCAAATGAAATTCAAATTTATCCTTAGTGCATGTTAAGAGCTGTAGAGTGGCAGAAGTACATTAATCTCCTCAAGATTATGTGTACAAAATTACTTAATATCCACATTGAGTACATTGAAAAAAAATCACAGAATTTGAATTTCTGTTATAACTAATCTGAAGATACTTTTTGGCCTCACAAAATATTACAAGCATTTGACACAACAGAAATTTCACAGTGTAAACATAGATACTTCTCCTAGTCTATTAATTTACTGGGATGTGCAAATTGTTCTGCTATCTGGGTGAGGCTGTAGAAAACAAGTGCTATAAAATTGATTGTTTCTTATTCCTAGAATTGTGCTTTTCCTGATTCATGTTGTCAATTATTTAACTCTTCATGGCTACAGGAGCCCTTTCAACAAGATGGACTTTCATAAAGGAAAAATACTATATGAAGCATCACTATCATAAAGATGCTTTTCCACTTTCTCCAAATGTAATTTATATATCATAATGCTTTATCAGCAATATTTTCAAGAAAATTTATTTTTTGTTTTTCTGTACTACAAATAATATCTATAGCTTCAAAATATGTTATGATTACCATCGTGAATCTGAATTTAGCATTATTTTTATAGATGCTTGCTTTTTAATTTATATATTTCAAGTCATGCCCCAAAATGATCAACAAATTAATAAATTTATATAATGCTTTTATTCTTAAATTAATAATTTGAAACACATACCTAAAAACTTGATTAGAGTTTTGACTCCTGTGTCAAAGGATTTTACATGCTTTCATATGAGTATGTAGATGCAACATTTTGAACCCAGAGGGAAAATGTTGTTTATGTATTTTCTTATTCCAAAGTTATTTATTAATTTTAGTAAATTTTTTGCTTGTTTGTTTTGTTTCTGGCACTGATAATATGTAATGTGAGAGTGGGGGCCCTCACATAGTCACACAATTGGTTTTATATAGAATGTTACCATCACCTGAATCTAAATAATGTCAGTTTGATTTACTGTATAAAGTTAAGATAATTTTATGGTTTTTTTCTAGGATAGAATTTAGGCCAAAGAAAATTTACAGCTTTAAAAATATCTTCATTAATTTTTTTCCTTGAGTTGGTTAGTCTTGTGAATAACTTTTTTCCAAAAATTTTAAAATTAAAAAAATGATAAACTGTTTTATCTACTTGTAATCGGCTAGCAGTGAGATACAGTCACTCAAAATACTTCAATCCAGATTAAGGGTTACCAGGATATAAAAGATTGGAGGATAATTTAATTATTTAAAGTGATAAAACATGGAACATCTCCAGGTTAAACATATTGAAGAGGAAGATCTTCATTTCTAAAATAATAATAATATTAATCAGATGAAAGTTTAAAAATCACCAGAGCATCTAGTTAGAAAAGGAGCCAACTACTTAGTCTTAGATGATGCAAAATGGAGAAAAAAGTTTGAGTTGATTCGGTGACCAGAGCTTAGTATTGAAGAATCACATGGTCCAAGTGAAGCAGGTTGTTCATGACAGATCAGCTAGCATAATGAACTAGATAAAAGCTGCTGCAAAGTCATTTAACTCTGAGAAGGGAAATCGTCCTTCTCTCTTACATGCCAAGAGGAGCTCTCCAGAGGAATTTGCTTATATGCCACAATACAAGCCATGGTGGATTAGCTTTATGATGATTAAGATGTTTATCAACTTATTATATTTCCTACTCAGGTCATTGTAAATGTTGTGATTAAGTGGGCATGTGTTGCACGGGTGTCTCATGTAAACTTATTGTTATAAAATCAAACAACAGTCCAACAGCCGTATCAGCTCCTTTGTTTCAGCATTCTCTTATGGGTTTTTCAGATGTTAAGAAAATTAGAGTGATTAGCACAAGAAAGGGCAAAGACTGCAGCTAGAAATACTTAAATGATAATTAAGGAAAGAATGAAAATGAAGTGGATGTTGATGAATTTCAAGCAAAGTCTTAAGTCAGAGGTTAGATGGACTGGTAGGAGACCTTTGTGATCCCCCAACATTTAATGGTTGAAACAAATCTATTCTGTTCAAACAGGTTGGGATATTTTTAAAGCCAGAAGGCAAAGATGGCAGTGAGAAATCTGAACTGGAATCAACAGGGGCAAATTAATCAGGTTGAAGATTAACAGAGTCTTGGTTTCCTTAGCCTGAGCCCTTGCTGGGTACTAAAATTCATATGTACATGTGTGGTTAAAATGGCCAGGAATGGAGAAGAAATCTCTCTGATGCTTCTTCACATGGAGCCCAATGCACTGTGATTTCAAACCTCTTGATGAAGCCCTAATATAGGACTATAATTAGATGGGCAATATACTCTCTCTCTCTCTCTCTGTGTATATATATGTATATATATAAAATACATATATATTACATATGTAATATGTATATCATATATATATAAAACAATTGATGGAATTAAGGTGAAAATTTGCATGAAAATTGCATTTATGGACTATTGGTACATGTCTAGACATCATGGGAAAAGCTGAACTTACTTTTATTAAGGAGTGATACTTAGTGGAAAATAATTTGTTTTCCAGAATAAGCGGATTTGAAGAAATTCTTATTCAAGAGGAAGTCAAGGGATATAAGTCAGCATGGAAAGATGAAGATTAATGAAGTGAGCCAGATAGACTTGATAAATAATGCTGGATAATGTTAGGACCCAATGTCATGGAATAACTTGTACTCTGACCCAATAGAGCCTCTTGACTATTTTAGTACAGGTGGAGGCTGGAAGTAGCCATTGGGCTGTAGCTCTGTCTTCCAGGCGATGAAACTCAAGGGGCACATTAAAAGGAATCTCATAGGCCTCTAAACTTACAAAAGTCTCGAAAGCATTTGCAATATACATTGATAAACTATGACTGTCCTTACCTTAAGACTATATAAGACACAAAATGTTTCAGTCTCAGATTTTTAAAGACATCAAGTACCACTATAAATGTTTTTAAGTATAAAGGGCTGGTTGTGGTGGTTTATGATTGCAATCCCAGCACTTTTGGAGGACAACGCTGGAAGATTGCTTGAGGCCAGGAGTTTAAGACCTGTCTTGATAACATAGTGAGACCCCTTCTCTACAAAAATGTGAAAATTAGCTGGCTGTGATGGCACATGCTCACAACCTTAGCTACTCAGGAGGCTGAGGCAGGAGGATCACTTGAACTCAGGATTTAAGACCCCAATGACCCATGATTGCATGACTGTACTCCAGCTTGGATGACAGAGTGAGTCACTGTCTCAAATTATAAGGCTCATAATGAGAAGGATTGCTACATTTTTTGAGAAAGCGTTGATATGGTTTGGCCATATCTCCATCCAAATCTCATATTCAATTGTAGTTCCCATAATACCCATGTGTTGTGAAAGAGAACCAGTGGGAGGTAATTGCATCATGGGGGTGGTTACTTCTATGCAGTTCTTGAAACAGTAAGCGAGCTCTTATGAGATCTTATGGTTTTATAAGGGGATTCCCCCACCACTTTGCTCTGCACTTCTCCTTGCTATTGCCAGGTGATGAAGGACATGTTTGCTTCCCCTTCCACCATAATAGTAAGTTTCCTGAGGCCTCCACAGCCCTGCTGAACTGTGAGTAAATTAAATCTCTCTTTTTAAATAAATTACCCAGTCTAGGGTATGTCTTTATTAGCAGTGTTAAAACAGACTAATACAGTAAATTGGTACTGGTAGTGGGGCACTACTGTAAATAAACCCAAAAATGTGAAAGCAACTTTGGAATTGGGTAACAGACAGAGATTGAAACAGATTGGAGTGGTCAGAGGAAGACAGGAAAATGTGCGAAAGTTTGGAACTTCCTAGAGACTTGGATGGCTCAGAAGACAGGACAATGTAATCAAGTTTGGAACTTCCTAGAGACTTGTTGAATGGCTTGGATCAACATGCTGATAGTAAAATGGACAACAAAGACCAGGCTGAAGTGATCTCAGATGGAGATAAGGAACTTATTGGGAACTGGAGTAAATGTCACTCTTGTTAAGTAAAGAGACTAGCAGCATTTAGCCCCTGCCCTACAGATCTGTGAAACTTTGAACTTGAGAGAGATGATTTAGTGCATCTGGCAGAAGAAATTTCTAAGCAGTAAAGCATTCAAGAGGAAGCAGAGCATAAAAGTTTGGAAAATTTGCAGCCTGATGATGCAATAGAATAGAAAAACCCATCTTCTGGGGAGAAATTCAAGCCAGCTCCAGAAATTTGCACAAGTAATAAGGAGTCAAATGTTAATCACCAAGACAGTGGGGAAAATGTCTCCAGGGTATGTCAGAGACAATCACAGTAGCCCCTCCCATCATAGGCCCAGAGGCCTAGGAGGAAAAAATGGTTTTGTGGGCCAGGCACAGACCCCACCGTTCTCCGTACAGCTTAGGGACTCGGTGCCCTGCATTCCAGCTGCTCTAGCCTTGGCTAAAAGGGGCCAAGGTACGGCTCAGGCCATGGCTTCAGAGAGCACAAGCCACAAGCCTTGGCAACTTCCACGTGGTGTTGAGCCTGTGGGTGTATAGAAATCAAGAATTGAGGTTTGGGAACCTCTACCTAGATTTCAAAGGATGTATAGAAACACCTGGGTGTCCAGGCAGAAGTTTGTGGCAGGGTGGGGCCCTCACGAAGAACCTCTGCTAGGGCAGTGCAGAAGGAAAATGTGGTGTCGTAGCCTCCATACAGAGTCCCTACTGGGGCACTGACTAGTGGAGCTGTGAAGAGGACCACCGTCCTCCAGACCCCAGAATGGTAGATCCACTGACAGCATGCACTGTGCACCTGGAAAAGCCACAGACACTCAATGTTGGCCTGTGAAAGCAGCCAGTAGGGGTCTTTAACCTGCAAAGCCACAGGGACAAAGTTGTCCAAGAGCATGGGAGACTACCTCTTGCATCAGTGTGACCAGGATGTGAGACACGGAGACAAAGGAGATTATTTTGGAACTTTAAGGTTTAATGGCTGCCCTACTGGACTTCAGACTTGCATGGGGCATGTACCCCAATTTCTCCCATTTGAAATGGGTGTATTTCCCCAATGCCTATATGCCCATTTATCTAAGACATAACAAAATTGGTTTTGATTTTACAGGTCCATAGGCAGAATGGACTTGCCTTGTCTCAGATGAGACTTTGCTGATAGAGAAAATCTATAGTATAATGCAAAACATTGGAACAGTGTCATCAGTTGTCAGTCTTTCTTGTCTAATAATGACATGTCAAATGACTACTGATTATCTGATCTGAATGTTAAAAACAAAAATCTGTATTCTTAGATATTAAAGTAACTGTTTATTCCACTCATTTTTTCCCACTGCCTCATTAGTTTTCATCTATTCAACCTATATTACATAAAATTTGTCATCAAATTAACATTAATTACATCCCCCCAATACTCCCCTTTATTATTCCTCTACTCAATTTCCTGTTACTTGTTCAAAACTATAGTTGAATTGACATTTCTAGAGTACCAAGTATTTAAGGAACACTTAATTTTAGTGGCCAGAAGACATGTCAGAAAGAGCTGCTTACAAGAGTAAATAATTATAATAAATGTCAAGACTTTGAAACCTTCATTCTAAATCAAGTGAGTAAACCTTGAATCTTTATTACAGTGAGATTAAAACACTAATTTTACTTTGTAGAAGTATTACCTATGAAGTTCCCAGGTTTAGGAATAGTTGGCATTAACATATTAATCATAGTAATTAATTACAAAATAATTGGTGCGGTGAAAATGGAATGAATTTTAGAACCAGACATATAATGGGTTCCTTTATATATCTACTGTTCACTTTTTGGTGATTTGGCAAAATTAGTATAATCTTTCTGAGTTTTCTTTTCCGTACAATGGAATTAACAAATAATACCAAAAGTTCTAGAGGATTCTTGAAATAATAGATATAACCACCCAGGTACAACTTAGATAATCAAAACAAGTTTATTTCTGCCAGTTTCATTATCAGCCTTCTATTAATTTTTATATGCAAAATTCTGGATACTGGACTTAAATTGCCTTTAGCATTTTGCAATTTCTCTTTGTTCAATTGTAACATAAACTAACTTGAGAGAAGTAATACAGTATGTTATTTTAACTCAGTTCATTCCCTTTAAAAGCTCCTATAGTACATCATTCTCCATGATAAAATTAACACAGTCAGATAATTGCCCATCAGGCCTACTTTATTAGACATTTTTCATACTGCTATAAAGTCTATACCTGAGACTTGGTAATTTATTTTAAAAAGAGATTTAATTGACTCACTGTTTTGCATGGCTTGGGAGACCTCAGGAAATTTACAATCATGGCAGAAGAAGAAAGGGAAGCAAAAACCATCTTCACATAGCAGCAGGAGAGAGAAGGGAAAGTGAAAGGGAAAGAGCCCCTCATAAAACTATCAGATCTCGTGAGAACTCACTCACTATTATGAGATCACCATGGGGAAAACTTCACCCATGACCCAATCGCTTCCCATCTCCCACCCTTGATACGTGGAGTTTACAATTTGAAATGAGATTTGGGTGCAGACACAGAGCCAAACCCTATCACCTGCAGTTTCAGAAAATATATTATTTCAGATCAAACAATGGGTATATGAAGTCCTGCAAACTTGATCCATACAAAACATATCAGTGTATTCTTTCATAAAAGTCAAAATGCTGTTGAGAAAACTGATTTTCAGGATTGGCAAATCAATATATATCTTTCTAAGAGTTAGACTTATAGTTAAACCACATAATAATAAAAAATGTCCGTGTGTCAAAAGCCAGAATAAGTGTTGATATATGATTCATGTTTTTTATGTATCTGCCACATGGATGGAAGAACTTCAATCTGTGGAGAGTTTTTAAATGGATATTTACAACTACTTTCATTTTGCCATTATGTTGATGTGATTTTCTTAAATGATTTTTCTCTAAGCAAGGTAGAATTTGATGAAGTTTCTGCTTTGCAAATTAAAGTCATGTCTATTTTTATCTTGTTGCCATTATACTGATGATTACGTGAGTATAATATTTCAAAATTTTCCAAAATGTTTAGTGATATCCTTTTCCACAATTTCTTGATTTATTTTTAAGCAACTAAATTTATATGAGGATTCTATTTTTTAAACTAATTCTTAGAATGACATCTTACTATTATAATTTTTAATCACAAATTACACTAGTGGATTGGTAAGAGATGAAGAAATATTTCAAAAGCTGGTTGGTAAAAGATATTTCCAATAAAAATGGTTTTCCTTAGATTTATCGTAAGAATGTTTCGATTAGAAAGTATTATACAGTATTGCTTTAAAATGACTTTAATGCAATATAGTCATTCTTCTATCTGATTTTATGCTACACTATTTGGAAATAATTATAATGTTAATTAAATTTAACTGGATTTTCTTGAATTCGTGGCTATACTAGTCTAATATTTTATGCTCATAGAAAGTATTTCTGTTCATTTATCATTGATATTTATTATTACCTTTAAATTTATTATTTATTATTACAGCTACCCTAAATTACAGGGTTATTTAAAAGCAAATTAAAATTATAAAACACTATTTAAAATAGCAAAATGACTTTGGCAAATATGTACTGTTCTACACATTTTAATTGTAGAATTGTAATGTTAAAAAATCAATGAATTTTCCAAAATAGAACTACATTATGTTAAAAAATGAAGTTTTAATCTAAAAAACCTACTCACTGGTTCTTCAGAAGATTAAACAATATTGATAGAATGCTAGCTAGATTAATAAAGGAAAAGAAAGAGAGAAGATACAAACACAGCCAAAATAGAACTACAATGTGTTAAAAATGAAGTTTTAATCTAAAAACCCTACTTACTGGTTCTTCAAAAGATTAAACAATATTGATAGACTGCTATCAAGGTGAAGTCCCACAATAGGCCATCTGCAAGCTGAGGAGTAAGGAAGCCAGTCCAAGTCCCAAAACCTCAAAAATATAAAAGCCAACAGTGCAGTCCTCAGTCCGTGGCCAAAGGCCTGAGAGCCCTTGGCAAATCATTGATATAAGTCCAAGAGTCCAAAAACTGAAGAACTTGGAGTTTGATGATGGAAGGCAGGAAGCATCCCGCATGGGAGAAAGATGAAGGCTGGAGGACTCAGCAAGTCTGCTCATTCCACTTTCTTCAGCCTGCTTTGTTCTAGCCAAGCTGGCAGCTGATTAGATGGTGCCCACCCAGATTAGGGGTGGGTCTGCCACTCCCAGTCCACTGACTCAAACGTTAATCTCCTTTGGCAACACCCTCACAGACACACCCGAGAACAATACTCTGCATCCTTCAATTCAATAAAGTTAACACTCAATGTTAACCATTACACCACAGAAGCTCTTTGGCTTTACGAGTTAATACAATAAGCCCGAGAATGTTGAAAACTGTTATACTACATAGTAAAGAACAGCTTATGAGGATTTAATTAGAGAGGAAGGGAACAAAGTTAGGTGAGAAACAGTGAGGGTTTAAACTAGTGACATTGGTAAAGAAGGAAGATGGACAGATTCAGTGACATTTAAATATACCTGAGACAGAAAATTTTCGTTGATTCATTTTGAAATATGAAAGATTTAAGGATGACCCAGGGTTACTTAGCATGAAGAAATTGATGGACAATGATCCAATTTACTGAAGGGTGAGAAAAAGTAGGTTTCTTTTTTGTGGAAGTGGGGAAATGTGGGCTTGTGTTGTGAGGAATTATGAGTTTAGATTCAAATATACTAATTTTTTTTTGTTGGTTCCTATTTTTCAATGCCTTTTCATGAACTATCATTCACATGTATTTCTCAAAATTTAAAACTACTTTTAATAGGAGTCTTTGTACTAATCCCTTATTCTTAAACCCAATTTATCTCTTGTTCCTCAAAACTTGCACCCTCTTAGACATTCAACTTACCTAATTATCCTCCTCTTCCCATATGTTAATTGTTGGCTGTTTTCACGGCTTTGAGTTAACTTTGTGCTTGACATCAAAGCACACAACGTAGCTGCCTATTCAAGAGAAGATTTGCTGGCCGGCTGTGAAGAAATGAGGTCGGCAGACAGCCTTCAGCTCTCAGCTCCCTTAGTGTATGCCTCAGCTGCAGAGAGCTACCTGCCTAGAGGACATGCTCTTCTCAGGAGCAGCCTACTTCTGATGACTGAGGAAGACAAGGGTATAAATGTCCAGTGCTTTCAGTTCAATATAAGACAATGCAGGTGAGCAACTCCTGACAGATTGACTGTGGTTTGCTTGGACTGCATTATGTTTTAACTTGTCCCTCTGCTCTAACCTATTTCCTCCGCCTTCTTTTGCAGATATTTATTCCAAATCAATCCTGCACCAGAAGCTCCATTTCTGCATTCGCTTCCAGAAAACACAGCAGCCGTATGTGAATTTGGGAGTGGTCCCACGAACCGGTTATGAGACGAGGTTTTGGAGCTGGATCACACCTGACACAACTGGCATTGAAAACCTTATTACCAAGAGCCTCTGGCACAAGGTAGAAGTCCAGTTGTAAAAACATTCATTGCTGATGAATTGGGACAGTAGAAGTTGATGGAAAAACAGAATTAAGAAGTGTGGTATATCTGGCACTTCAAACTTTTTGGGAAAAAAAGATAACTGCAAATGCAAAGACAATGGAATTGGATGCTTTTTGCTAAACTGCGCTAATACTCAACAAAAAATAATGAAAAACTGAGGAAAATTTAAAAGTAATTAAAAACCAACAGTGAATGCCAGAGGGTTTCTTTGTAAGGCAAATAAAGACCTTACTGCCTTCTTCAGAAAGGCAAAAAATCTGAGGCCCATGGTGAAGACACAATAATGGCTAAGTGGTTGAACTTTACCAAAGGGCACTGGTAGGGAACACTAGTAACTGTGACACATGAGATGAAGTTATATGGGTAAATGTTTCCAAAGATTTTGATTCCTCAGGCACTGAAACTACAACTTCTGAGCCTGCAGAAATAATCTACCTTTCCCTTCAAGAACTAGAATTATCCATTTGTTGAGGAAACAAAATGCAAAGGGTTTTTCACAAAAGTTGAGTGGCCTCCTTGGGCCACCTTCCCCCCTGTCCATTACGCCTATAATAAGGGTTAATTCACAGTATGACATAAATAGGATGCAAAAAGTCTGATGAGAGAGGAAAAGGCTCTATTTCAAAGGAGCTAGAAAACCTAGGTAGGGGGAATATGTGTATGAGTAGATTCTAAGCGTGCTTGTTCAGTGACACCAGCATATAAAATTGAAAAGGGGGGAGTTGATTGATTTCAAACACTCTCCCAAGATTACAGAATTTAATTCCCTAGGAAGGATCCAAGGAAATGGTATGAATTCACTGCTAGGATGGCTCCTAAAAGAATGAAAAATGTAACAACTAGTTTTGATTAAAGTTGAAATACCAAAGTTGTAATATGAAATGGTGAAGGGAGGAAATAAAAGGCTCAAGGAATTGGACGTGCTGGAATGAATACACTATCTACAGCTGAAAGATGCGGTAAAATATTATGTTCCATCAGAATGCTCAGAGGACAAATTATTCCTAAAAGCGTACGGTTTTCATGGAGAGATGCACCCATAACACTAAAAAGATCAGAGATGTTCTCCTTTGTAGGAAAGGGCTGATTCCATTGGAAAGTTACCACAGAACTTGACTTGAAGATAGCAGAAGATATGATAAAACCCCAAAACAGTAGGGGTCAGCTGACAGTGCTTAACCAACAGAAGGCAAAAGTATGCAATAATCATAATGAGAGTGAAGGTTAAGTGGTTGATAAGGAGGCCTTGCCACATGGGCATGCTTCATGGAGCACAGTCACATTAGGAAGAAAATAAATGGATCTCCAAAAAGAATTTTAAATTTATGTCAAAATCTGTAAGCATCTTGAGTCCCAGTATAAAGACAGGGGCTTAATTCTATAATGTAATTATCCAAAATATTTGTTGGTTGTCTGATTGAGAGTTGCATGGCAAATTTCATATGTTTGGGATATTAGGTAGAGAAGAGTTGTCAATATTTGGAAATTACCTTGTTCAGGAAGCATACAGTAATGAAGATACAAGGAAAAATGAGCTTAAATCAGGACTGGCAAAGGAAATGCAAAGAAGTAAAAATACACAAAAATTTTACCAAAAAATTCTTGGTTATTTTACATTTTGAAAGTAGAAATGAATGAAAAATAATGAAGAGTAATGAAAAATCAAATATAAAGCTAGTTATTTCAAATTACACTAAACACAATAAAACGCTTTGAGTGGAAATTAGGTTTTTCAAAAAATATTTATTGTATGACTTTTCTGCACCTGTCACTGTACTAAAATGTCAACACTGAAATTGCACTCTCTACTGATGATGACAGAAGTAAAATAAGAAAGAAATGTTAAGGGAAAGTAGCAGGAAAAGAATGTTTGCACCTGTCTTTGAGCAGTTAGAAAATTACTCTTTTTAGGAAAAAAAAATAACATTTTTAAATAATGCAGGTACGATGAATGTCACTGAATAATACTATAGCATTGCAAATTAGACATATTAAGAACTTGAAAGATAACAAAAAGCAAACGTAAATTCCTGCCCATATCTTACTTAGTTCATACACTATGTATGTTTAAATATTGTCCTGATTTTAGGTAATGCTACCTACTTCACTGATTTATTAAATAATGCCCTGAATTATCTTTCATATGTTTTATATGAATTTATTTCTTTATTCCACATGAGATATGTTTTTCATAAAGGGTTGGCCTGTATTTTATGATTTATATTCAACTTATCTTCTATAGATCTAGGTCTACTTGAAGCATACATTTTACACATATCTTAATAAATGATCTGGTTACAAACTATAATAAGAGGATTCCTGTTGTAAAAGTCAATGTATGAAAATAAATTGTATTAAATACTTAAAATGTAACCAATGTGATGTCACATTGTGGCTTTTTAAAGTTAGATATATAGTTTTCATATTTATGGATATATATATATGGTGATTTACAATATTACATATAGTAGTTATACAGTGAGTGGCACTATATTATAGAAAGCTTAGTGAAATATCAATTGTGTTACAGAACAAAGAAGCAATTCTGAGTGCCCTCTATGTCTAATAAAATAAATTTTAACTACATGAATAGTAGGGATAGTGTATATGATGTGGGTTTGTAAACCACTTGGATAGTAAATAAAATCAAACAGCAATGATATAGACTGAGTCGTTCTGATTATAAGGAAGTAGAGAAGGAACACATGATTACATTTTCACAACTCCAAAGTAAACTATGTATGTACTCCCTCCAGCAATATTTTCTGCAGATGATAAAATCAAAAGACTGAGAATACTGGGTACTGGCCTTTGAAAGGGCAATTCAAATACCAGGTAGCTTTTGGGGTCAGTGACTGTATTAAACATGACTTGTACATCATTATTTTAATAATTCCAGCAAAGTATATTAAGCATAATTTTAACTTTGAAATTATTTTATAAATCTGGAAATTGTTGGTAGAAATATTTTTTATTTGTAACTCATGGTAATGTGTTTTTCTGTTTTTGCCTCATTATAGAGAAATACTTGAGGCTGGGTAATTTATAAAGAAAAGAGGTTTAATTGGCTGACATTTCTGTAGGCTATACAGGAAATGTGGTCCTGGCATCTGCTTCTGGTAGCCCTCAGGAAACTTACAATCATGGCAGAAGGCAAAGTGGGAGCAGGCACATTACATGGCAAGACAAAGAGAAAGACAGAGAGAGAAGGGGGAGGTCCTAGACTCTTTCAAACAACCAGATCTCATGTGAACTAACTGTACAAGAACTCACTTATCAAGAGGTTGGTGCTAAACCATTCATGGGAGCTTTGCCTCCATAATCCAATCACCTTCTACCAGGCCCTACTTCCAACACTGGAAATTACAATTCAACCTGATATTTGGAGGGGAAAATATCCATAGGACACCAGGTACTCATCAAAGATATTGTGGTGACTTCAAAATACTATATTATAAAGATAAAATAAAATTTAAAAAGAATAGCTTTGTTTTACCTTGAATTATATAGCTTCAATTAAATTTAATTAGACATTTTAAATTTTAATACTACTTCATTTTCTGTTAAATTTTAAAATGTTGTTACTTCATAAGAAAAACAGATTTCATTGCCTGACATATAATTCTATTTCATTTAACATGATTTTTTAGAAAGGTCATACAATCCTAGAATTCAGAATTGAAGAGATTTTCCACTTTATCTATATTTGCTATTTCATTATGTAGTTAAAAAAAATAGAATCTTAGATAAAGTTGATTGTGTAAGCTTGCAAAATTAACATCAGACCACATCTGCTGATGGAAATAAGAACATGATACCCCACAATTACGGTGTCCTGATGTTTGAGAAAACAGCAGATGCAGGAAGAGCTGTCTTACCTTCTCTTCATCCCTTCTCCTTTAAAGCAGGCCATAAAACCTAGCTGACCTACTTCTAAAGTTGGTCATAAGACCTTCATTTCAGAGGTGCCCATCCCATGCAAGAACAAGAGGAATGTTCTTATTTTTGAAGACACAGGAATACGAAGAAGAATCTAGATGAGAAGGCCCTGTTAAGTTTCCACCAGTTTATTACTATTAAGCCACTTTCTTTCGTCCTTGAATAATATTTCTCCACAACTATTCACTTCATCAGACTTAGCACACAAATACACAGATTTCCACATTTCTTTGGGTTTTCATTTATTAAGTGTCCCATGTTACATAAAACTTATGTTACATAAACGTTTATGTTTTTTCTTGTTAATCTATCTTTTGAGTGAGAAAAAAATCTCTTCTCCTCTCCCCACTTCCAAATATTTAGCCCAATCACTGTGTTTCGTATACTTAAAATGTTCTCAAATATCATTGAAAACATTGCATATACATATTTTTCTAATACTTTTAACACCATAAAAGTTAATATAATTCTCATTTGACAGGCCTAGATAATGAAGCCCAGAGCATTATGTAACTTGATCACATGAAAAACTTCATAAGTAGCAGAGATGCCTTTTTAAAAAGTCCATGTATTACATTTTTAATAATTTATATTTAAATTAAACCAAACATTTATTTATTATTTTAGCAATTATTATTCAAGAATTTACTATGGGGAAAGCATTTCACTAAATTTGACAGTTACAAAATACCATAAGGAAGGATGCAAGCACTCAAAGTCTCTGAGCTCTAATTCCATTTTAACTTGGTCCCTGGGTCATTTGTATCTGAATTAACTTGTGTGTGTGTGATAAATGGAGAATCTAGCTCCAAAAAAGAGGATCTCACATGTAAGATTTACACTGTTTTCTTAAACTTCAGGTAAGTTGAATGTACATGAAGTTTTGACTTTTGGGCTTTTGAAAACATTAGTATTGACTGAAATTCATAAGAATTTAGTCATGAAGAACTCTTGTTTAGAAAGCTGACACAGGGCATGAGCTAGCATTTTTTCATATAGGCCTGTTCGTTTTGAATATTGTTACAAAGGCTGCTAATTATTTTAAAATATCTCTTTCCTTTTCTTCTGTGAACCAACTAGACCACATTTTCTCACGACTCTTGTAACTGATGTTGTCCTGAAATTGAGTTCTAATTAATGAAATAGAAGAGACAGGATGTTTCATATTTCCAGGCAGAACTCTCGAAACAGCCCCCATGCTCCTTCATTCATTTTTCCTCTTCTAGCTGAACAGTATAAAACCCCCCAGAACTAACTTCTAAGGCATGTTTTGAAGATCGCTTACGTTACTGCCACCAAACATTCTTCTGTTCTGTAAACATAAAAACAAATCTTTTGGATTTGAGCCTTTACAAATTTAGGGAGCTTTTAATGCATCCTGACCTGAAGTAATACACATTAGGAAACTAAGTTAAGTTAGTATTTAGTGATGACATCTAAATTTAACCACCGGTATTTGTGGCAAGGAAATTAGTAAGAAATAATTAAATTATATTTACAAATATTAAGAAAGCTCTCTGATTTTACTATCCTGAGTCACTTGGTCTATTTATGCAGAAATGATCAATATATTAAACAGAACCTCTTATGGATTCAAATTCTCTTTTGCTGAATTGTTTGGACAATTTCAAGATGGGAAATTATAACATTTTGTGAAATCAGTCTTCCTGATTTTAACTCCTTTACTAAATCATACAGCACAGGCCTGATGTGAATATTTGCTAAAGCTGAATTGCTGTATTGAGCTCTCAGATGTCTGAACATACTTTTCAAATGTCCCTTGAGTCCCTTGACTTAAGAATATTTTTATCTCTGTGCATCAACTTTTAAAAACAGATTCATCTCTTCCCTTGACACCTGTGGTTGTTAATAATTCATCCTGGTCCCCATCTGAAGGAATAATGGGCTAGATGGCTTTCTTTAGTATTTCTGAAATAACCTTTCTATAGAATCACGTTGCACTTATTGTGACTATGCTTATCTATTGAACAGATAAAACACTATTTTAAAGAGCAAAATAAGCTTTAGCTTTTCAAAAAATGAGGTTCAACATAAGTTAAAAATAAAGTCCTTAAGATGGTTACCTTAACTAGCCATCTTTCTTTACCTCATTAATATCAAGAAACATATACTTTCCTTATGTAAGTAAGCTTATTTAGTCACATGCAAACACCATGGAAGAAATATTGCAGCAAATAAGAAATCACCAGAGTACTGGAAAAAAGATCATGTATTATTGGGGAAGAAGACATTTTAAGATTATTTTTTAAAAATATGTATTGGGTTAAAAAATTATGGTAGGCCAGGCGCAGTGGCTCACCTGTAATCCTGGCACTTTGGGAGGCCAAGGCGGGCAGATCACTTGAGGTTAGGAGTTTGAAACCAGCCTGGCCCACATGGTGAAACCCCGTCTCTACTAAAAATACAAAAAAAAAAATGAGCCAAACGTGTTGGCAGGTGCCTCTAATCCCAGCTATTTGGGAGGCTGAGGCAGGAGAATTGCTGGAACCCAGGAGACAGAGGTTGCAGTAAGCGGAGATTGCGCCGCTGCACTCCAGCCTGGGCAACAAGAGCGAGATTCCATCTCCAAACAAACAAACAAACAAACAAACAAAAATTATGGTATATTTGTATGTCTAAAATAACATGCAGATATTAATAACCGTGTTTCAGAGGAACATTTACTGTCATTATAAGGAGCTCAGAGTCTAGTGGTGGGAAAAATAGGATTTAAAACAAAGTTAACTTACATAAAAAAAAGGAAAATAACATGCAGAAAAAATGATAGAAACAAAATAAATATTTATTATCTGCTATTTGAGGGGTTATGGGCATATTTATTTCTCCTATCTAATCTTTTTAATGTTTAAATGTTATTAGTTTGTTGTTTTTATAATCAATATAGTGTTTGAAACATAGGCATTTACTTTTGATAACTTAAAAACACTTGCTCAAAATAAAGTGTTTTCTTGTTAACTTATATATTTTTTCTATTAATTGTCATTTTAGAAAAATGGCATAATATTTATTGAAAACCTGAATTGACATTGTTCTCACTGACAAGAAAAAACTTTGTAAAATTTTGTAAGGCAGGTTAATTTTAATTAACCAAATGATTTAAATTACCTGATTTTTAAAAATAATTTAAAGTTACATAATTCTAATGTAGAATTAGAGGCAAGTCATGGTTACTGGTAGGAAAATTATCAACATTGTTTTCTCCTCCAAATGCCATTGGATTGAATTAATTTATGATCTTTTAATAATAATTTAATGTATAATTTGATAATTTACTTGAAAAATAAATTTTCATTGCTCCTTAATGATCAGAATGAATGCCACTGGTTTGGAATTTTCATTTGCTGCATAGTATATGGGTTATGTTTCATACATTAGCCATTTTTCAGAAAATCTGTAGGAGTTTTACCTCTGATTCTCACAGGCTAGAGACTGTAAAATAGTGGGGCATATGTACCATGGGACTGTGCTTCAATGTGGCACTGCATTGAGGTAGTTCCACAGCTGTGAGGAGTAATGTTTTGCTACAGCTTGCCTGGTATGCCAAAGCTTACTCTGCTTTGTCAAATTGCCCAGTGTAAAAGCAGATGGAGTCCATGAAGTAACCCAAGGAAATGAAGATACTTAATTAAAATAAAGGTGATAATGGGGCCGTGTATCCCAGATGCATCTTTAGAACAGACAATTATGAGGATGCCTTTAGGAAAAGAGAAAGTACAATAACCATTTCCTGGGAAACACAGTTGTATATTCAAGGTATTACTGAGACATCTATGCTCAAGCCATGGAAACATGGGGGCAGGATGAGGCGATTGTGTATGGAGCATTAAATGGATATCACCAAGTTGGTGGAAAAATATGCCTCAGGGCAACTTCAAAAAAAATTATGAGCCCACATCAGAAATCAAAAATACACTATGTTAATAACTGTAGAATAAGATGTGTTCTTAGGACAATGATTGATTGATTAAAAAAAATAAAACAGAGTAGCACTCTTAAGGGAACACCGAGAGCTGATCATATTTCTACAGCATAGCACTAGAAAATGTGTTGTTTACTGTTCTTTCCTTATAGTTGGCCCATGGAGCTAGTTATCCTAATGATGCAATCAGAGTAGATAGAACAGACAGAAGACATGTACCTTGTCATTTCAGAGGTATGCAAGGATACTTGGAAACTTGAAAAACAATATTGATGAAATATTATCTTTGTAACTGCAATATTGCTGTTTCTCCAGACTCATTGTAATACAATATTAAATCATCAATGGCTTTTCATATCTATTTCTACTTATGTAAATATATGGTAAATGTGATAAGACCCCTTTTCCTGAGACAAAAGATGTTTGGTAAACTGTTTATTTAATGTTTGATTAATTACACTTAATTAATTTAATGTAATATCCTTAGACGTTTTGTGTAGTGAACATTTCTGTAATATGTTATCTAGTGCTATCTGTGTGATAAAGAAGTTTTTCTCAGTTTCATGGAAGTTAAGGAGCTCAATATGTTTGTTGAAAGCATACATTAGGTAAAAATATTGGGGAAAATTAGGGGACCTAATTGGGGTATATTATTTCTATTCTGGATGTTATAAACCATTTTAGACATTACTATAATTTTAGCATTGACATATTGTAAATTTCTCCATCATAAGAGATTCGACACAGGGAGAGAAATTCAATACAACTCCTTGGTTGGGGATGAGTCCACCAGATCTACTGATCCACCCCCTAATTCAGGATTAATGCCATTATAATGGCATTAATTAATCCAGAATTAATGCCATTATAATGGCATTAATTAATCCAGAATTAATGCCACTAATCACTGTTACATTTTTCCATTTCCTTAAAAAGAGAAGGCCATGATGACTTGTTTAATGCTCAGATAATGTAAATATTTTACTTTCAAATACATGTGATAATCATGCATCTGTCAACTCAACTTCATCTAAGAGAGATATCCTTTATTTTTACTAATATTAAACTAATCAAATTGTACTCTGATTTTTAAAAAACAAAACAGTAGTAATTAATTTCTAAGCAAGAAATATGTGTCTGAAAAGTATGTGTACACTACTGATGTTACAGCTTAGTGATAGTGAGATCTCCTGTGTGCCAGTTCTGCTTTGATAGGCAGGAGCCCAACAGAGAGTAATATAAGGAGTCTGAGGCCCAGTTAGAAGTTACGGCTGCTGTGGTGCATGTATAAATGTAGATGATAAGTGGAGAACGAGCTAAATCTAGCTCTTTTATCTATTTTAAACAGAATCAGTAAACAATAAGGAGCTGTGGAAGGATGTCATTCATTGAGTTTTTTTTTTTTTTTTTTTTTTGAGATAGAGGATACGCAGTTGTTAGGGTATGGCCAAGCAGTGACGTTTTGCAACTTCTGTCAAATAGGTTGAGTTAACATATGATCTAATGCCTACCACATTCCTGTCAACAAAATGTGTCCTAAGAATACAATGTTTGCAAAATCAACCCTTGTGGACCTTACAGAATAGAACACGATAAATAATGAAAAAGACCACACAAGTGATAGCAAAATTTAAACTAAAATAATTGCTACAGATAAAGGTTTTCAGTCGTATAAAAATGTATAAGAGAGGGCTCAAACCAATCAGGGGGTTCAGTGTTTATTTCTAAGGACATGGTTTTTGAAGTGAGTTTGGAAGGATGTGTGGGCACTGACTACAGGAAGAAAGTCAATGTGGGGAGAGCTCAAGGAGAGAGCACAGCTTCTACAAATCCCCCAAAGAAGGATTGTATAGTTGAAATGTAGAGACTCCAAATCAATGATGATAGTGGCAGAGGATGAAGCCAGAGAAGTAAGCCTGGACAAGACAAGGAGATTTATAAAAAAAAAAATTAAGTTTTTTTCTTCAATTTTTATTTTAAGTTCAGGGGTACATGTGTAGGATGTGCAGGTCTGTTACATAGGTAAATGAGTGCCATGCTGGTTTGCTGCACAGATCATCCCATCACCTAAGTATTAAGCCCAGCATCTATGAGCTATTCTTCTTGATGCTTTCCCTCACCCAACCCCTGCCTGACAGGCCCCAGTGTGTGCTGTGTTCCCCCATGTGTTCATGTATTCTCGCCATTCAGCTCCCACTTATAAGTGAGAATATGTGGTATTTGGTTTCTGTTCCTGTGTTAGTTTGCTGAGGATAATGGCTTACAACTCCAACCATGTCTCTGCAAAGGACATTATTTCGTTTCTTTTTATGACTGCATAGTATTTCATGGTGTATATGTACCATGTTTTCTTTATCCAGTCTATCATTGAAGGGCATTTACGGTGACTCCATGTCTTTGCTATTGTGCATAGTGTTGCAATGAACATACATGTGCATATATCTTTAGAATGATTTATATTTTTATGGGTATATATGCAATAATGGAATTGCTGAGTCAAATAGTATTTCTGCCTCTAGGTCTTTGAGGAATCACCACCCTGTCTTCCACAATGGTTGAACTAGTTTACACTTCCACCAACAGTGTAAAAGTATTCCTTTTTCTCTGCAACCTCGCCAAGATCTGTGGTTTTTTGACTTTTTAATAATAGTTATTCTGATTGGTATGAGATGGTACCTCCTTGTGGTTTTGATTTAAATTTCTCTAATGATCAGTGATGTTGAGTTTTTTTAATATGTTTTTTGGCCACATGTATGTCTTCTTTTGATAAGTTTCTGTTAATATCCTTTTCCTACTTTTTAATGGGGTTATTTGTTTTGTTCTTATAAATTTAAGTTTCTTATAGAATCTGGATATTAGACATTTGTCAGATGGATAGATTGCAAAACTTGCAATGGATAGATTGCAATCCTATTCTGTAGGTTGTCTCTTCACTCTGATGATAGCTTCCTCTGCGGTGCAGAAGCTGTTTAGCTTAATTAGATCACATTGATCAATTTTCGCTTCTGTTGCGATTGCTTTTGGCACTTTCATCATGAAGTCTTTGCCTTTGCCTATGTCCTGAATGGTATTGCCTAGATTTTCTTCCAGGGTTTTTATAGTTTTGGGTTTTACATTTTAATTATTTAATCTATCTTGAGTTAATTTTTGTATGAGGTGTAAGAAAGGGGTCCAGTTTCAATTTGCTGCATATGGCTAGCCAGTTATCCCAGCACCATTTATTAAATAGAGAATCCTTTCCCCATTGCTTATTTTTGTTGGGTTTGTTGAAGATCAAATGGTTCTAGGTGTGTGGTATTATTCTGAGTTTTCTATTCTGTTCCATTGGTCTGTGTGTCTGTTCTTGTACCAGTGCCATGCTGTTTTGGTTACTGTAGCCTTGTAGTACAATTCGAAGTCAGGTAGTGTGATGTTACAGCTTTGCTCTTTTTGATTAAGATTGTCTTGGCCATTCAGGCTCTTTTTTGTTTCCATATAAATTTTAAAATAGTTTATTCTAATTATGTGAAGAATGTCAATGGTAGTTTAATAGGAATGACACTGAATTTATAAATTACTTTGGGCAGTATGGCCATTTTCATGATATTGATTCTTTCTATTCATGAGCATGGAATTTTATTTTTCTTTTTTCATTTGTTTACTCTCTGATTTCCTTGAGCAGTGGTTTGTAGTTCTCCTTGAACAGATTGTTCACTTCGCTTGTTTGGTGTATTCCTAGGTATTTTATTCTTTTTGTAGCAATTCAGAATGGGAGTTCATTAATGGTTTGGTTCTCTGCTTGCCTGTGGTTGGTGAATAGAAATTCCAGTGATTTTTGCACACTGATTTTGTATCCTGAGACTTTGCTGAAGTTGCTTATCAGCTTAAGAAGCTTTTGGGCTGAGACAATGGGGTTTTCTAGATATAGGATAATGTCATCTGCAAACAAAGATAATTTGACTTTCTCTCTTCCTCTTTAAATACCCATTGTTTCTTTCTCTTACTTGATTGCCCTGACCAGAACTTTCAATATTATGTTGAATAAGAGTGGTAAGAGAGTGCATTCTTGCCTTGTGCTGGTTTTCAAGGGGAGTGCTTATAGCTTTTGTGCATTCAGTATTATATTGGCTGTGGTTCTGTCATATGTGACTCTTATTATTTCAAAGTATGTTCCTTCAATACTTAGTTTATTGAAAGTTTTTAACATGAATGGATGTTGAATTTTATCAAAAGCCTTTTCTGCATCTATTGAGATAATCCTGTGGTTTTTGTCTTTAGTTATGTTTATGTGATGAACCATATTTATTGATTCGCATATGTTGAACCAACCTTGCATCCCAGGGATGAAGCCAACTTGATTGTGTTGAATAAAATTTTGTATGTGCTGCTGGATTCAGTTTGCCAGTATTGTATTGAGGATTTTTGCATCATTGTTCATCAAGGTTATTGGCCTGAAGCTTTCTTTTTTGTTGTGTCTCTGCCAGGTTTTGGTATCAGGATAATGCTGGTCTCATAGAATGAGTTAGGGAGAAGTCTCTCCTTTTCAAATGTTTGAAATAGTTTCAGTGGAAATGATACCAGCTCTTCTTTCTACCTCTGGTAAAATTTGGCTGTGAATCCAACTGGTCTTGGGCTTTTTTGATTGGTAGGCTATTTATTACCGCCTCAATTTCCAAACTTGTTGTTGGTCTATTTAGGGATTCAATTTCTTCCTGGTTCAGTCTTGGGGGACATTCTGTCTTTTTAAAAAACCTTTGTTAGCTTAATGTTTGTTTTGTTAGAAACTGGGATTGTGATCCCTCCTTTTTTCTGTTTTCCATTTGCTTGGTAGATTTTCCTCCATGCGTTTATTTTGAGCCTTTGTGTGTCTTTGCATGTGAGATTGGTCTCTTGAAGACAGCATACCAGTAGGTCTTGGCTCTTTATCTAGCTTGCCATTGTGTGTCTTTTTAATGGGCATTTAGCTCATTTGCATTTCAGGTTAATATTGTTACGTACAAATTTGATTCTGTCATCTCGATGCTAGCTGGTTATTTTGCAGACTTGTTTATGTGGTTGCTTCATGGTGTCACCAGTCTGTGTACTTCAGTGAGTGTTTTGTAGTGGCTGGTAAAGGTTTTTCCTTTCCATATTTAGTGCTTTCTTCAGGAGCTCTTGGAAGGCAGGCCTGGTGGTGATGAATACCCTCAGCATTTGCTTCTCTTAAAAGAATCTTATTTCTCCTTCACTTATGAAGCCTTGTTTAGCCAGCTATGAAATTCTGCATTGGAAATTATTTCCTTTAAGAATGTTGAATATTGGTCCCCAGTCCCTTCTGGTTTGTAAGGTTTCCACTGAGAGGTGTGCTGTTAGTCTGATGGGCTTCCCTTTGTAGGTGACCTGGCCTTTCTCCAAGGCTGCGCTTAACATGTTTCATTTCATTTCAGTCTTGGAGAATCTGAGGATTATTTGTCTTGGGGTTGATCTTTTCATGGAATATCTTACTGGGATTCTCTGCATCCCCTGAATTTGGAAGTTGGCCTGTCTTTTGGAGTTGGGGAATTTCTCCTGGATGATATCCTGAAGTATGTTTTCCAACTTGTTTCCATTCTCCCTGTCTCTGTCAGTTACCTTAATCAGTGGTAGGTTTGGTTTCTTTATAAATTCTGTATTTCTCAAAGGTTTTCTTCATTTCTCTTCATTCTTTATTCTCTATTCTTGTCTGCCTGTTTTATTTCAAAAAGAGTCTTCAAGCTGTGAGATTCTCTCCTCCACTTGATCATACTATTATTGATACCTGTGATTGCATTGTGAAATTCTCCTATTGTGTTTTTCAGCTCCATCAGGTCAGTTATGTTTCCTCTTTAAACTGGGTATTCTGGCTATCAGCTCCTGTACTGTTTTATTTCAAAAAGAGTCTTCAAGCTGTGAGATTCTTTCCTCCACTTGGTCTTTCTGCTATTGATACCTATGACTGCATTGTGAAGTTCTCATACTGTATTTTCCAGCTCCATCAGGTCAGTTATGTTTCCTCTCTAAATTGGCTATTCTGGCTATCAGTTCCTGTATTGTTTTATCATGATTCTTAGGATCTTTCCATTGAGTTACAACATGCTCCTTTAGCTCAGCAAATCCCTTATTACCCACTGTCTGAAGCCTACTTCTGTCAATTCAACCACCTCAGTCTTAGCCCAGTTCTGTGCCCTTGCTGAAGAGGTATTGTGGTCATTTGGAGGAGAAGACCCTCTCTGGCTTTTTGAGTTTTCAGCGTTTTTATGTTGATTCTTTCTCATCCTTGTGGGCTTATCTACCTTCAGTCTTTGAGGTTGCTGACCTTTGAATGGGATTTTCATTGATTTCTGTTTGTTTGTTTTTCTTTAAGAACTCAGCCCACATTTCCTGGGCTGCTGTCATTTGCTAGAGGTCTTCTCCAGACCATAGTTGCCTCTTTCTCTTTCCCCCATACCTGGAGCTGTCACCAGTGAAATCTGAAAAACAGCAAAAATGTCAGCCTGCTCCTTCCCCTGGAAGATCCATTCCAGGGGTATACTGACCTGTTGCCAGCCAGAACTTGCCTGTAGGAGGTGGCTGGAGACCCAACTGCTTCTTTAAGCAGGTCCCTGCTTACAAGTGAGAAGGTTAAGTCATCTGCCAAAGATTGCCAAGATTTGCTCAGCACAAAAGTTTCAGAGCAAATAATTCAAATCTAGATAGAATAAGCTCAAGCCCATGGTTTTGTCATTAAGTAGTATCCATCACATTTAGTGTCTGGATATTTTCATATATTACCTGGAGAGAGGCCAAAAAATATAGCTTCTACATTTCCTGTAAATGATCTGAGTTTTCTTATATGCATCTATCAACTGATTGATGACAGGAGGATAGTTGAGCTGAAAGAGGTGTTGGAAGGTAGTACCTTATCAAATGCAGCTTCTAGCTACTTAATTTCACTTTCAACATTTTGCCAGGAATTTTGTTACCTAGTGCCTGATCAAGATGGCATTAACAGTCTCTCAACCTGACTAACCTTTAGACAGTTGTCTTCCTTACTATCAACCACTGATTTCTTTCCCTAGGATTTACTTGGTATTTTCTCTTTTTTTAGGATTTACTTTACAAGATTTGTTATTGTAAATTCTTCCTTTTTCTCTTTGAAATGTATGTAACTCTCCCAGCCTGTTGCGAATTTTGCAACCTAAAAAATGTCTTTCTCAATGACCTGAAAACCATCTCTTTGAAGTGAAAACATCAAAGTAGATAGCATCCCCTATCTCCCAATCTCTGTGGGAGGGAAGGAGCCTAACTTTGATAGGCACAATCAGCAAACACAGATAGCATAATCAAAGAGAAAAACATTGCATACTCAGAAACAAGTCTATTTTCTGTACACATTCATTCGTCAACCTCCCTGCAACTTCTGAACATCCTCCAGTACTTTTCCAGGAGCTCACCCTAGAGGATAAAAACCCTCCCTCTTTTTGATTTAGTAGAGTTGAGTTCAATCTGTCTCTCCCATTATAATGATGTCGAAGAAGATCCTTCTTGCCTGTTTAACTTTGGTGCAATTTTTGCTTTGACATACTGAATGTTTCTTAGATACTTTTTTGTCCTTTTAGTCATTGCAGATGACATTTTACCCAATTTTTTTTCATCACAACATAATATGTGTTATAATTTTCCCAACTTTTCTAACAGTTTTCTTACTGCCCACTGCCTGTTTCCACAACAAATGCTACATATTTCAGATTTCTTTCTTTCTTTGACAATATCCCATTTCTGGTACCAATTTCTATATCAATCAGCTATATTCATATAATGCTGTGTATCAACTACCTCCAATTCAGTGACATATTCTTACATTGTTTTATTTTTCCTATTACAGGTTTGCAAGTCAGTTGGAGAGGCTCATTTTTTGGCTGTGGGTCTGAAGTTCAGCTTGTGTGACTTTGTTTCAGGATGCAGTTCGGTTAGGCTTGGCTCCAACTTCTAAATCTGTTCCATGTGTGTCATTGGTCTATTGCCTCTGTGGTTTAGCCCAAATGATAGCAATGACCCAGTATATGTTTTTCTCATGGAAACGCTAGGAGCTCAAAAAGAAAGACCAAATCACCTTCCAAGTTTCTGCCTACATTGCATCTATTAATATTATAGCAACCAAAGCAAGTCACAGAGCCATGTCTAAAATTGAAGTGTGGGGAAGCACACTCTGCCTACCATAAAAGCATGAGCAGTGTGGGAGTATTTAAGGCTCTTCCAAGGGCCACATTCTATTTCCTACAAAATTGTATTAATATTCACACTGCCACATCCCACTGTCCAAAGCTATAGAAACACGGCTTCAGTAAACGAAGTTATGTTTATTTAATTTTTAATTTGTTGCAGTGAGGTGGAGCTGAATGACTGTTGGCATCTCAGAAAGAAAGAGTAGAGAGGTGTTCATTACAGGATTTGGATATGTTCTGGTTAATTCCAAAGAGAATAAGGGAAATCAGAGACAGATTTAGAGTGAATTCTATAGCAAAAAGGAACAATTAAGAGATAACTTTCACTCGCGTCCTTGTGAAGAGACCAACAAACAGGCTTTGTGTGAGCAACGAGGCTATTTATTACACCTGGGTGCAGGTGGGCTGAGTACAAAAAGAGAGTCAGGGAAGGGAGACAGGAGTGGGGCCGTTTTATAGGATTTGGGTAGGTAAAGGAAAATTAGTCAAAGGGGGTTGTTCTTTGGTGGGCAGGGGCAGGGGTCACAAGGTGCTCAGTGGGGGAGCTTTTGAGCCAGGATGAACCAGGAGAAGGAATTTCACAAGGTAATGTCATCAGTTAAGGCAGGAACAGGCCATTTTCACTTCTTTCATGATTCTTCAGTTACTTCAGGCCATCTGGATGTATACTTGCTGGTCACAGGGGATATGATGGCTTAGCTTGGGCTCAGAGGCCTGACAATAACATAGATTGGTAACCTACTAAGTTAGTACAACAGGATCAGCATTTTCATTAATAAATGTAGTCACTTACGTTATCTGAAAGTGAAAGACATTTAGTTATTTTTGTAGTTACATTGGATTTTATGCCCTAGCCTCAGAGGAAAGAAGGCTTTTACTTCTTTTGATAGGATTGAAAAGGTTCTGGAATTAGTTAGGGTTTTGTGTCTATACCCCAGCAAGGGGGCTGCGCTTTAGCAAGGGGGCTGCACATTTATGTCTTCTGCCCGTCCTTTCTTTGAGTACCAGGTAAAGACTTACAAATAATTCATAAATGAGGACGTCAGTTATATCTGAGACTCCCAGTGATTCCAAACTGTTACTCAAGATCAAATTAGTTGTTTAAAAGTTTATTACAATTTTACTTGCTTTTTCATACCCATTTTTCTTGCAATCACCTCTTTCTCTGATGCTTTTCTAAAGGTGAAAGAGTGTCTCTTAAGAAAGGCGTTTTTACACCTTTAGAATTTGGTTCAACTAGTTGCCTTGAAACCTCAACTCTCTCATGAGCTCAAAAAAAACTTATCATTTTGGAGATTAGATAGCTTTTTTCTCATTGTGGGAGTTCATTCTCTTTGACTTTCTACATCCTAAGCCTCTAATCTACAAAGTATTATTTTCAGAATATAAAAAGTGTTTTAACATTCAGTATGTTTATTATCTCTATCACAATCCAATGAATTAGTTCTAATTTTCTCTTTTAAAAATGAGAAGTTTGAGTCTCAGGAATGTTAAGCAATTTGCATTAGGTCAAGCCATTAATATTTGTTATAGCTGGAATGCAAATCTTGTTGAAATGTTAATGTAAATTGCACCATACAGTGCTGGCCCTAAATGATCTTTCCAAGCCCTGCTTCCTCCTTTCTTAAGTACCAGGCTAATCTTTTGCCCACATAAATTTCATTCTCTCAGGTCTTTTACATATTGTTCTTTCTGCCATAGAATGGTCTCTAAATTAAAAAGTTTAATATGTACTAAACATGTGTTATATTGTAATTGTGCATTCTTTTACTTAAACAATTTGCCCCAAACTTGATAAGCAGTAGTCTTCACAAAACCTTTATCCATCTTTACCAGGAGGTGTTAATTGAAAATTTAATCTGTTAAATTGGTAATACTCATGTAGTTCCTGTTATATAACCATAGCAGGATTATATTCAATAGCATAAGTATACATGAAATAAGGAGCTAGTTAAGAGGAGCAATGATAACAGATATTTTTGGTATTCATTTTAGAAGAAAATATATTTTTATTTTAACGTGTACTGTAATTTACACTCACAGAATGGAATCACTGAAGGACAAAATCACTTTGACATCAAAATATGTCTTGAATATTGTTTTAACTATGTTAGGATTATGTTTTAAATGATGGATGTTTTAATACTTTTAGTCTAATTTACTCAATGGAGCAGTCACAGCCTAGTTTAAAAAATATCAAGTGTGGCACTATAGATGTTATGAGAATATTTTGTAAAAGAGGAATTGAAGTAAAGTGATCCATCTTGGATCTCTCTTTCAGCTAGGTGATGCTATTATAGTCCTGTCTCTTTATAATAGTGATGCTTTCTATAAATGAGAAATAGCATCACAGAGAAGTAAGAGGTTCTTCAGGATCCCTACCAATGACTGCCTCATTGTATGTGTTTAATGATGCCTGCAGGAAAGCTTACTTACTCTGACAGGATATTTCCATCAGCATCCTTGAGTTGAGAAGAATAAAAGCAAAATGAAGATTATGCTGGCTTTACATTTGGGTGAAGACCATCTCCTTAGGTACTTGCTTTTTATGTGATATTTTAAAATATAAGTTTTCATGTTATAATTTTCAGTAGGTAGTATATACACATACAAAGGTGGTAAAAAAAATTCCTTTGAAACCACAAATTAAATATAACCTCTCAGTAAACAATTGTTTTATTTTAAATCCACATTTTTATGATACTTATAGGTTGTCATATCAATAGCATTAAGTCATCAGATACTGAAAATACCTAAAATGTCCTCCAAGAATAGTAAAAACTTTGTTCTATTTCTCTTTGTGAATTTATTGACTTAAAGTTTTTGGACAAAAATGTTTTTATTTTATTTCATTTTATTTATTTTATTTTATTTTTTTGAGATGGAATCTCGCTGTGTCCCCCATGCTGGAGTGCAGTGGCATGATCTTGGCTCACTGCAAGCTCCGCCTCCCGGGTTCACGCCATTCTCCTGCCTCAGCCTCCTGAATAGCTGGGATTACAGGTGCCCGCTACCACGCCCAGCTAATTTTTTGTATTTTTAGTACAGACGGGTTTCATCGTGTTAGCCAGGATGGTCTCCATCTCCTGACCTTGTGATCCGCCCATCTCAGCCTCCCAAAGTGCTAGGATTACAGGCATGAGCCACCACGCCCGGCCCAAAAAATGTTCTTAAATAGGGAACTTAGCTATAAATACAGCATCAACATCATTTTTATTATCAAGAATATCAGCTGAGTTCTGAACATATTATCTTTACTCTTATAATGATAATAACAATCTATACATGATGATTCAGAACAGAATTAGACACTCTCAAAAATGTATTGTTTATTAACAAATTCAACCTTATAAAAATATCAGTTATTTTTATAATCTTAGAAATTCTCAATATGTGCCTTATATGGCACAAGGCATACAGCAAAGCTGTATTGTAATTCTACGCAGACATTTGGAAAAGTACATTATTGAGTTTGACATGGAAGCCACTAACAGTAGCTTCATTTTTGTAATGTTGGGAATTAAACGTGGTACAAAGATGAAGATTTTTGCCATATCCTATGTACTTACTTCATTGTTACATGTAAGTCTGGAGCACAGTGATTTCCACTATATCCTTCAAGCAGATTCTCTACTTTTTAACGTTGTAGAATATTTGCTCTTTATCTCTCTCTTTCTCTCTTTATTTTTTTTGTCCTCTTCTTTTACCTTTTTTGAACTTTTTGAGAAAAAGGCGCAGACATAATGCTTCACTATTTCTAATGTTTCAGCATGTATATCATAAGATTAAGGAAACTATCCTGCAGAACAACCATCTCTGTTATGAAATTAGTATTGACTCTTTCCACAAGTACAAAACTACTTAGATCAGGTCACGTGATTAAAAGACTTTCTCTAATCTAAAGTTACTAAATTGACCTTTTAAATAATAAATACTATAAATATTAAGATACACTTTTCTCAGTAATTTCCATTCACTCATACTAGCATCAGTTGATCATTTTTGCTAGAATGAGTTTTGGCTGAATTAATTATTTCTGTTTTAATTGACAATTGGTGAATATTTAATTGTAGCATTTCTTCTACATTTTTTAGTTTGCAGTCTATTTTAGGAAATGACTTTTCTTTCTTCCTCGTTCATATTGCTGTTGTCTCTTGGATTGCTATTTTATTCATTGGTGTCTTAATTTGTTGCTAACATGATTTATTTGAGAACATTTGGTAAAGAATATCTTCTTAATGGTTGTTGCAAATTTGAGCAATAGGAAGCCTATTTATCTGCTTACCTTTTCCTCTTAGCATGCTCCTATCCTTTGAGCACTTTATTACTTTCTGTCAAAACATGTTGTTCAGTCTCCCTTGTGCTTCCCTTCTCTGAGACCTGGAATGAGTCATTTCTCTATAAAATCCTGGTTTGTTTACGTGGGGAATAACATTTACACATGAATTCTGGATCCTAGATGTGCTAATTCAAAATGAGATGTCACTACATAGCACAATTTAGAGGATGGAACCAGAAAAAATATTTTTTGACAAAACATTGTAAGTTCATACTCACATGGCATATTAAGTCCAGCACCATATTATTTTCCTTACTTTTACTTACATTTCACATCTGCATCATCCTTCTCCTACAACGAAAACTCTATGTCCATAACACAATAGAGTTACTCATTTGTCCTTTGCTACAAAGCACACAAGAGGACTTTTAATTACTACACAAATGCCTTTTTAATAACACATCTATAAAGAACAGTTTAAAAATTCATCAATGTTCCCACTGAGAATGACTATAGTAGTTTTTATAATATTTAAATTGGTTGATGTTTAAAAATTCATAAAGTTGTACAATTAAGATTTGTATAGTTTACTATATACAAATTGCTTTGATAAAATATTTTAATAATTTTATTTTAATATTTTTTGAGAGATATTATGTTGACAACTTAATATTCAATTAAATCCATGTTTGTGTTTGTTCTTTCAAATTTTTGATCATACAAAATATCAACATATTTTCCTAGTCAAAATTATATAAAGGCTATATTTAAAGAAGTCACATTTCTGTCTTTATTCCATTTATGAATCATTTAACTGTTGTTGGGAAGCAATATAATTACTTTTTAATTATCATTCTGATTTATTTAAAATAAGCTTCCATGTATATGTGCATATTATTATTCTTTTCTCTCTTATTCACACATATGTAATATCAATATGCATCCTTCCTTTTTTCTTTCTTGTATGTATACGTGTGTACATGTTTATAGCTAAAAATATAAATATAATATGTATATAGCTTAGATACATTTATTTTGTAGTAATAAACCCTGTTTTATATGTTGCAAATATTTATCCATTTTATTGAATTTTGCCAATGTTATAATCTTCCTCTTCTTCTTCATCATAAGTTTAATGTAATTGAATTTTTTATTGTATTTTTACCTCAGAAGACTTTTCTTCATAGTTATAAATAAATTCTTCAGTATTTCCTTCTAGTTCTTGAATCAATCAGTCCTTCTTCCTCCTTTATTTGCTTCCTTCCTTTATATTTAGATTACATCTGCATTTTGAGTTTGGTTATATAGCTGCATGTGTGGAACAAATTCTCCAAAATTTACCTAGATCCTCCAACACCATTTAATAATATGTCTATTATTTGCACAATGACTTGATATGCCAATTTTACCAAACCCAAACATCCTCATACATTGATATCTGTTTCTGCACTTTTGATTCAGTTTCTTTAGTTTATGTATGCATGCACCATAAACAGTGTTTTAATTATAGAGAATTTGAAGTACGTTTTGATATCAGACAGAAATAACTCCTATTATTTCGTTTTTTCCACCAATTCCTGCAATGTTCATGTTTTGATAGAAATATAGAAATATATTTGTTTCCCTCAAGAATAAAACTTGTTACTGTTATTGTGAAATATATTCAATTCACTTAGGAAAAATTGACATCTTTACAGTGTTAATGCATTCCATCCAAGAACAAAGAATGACTTTTGATTTTTGTGTTTTATGAATGTTTTAACATTTTCTTTATTATAGATTTAAATATTTATAAACCTGATTGCAAAGTGTTTTGTCTTTGTTATTTTAAATGTTTTTTTGCTTATAATATTTAATGTTATATTTGTATGATGAACATGGAAATGGGTGAAAAGAAATCCAAAGCTGTATTGTTGAGTGAGTCACTGTCTGATATCAAGAGCAACTTGAGATTGATATTGTGATATTTTCTTCCAAGCAGTCTACAACAATTGTATTTCATGGTGGAGAAGGGAAAACACTTATCTACTATCTTCTGTTTTCTTGGTCAAAATTTCACCCCTCTATGAAAACCCATCTGGCTGCATTTAAATGTGATGAGTATCATTGTGTTAGTTGAGGTCAACATAGAAGTTCTGGGACTGTAGGCTAAAGGTAAGATACTATCTGGTTGTGCCTAGGTGAAGTTACTTAGAATCCATGTAGAACTGGTAACAGGAACGGGAGGTTACCAAAGCTGGAAAATACTGTCAAGGCCCTTGTGAAAAGTGAAGGGAAGATGACATGAAGAAAGAAATTTCTGATAGAGTTCACTTCCTTTATCACACAAACTCATTTTCAATTATATCTAGTTCCCATATTACAACAGAGTGCCTGTATATTAATGGAAACAAGATGCCTACTTCCTGTACAAGAGAAAGGTAAAAGTACAAGTAATTATTTTAAAAATGCTAGTTGGCCTCAACTTATTGAAAAACAAAACAAACAAAACAAAAACTAGAAACAGATTCGGTAGTTATAGTTTATGCCGTGGCAGCTGGTCCCAAGATTATACCTAACATTTGTCACCTTTCTCTTCCATTGTTCTTTCTAGTTTTACTCATCTTTGGTCAGCAGTTTGACTATTCTTGACTGCTTGTGTAGTAGTAGAACATGACAATTTGCAATTGCCTGTTTACCGTTATCATGGTGCATAGAAATACCAAGAGTCCTACCCATTAATCCCTAGGTTCAAGAAGAGTCCTTCCTGTCTGTTGGTCTACTAATACCTTTGTTAGGTGAGATAAAAAGCTCAATGGATCTAGTACACAGCCTCATCTTCAAGTTTAGTCAAATATTTATTAAGTGTTGGAAAGAATGTTTTACTTTGTAGAAATCATAAACACAAGCTGCTAGAATGTAAGGTTGTGGGCTTAAGAATTTCAAATCCAAGAAATGTGTCAGTGGGAATAATGATGGGCAGTCAGTACTATCTTTCCGTCCTGATTCCCGTACCTACATATTCTAGCACCATATGTAGAACCATTTGCAAGTGTTCAGCAAATATCCAACATCTTGTAATGTGAAAGCCCAACAATTCAGGTTGTTGTGCCTGAATTGGCATCTTATCTGGGCCTTTATTAGGCCATTCCATCATAATCAAGTGCATTTGAATTCAAGGTTCATGGTAATATGACATGATATCATGTCAATAACCTATTGTCCCAACTGTTCTTTGGTGTGAGTTAATATTGCATGGAATTGCACAGTGATAGAGGAATCATGTTGTAAGTAAAGAGGTGATGTTACAGGAGGCCTCTGTGTAAGGAAGGTAAACCCATATCCAGAGGAGATATCTGTTAATGATTAATCATTGTCCCTCAAAGGGCTGCAGTATAATCTCCATGCCACTAAATGGCTGACTAGCCTCCTCAAACAAGTAGCCACATGAAAGGCTCAGCATGCACTCTTCCACCAGCAGGTTGGGCACTTACAGCAGCAGTAGCTAAATAGTTTATTGATGATAAGTAGTCCATATTTTTAGTTCCACATATAGTCTCATCATTAGTTCATTTTGCCAGCACTGGAAAGCTGAAGAGAGTGGCCTCCTTACATCCAAAGGATGCAAGATGTCTCCCTCATTTTTAAGAACTTGTACTCATTTTTTGCAGTGTCTGTGATAAATTACCACAAACTTGGTGGTTTAAAACAAAAATTTATTTTCTCACTTTTTTGAAGGACAATTTAGGGAAGGATTCTTCCCTGACTCCTATAGCTTCTGATGGCTGTTGGCATTCCTTGGCTTCCTTGGTTTCTTGTCACATTGTTAGAATCTCTGTCTTAATCTTCAGGTTGCCTTTCTCTTCGATGTCTCTTCTCTGTGTTTCCTTCAAAAGTGAATCTGGGCCAATATAGATAATCTAGAATTATTTCATCTCAACATCCTTAATTTATTTTTCATCTACAAATACCTTTTTCCAAAATAAGGTAGCACTCACAGCCTTCATGAATTTGTCATGTACTTATCATTTTTGAGGCCACCATTCAACCCACTGTATCTGACAAGGGCAAAACATTTCTGGATGAAAACATTGATTTTACCCACATGTCATTCATCTTTTAACAAATCTGAATTAATTGCTTACCAATAATGTCTACTTAATTAATTGCTTACTAATAATGTACTAAAATGTTATTTCAGTTTTTTAAATCAATAACATCAAAGAAACATGTACCATATCATAGTCTCAATTATACATCTTCATTACTATATATTCTAAAATGATTATTATAAGATTTGCCATATTTTATTTATGGTATAAATGCAATGTGTTTTAAAGCTCTTATCAATGCTAAGCTGAAAACTATTGTATTTTATAGTTACAGAGACTTTCTTTTCCTTATTTAGAAATAGCATTATTTTACAAACAGAAATTAGTAAAACCAAACTTCAGTATAATTTACTATCCAATGATAGAAATCACTACAAGATTTACAGGGAAATAATTTTAGTGACAATATCACAAATATCTCATATCCTTAATATACATGTCCAAATAGAATTTACTTATAAAAAGTCTTTAAATTTCCATCATGTAGAGCTATGTCCTGGTTTTCAATCGTCATTATTATTAAATGTAATTACCTGCTTACATTACATTATAATTTGTTAACCTGCCTCAGACTAGAACACATTTTGTTCATCCATGAACAGATACTCATGTTTCCAACGTATTGAAAAAATTTGCATTTTAAAATGACTGCTTTTGAAATAGACCTGGAGGTGATATGGTTTGGCTGTGTCCTCACCCAAAATTTCATTTTGAATTGTAATCTCCGTAATCCCCACCTGTCCAGAGTGTCACCAGGTGGTGGTAATTGGATCATGGGGGTGGTTTCCCCCATGCTGTTCAGAACTTTCCCCCCATGCTTTTTTTATTATTATTATTTCTATACTAGGAGGATTTAATTATTGATTAAGAAATTTTAGTTGAAGTCATATGTGTTGTATTGTTATTTACCCCCTGTATTATTTCTTTCTCAGGCTGCTATGAAGAAATACCCAAGACTGGGTACTTTCTCAACTTTCAAATTGAGCTGTTCAGAATGTGTGAAACAATTTTAAGGTAAGGATAAGTTGTCTCATTTTACAGCCTTTGCTTTTGCTCCTAATTGTCACAGGTAAAAAAAGCAAAGAACATTATAATGGGAAGCAGAAAGAGGACAAATTTTGAGTTTCATAAGTTGTTTGCGTTTTTGTTTTTACGAGGTAGTACAGTAACTCACAAGAAGTATAAAGCAAAAGAAAATGCAAGGCAGACCTGAGTAAAGGCTGTGTGTTTCTGAAATAGAGAATGTTACATCCACTGAAAATACTTAGATTGCTTTTTAATTTTTCAGTGTTTATAAAAAAAGGCTCCATGGATGGAAATGTTGAGGAAGTTCATAATGTTTAAGTCTTATCCACTTACATAATAAGTGCACTGTTGTTATTAGGTGCATAGACTCTGGTTCAATAATCCTAGGTTCAAACTGTTCACTCCACAAAAGACTACAAGTTCTGTGACTGTGGGCAATTAATTAATTCTATAAAGACTCAGTTTTCTAATTTGTAAAAGTGAAATTTCTGTAAACATTAACTAAAGATATACCTGTAACTTGCATACATACCACAATACATAGTATATAGAAACTATTCAATAAATTGCTAATGCAGCTAAAGATAATCTTTCCAGGTCTTTGCTCAATTGCCACCTCTCAGTGAGAACATCCTGATCTCCTTATTTGTATTTATAAGAGCTGTCCCTTTCTAACTATTTTTCTGTTCCCTTTTACCTGACATCATTTATCTTCATCAGAGATACTATATTTTATTGCTCAATTGATTAATTAACTAATTTTCTATCTCCCTCTACTAAAATTTAATTTCCTTGAGAAAAGAGTTTTGTCCGTGTTGCTAATTACACCTTTCCCAATAACTAGATTCTAGACCTTTAAAACAATGCCTAGTTAGGAATGAATTAATCAGTATTATTAAACTGTTGTGAACTTTAGACTATAAGAAGAGTTTTAAAGCTCAAGAGAACACTTTTGTCACATATAAAACTTAAATCTTAGGGCTCATCTGAGTAAGTGGCTTATGCAATATCCAAACTCAGTTTAGTACTAGAACATAGCCTATTCCTGCAATTACCTGCAATATTTTGTTTACTTAATAATCATAATTTTTTATAGTTATTGCTTTTTGAGGATCTATTACATGACCATTACTGTCCTTAATGTCTTATATAGTGGGGATAATTTTAATTTCTTATAGTTATGTTAAAAGACAGGTATTACGTTCCTCATTTAAATAATTTTAGAGGTCCACTGTCTATGGAGTGCCTTTCTCCTTGCCTCCAACTTTTTTCCTACTACTATGTTGGGACAGTTCTTCAATTTTCTTGGCTATCGGCCTTGAATGTTTTAAAGAGCTATTGTGATTTATTTACAGAACCTGCTAGTATGTCTTCCTTCAAGTTCTCACAGCTTACAATAAACTAAAAATTGCCAAATGAGACATAGCTTTCTGATTTGCTAAAACATATTTTATCATTGAAACATTCTCCAAAATATACTCTAGTAAATGCAGAATTTGACTATTACTCTGTAGATGGTCATACATAAACATAAACATAAACATAAACATAAACATAATGACCACTTCGTTACCACAGTCCTTTGAGGACTTTGGAAATCTTTTCCCTTATTAAATAAGACTCTGCTTAATGTTAGACTGAGCATTTCTAAGTTGACCAGTGAAATTGTTCAAATTATGCCAAACATTCCCTTTTGGTTTTAACTACTCTTTAATGTTTTCTTCAACTTAATTTCCACTGATAAGCTATCTGAAGAAATGCTTTATTTAAAAAAGGAAATCCTCATTTTCTTAAAAAAAACCTATTATTTATTATGTACCAAAACTCTGATATTGCTTTACATAAACATTTTCTGAAAGGTAGTATCCTTCCATTTCTTCATGAGAGAACAAGATATTGCTCAGGATGTCAAAGTAATTTGGAAAATTCAAATGACTGACCATTCAGATCTTCTTACATGAAAAGTCAATGCTTTTTCATATCTGCTACAGTATTGCTTCACCACTGCAGACAATAGTAGAAATAAACATATACGGAGCGTTACTGCTATTACTTCACCTTACCTCCCATCCACCCCCCTTTACTGGATAGTTAAAAAAAAAGTTTGATGGATTATTTGTTCTATCTTTTGTGTCTACTGGCATTATAAGACTAGGAAATACTGTGTCTCTAGCACAACTCAAATCAATAAACTTTTACAAAGATTTATGGAAGTTACAAGGTATTAAACAGCATTCTTCTTTGTTAATATCTCTCCAATGATCATAAAAACCCACATACAATGTGATTGCTATGGAAGCATTGTCACAGAAAGCGTAGAGGGCCTCAAGGATGATTTAGAGACAGTTTTTCCTGACATTTATCCTACAATCCTAATTCTTCCTTGTGTATATTTGGTAGTTTATATTAAATTGTATTCAATACATTATATACAGAAAACTATAATGCATTATCTCAAATTAATACAGATAAACTCAGCATAAGACATGTTCCTCACAGACTAAATAAAAATACAATATGTAGTTATTCCCAATTTTTTTCTCACTTATATTGCTTATATCAAAGTATACCCATGTCAAGCATCCATAAATATGTCAAATGCCAAAACTAAGTAAATCTTAGACATTGGAAACAGAGAAAGTTTCAGCTTACCTCTACTTTTACTAGCATTGTAATATGTGAGTAAAGACAGATGATCAGCTGCATAATAATAATCCTGGTACATGGAAACCTGGGATATTACAGATTTAAAGGAATTCTGTAATATTTACTCAGTATAATTTATGCTGTATTTACTCAGAAATACAAGGATACAGGGCAATGAGGACTAAATGAAAATATCTGCTTAATTGGGGTGAACATATTTTAGTGAAATTGTATTTATATGGAGAGAGAGAGTGAGAGAGAGATTTTTGCAAGAGATTTACCTCTTTGTTTAGAGGGCATGAATAGGCAAATCTGAAATTCTTAGGCTGAAACCTCTCAGGTAGGAGTTGACACTGTAATAAACACATGAAATTTCTTTTTTTCTGGGAAACTTCAGTTTTGCTCATAAGGCTTTTCAACTGATTGCATCTAATCCAACCAAATTAATCTTCATTACATAAAGTCAACTGATAGCGGATGTTACTCTTATGAATAAAATGCTTTCACAGAAACATCTAGAATCATTCTTGATGGAATAACTGGATACTGTAATCTAGCTGAGCTGACACATAAAACAGATCACCATAGTTTTTCCTTGCCAAATTGGCACCCATGCATACCTAACCTCCAAAGAAAGATGATAGCAAAGTCATACTTCCACTGAACATGACCCCACTGTCCCACACATAACCAAACCATGCTCAACTTTTCCCTAAATATTAAAATTCCTTACGTGATATTCACTTTAATATTCTGCAACTTAAATAACATAATATATACTATTATTAATATATCTGTGTTAGATAATAAACAGGTAAGAAAAGAAAGAAACAAAAATATTACACACACATACACACAGTTAAGTCCTTATTTCTGCAACTTGTCGGGTTTCTATATTTGATATGCATAACTATTTTTTTCCATTATGCATTCCGTATTCCCTTTACCCTTGGGAAGTGCTTTAGCTGGTGTGGTTTTTTGCCGGTGGGGTGACATAAACCTTCATTTCTAAAAGGTCTCCATCATTAGCACATTAGCAGTCTTGCCTGAACTGAGTTATAATTTTCCATTGACATTAATCACAGGATATAGTAGTACTAAGAAACACCTTAGGGATCTTCTGTGTTTCAGACATATACTTATGTATTTTCAGTGTGTAGTAGCAGTCTAATTTCTTCTTGGTAAACGGAATTAAACACCACATTCAGTAAATTAACTCCCCCTTTTGCCTTTTTATTTAGAGGCATGAGAAGTCCCAAGTGACAGGGGGCAGTCATGACTTCCAGCTTAATAGAAACAATGTTGTGTCTCCAGATGGAAACTTTTCTCCTTTTGGAATTAAGACATTTACACCAGCACAACCTAAGGTTATCGGGGAAAGGAAACCAAGACTGTGCTCATAGATTACTAGAGGTAATAGTTAGTGGTACTATTTTGCCTCTTGATACCTTGACTAGTGAATCTTAACTATGAGAGGAACGGCACCACATATTAGACATTGATTTAGAGCACATATAGCCTCCTAGAGGCTACTGTGCTAGCCCTGCTACGTACTGAGATATAACTGGGTTTATAAATGAGTTTTCAAAAGGCCATTTTAAAGCCAGGCACGGTGGCTCATGCCTGTACTCACAGCACTTTGGGAGGCCGAGGCGGGCTGATTATCTGAGGTCGGGAGTTCAAGATCAGCCTGGCCAACATTATGAAACCACGTTTCTACTAAAAATACAAAAATTAGCCGGGCATGGTGGTGGGTGCCTGTAATCCCAGTTACTCAGGAGGCTGAGGCAGGAGAATCACTTGAACCCAGGAGATGAAGGTTGCAGTGAGCCAAGATGGCGCCACTGCACTTCAGCCTGGGCAACAGAGCAAGACTCTGTCTCAAAAATAAAATAAAATAAAATAACATAAAATAAAATAAAATACCATTTTATCATCCTATCAAGCCACCTGCTTAAATGTAATGGAGAATCTGATGAGATCAGTGAATTTCATGAGCATCAGTCCATTGCCGTATTTCCTTTCTATGTAATGAGTTCCTTGATCAGAAACAGTAGGTTGTAGAATACAGTGACTGTGGATAAGGCTTTCTGTAAGTCCACAGATTGTAGTTTGACAAAGCATTGTGTTCAGGGAAAGCAAATTCATATCTAGAGCAATAATTCTAGTAAGAGCAAAGCACAACCCCTTCTACAATGGAAGTGGTCCAATGTTATCAACCTGCCATCAGGTTGATTACTCTGGGAATGGTGCCGTATTGAGAATCCAGTGTTGGTTTCCATTTTTGAGCACTCAGCAGTGGCTATAACCATGTTCATTTTGGTGAGTAAAAGTCCATATTGCTGAGCCCATGCTTCATCTCTATCCTCACTACCATGGCCACTATCTTCACAAGCCCATTGTACATGATACATGAAAGAGACTGACTGGTGTCCACAGAATGTGTCATCCTACCTACTTCATTATTAAAATACTCCTTTGGTGAGGATTTGTACAAGACATAAATATTTTCATGTCCATTTCCAATTCAAAGAGGTTTAACTGTGTACCTCTTCCTCAGAATTCTTTGTCATTGGTTTACCAATTATGTTTCTTCCAATTTCTTGAGAATCCATTCAAATAATTGGCTGCAGCTCATAAATTGAAATATGCTCATACCTCTGGTTATTCCTCCTTCCAAGCAAAATGAACAATCAGGTACAAAACTCAAAGTTCTGACAACTTGGAGGACTTCCCATCACAAATATCCTAGAGAGGTGTCATAGTGTTACCACTGTCCGCTTTTGGCTGACGCCAGTAGATCATGCAGAGCCATTTAGAAACCAGGTCTAAGATTTTTCTCCCACAGTTTACTGGTTATAGGGAGCCATCCATGAGGTTATAGTTGTTGCTTGGAGAAAGAAGTAGGGTAGTAGGAGTAGGGACCATGGGCAATGTGTACTGATGACCTATTCAGCTTAAAGAGTACTGCTTCTGGTGATTTCTACTAACAGGTATCAAGAAAAAAAATCATTTACCAGATTAATAGATGCATGCCACATATGAAGGGATGTATTAATTTGCAAGAGCAATGAAGTAACATCGAGCACAGCATCTGCAAATGAAATCACCCACCTGATAAAATTTATGATTATCCACTCTCATTCTCCATGATCCATTTGTTTGTTGCATTTGTCAAATAGGAGAGCTGAATACAGATTTGGTGGGACTCACAACATCGGAATCTTTCAAATCCTTGCAATCCCTCTGGAATCCATTATTACTTCTTTTAGTTAACCACATATATATAGTACAACAAAACAGCCCTAACTCCACAGGTCAGGGGAACAATGTACCTATTCTTTTAGTTGCTGAGTATTTCTACTCCAGCTAAACATTCCAGAACTTAGGAAATAACTACAGGGTGGGTTTAGAGACCCACTGTGAGATGTACCTGAGCTAAAACTCCATTGATAACTTGATCTACATAATGTAACACAGTAGCCTCTTGGACCTAAATTTTTTTCCCCTGAAATTTGAATAATCTCTGAAAAGTCATATTAGTTTGCTTTCTCAAATGAAGTCACTCTGGTAAATGGCAATAGATATGTTTGGAGAAGGATGGGAGAAAAATGAGCAGTATAAATTTTGGAATGCATAGCATGATTTCCTCAAAATTATCTGGATTTCCTTTAATTCAAGAAATTCTGAGTCTGTAAAGTGCCTCATGTCTGAAAACTTATTCGGAGTTCATGACATTGTTTTGGTGATTCAAGTTAGACTTCTGTTCATTCAACCTGGAAATTTTCTGCTTAAAAAGATCAAAAAATAGTTTAGTAGACTGGTTATCTATTTCCTTTCAAGGGACACCATACTTAACTTGTCAATTCCATGGTTTTCTCTGAGTCAGACTATTTTAATCACTGCTTTGACTCTGCTGTCCATTACTGCTTTGACACTACTGTCCACATTGATGCCACTTTGTCTTTGGTGATCAATTGACAATATTTTCTTCCTGCCATTCCAGGTTCAATGATCTCCATTGCATTTATAGAGTCCAGTGTGGTGGCTAGAGTTCCCATTGTAATTTGGCACCTAAAAAAAAGAGTAACCACAAAGCTCTTTAAGGATGCTTGTCAGCTCAGGTGGTCATTATAATATACCATAGCCCAGGTGGCTAAAACAACAGAAATGTATTCTCTCACAGTTCTGCAGGCTAGAAGTCTATGATTATGATGCCAGCATGGCAGCATGGTCATGTTATAGTGAGTATTCTCCTCCTGGTTAGTAAATGGGCTGGCCACAATCTCACTGTGTGTTCAAATAACTTCTTTGTGCCTGCTTGGAGAAAGAGAGAGAGAGTGAGCCAGCTCATTGGTGCCTCTTCTTATAAGGGCACTCATTCCACTATGACAGCCCCACGATCATGACCTTGTCTAAACATCATTATCTTCCAAAGGCCCCATTTCCAAATACCGTCATATTGGGCGTTAAGATTTCAACATATAAATTTTGGAGGGGGAGCATAATCCAGCCCATAACACTGAGGCTCTATCACAAATTTGTTTCCTGAAGTCATGGTGAAAGGAGGTATTTCCTCTGGACTTTCCTGGATGGGTGAGCAGGTCTTACATGATAAGTCCACTCTAACATGCCAGTCTCCCTAATCTTTTGAATACTTCCCTGAAACAGTATACTGAGGCAATGTTGGGTTTTTAATTCATTGAATATAGGTCACCTTTAGATTCATGTTTCAGTCAATCAAATTACCAAACCGTTAAAGCTCTTTCAAATCCCTTTAGCTAAAACAATGAATCTAGAATTTCTGATTAGTCGACCTATATCAATAAATTCAACCTGAGCCATCTTGATTTATTTTTCTATCAATATTTCAAAGCTTTAATATTCATTCCTGTACACATTCCTCAGAGTTCTTTCTGTATAACTTGGTAAAAAATAATGCAGTTCTTTTGACATGTAGTATAACTCGTCATGGGTTATCCTTTGTATCTCACCATTTGAGGCATTCTCAGACTTGAATATAGTTATAGATCTAGAAACAAAGAGAGGTGGTGAGAGTAAATCCTATGGACAGTCAGCAATATCTTGCAAAGCAATTACCACAGGGAAGGCCATTATAGGTTCTATAGTAAAAACAGAATAAACGTCTCCAAACATTGGTGAACAGTCTGCTTCTACTGGCCAAGAAAACTCAGCAGAACTGGCTTCAATATCCCCAGTGTCAATGGCATTTTTTCCGATTTTCCTATTCTACTTTTCAGATCTCATTCCCTTCATTCCTTTCACCTTGTGAAGTTGGGGGATTGCTGTGGTTTCGATGTGTCCACTAAAGTTAATGGATTGACAACGTAAATATATATATATTATATTAATATATAACATTATATAGCCTATATTATTATATAATATATAATGCATTATATAATTATATATAATAAAATGTTATATAATTATATATTATAAATATATAAATATTTATATATATATCACTTGTATATATAGGGTACGAGTGCAATTTTGTTACATGCATAGATTGCATATATATACATATATATATATATATATGTATATATATGCACACCACAATTTCTTTTTCCACTCATTGATTTATGAGCATTTGGGTTGATATTTTTGAAATTGCAAATTGTGATGCTATAAAAATGCCTGTGCAAGCACCTTTTTTGTGTAATGACTTATCTTCCTCTGGGTAGATACCCAGTTGTGAGATTGCTGGATCAAATGGTAGTTCTACTTTTAGTTATTTAAGGAAACTTCACACTGTTTTCCATAGCTGTTGTAATAGTTTATTACCTTCCCACCAGCAGTGTAAAAGTGTTCTCTTTCCAGCACATCCCTGCCACATCTATTATTTTTTGATTAATGGTCATTCTTGCAGGAGTAAGGTGGTATTGCATAGTGGTTTTGATTTGCATTTCTCCAATCATTGGTAGTCTCGAGCATTTTTTTCATATGTTTGTTGACCATTTGTCTATCTTCTTTTGAGAATTGTCTATTCATGTCCTTAGCCCATTTTTTGATGGGATCTTTTTTTTTCTTGTTAATTTGTTTGAGTTCCCAGTAGATTCTGGACAATAGTCCTTTGCCGGATGTATAGATTGTGAAGATTTTCTCCCACTCTGTGGGTTGTCTGTTTACTCTGCTGATTTTTGTTTTGTTTTGTTTTGCTGGGCAGAAACTTTTTAGTTTAATTAAACTCTACCTACTTATTATTGTTTTTGTTGCATTTGCTTTTGGGTTCTTTGTCATGAAGTATTTGCCTAAGCCAATGTCTAGAAGGGTTTTTCAGTGCCATTATCTAGAATTTTTATAGTTTCAAGTTTTAGATTAAATCCTTGATCCTTCTTGAGTTGATATTTTATTAAGTGAGAGATGAGGGTCCAGTTTCATTCTTTTACATGTGGCTTGTTAATTACCCCAGTACTATTTGTTAAATAGGGTGTCCTTTCTCCATTTTATGTTTTTTTTCTCTTTGTCAAAGATCAGTTGGCTGTAAGTATTTGGCTTTATTTCTGGGTTCTCTATTCTGTTCTATGGTCTATGTGCCTATTTTTATACCAGGATCATGCTGTTTTGGTGACTATGGCCTTATATTATAGTTTGAGGTCATGTAATCTGATGCCTCCAGATTTGTTCTTTTTGCTTAATCTTGCTTTGACTGTGTGGGCTCTTTTATGGATAATATGAAAAGATAAAGAAAATCCGTATTAATTTTAGGATTGTCTTTTCTAGTTCTGTGAAGAATGATGGTGGTAGTTTGCATTGAATTGGTAGATTTTCACAATATTGATTCTACCCATTGATGAGTATGGGATGTGTTTCCATTTTTTTGGCATCTCTAATTTCTTTCAGCAGTTTTGTAGTTTTCCTTGTAGAGGTCTTTCACCTCCTTGGTTAGGTATATTCCTAAGTATTTTTTTTTCAGCTATTGTAAATGGGGTTAAGTCCAGAATGAAAAACCAAACATTATATGTTTTCACTCATGAGTGGGAGCTAAGCTATGAGGATATAAAGGCATAAGAATGGTACAATGGACCTTGGGGACTTGGGGGAAAGGGTGGAAGTGGGGTGAGGGATAAAAGACCACAAATTGGATATAGCATATATTGCTTGGGTGATAAATGCACCATAATCTCACAAATCACCACTAAAGAACTTACTCATGTAAGCAAACACTACCTTTTCCACAAAAACCTACGGAATTAAAAAATAAAACAAAAACAAATAACTAACTCTTTAAATGGCATTGAATGCTATTCTCAATATCTATGTCACCTGCATGTCTGCTTTTATTGACTACTTATTCTCATTCACTTTTTTATAGTACTTCTCATCTTTCATAATCTTTTTGTAATATATGAGGTGTTGTCTGTAAAATAACAATAATGCATGAAGTAAATTTTTTTGTTTTATTTCATTTTTTTCTATAGAGTGAAAAGCTAAAAAGCTTGCTTCTGTAAGGCAGCAACATTTTAGAGTTGTATTTTCCTACTAGTGGAACTCAACTTGTGCTAACCCTGTTTTAATTAGATTGACTTCTCCTTTGCTTTAAATGTATTTAATCTGTTTGTTAAAGTTAATATAGTTAAATTTAAAATATGTGCCACCTGAGAAAATGTCCAACTTTTCATTAAACCTCTTAATAACAAAGCTTATTAATATTCTCTTGACTTAAGCTGGTATTGTTTTGGTTCACAATTTATATTACTTATGTTTTGTGTTTCTTTTCAACTATAGAAGGGTTGCCTAATAAAAGTACTGGTAAATCACATGAAATTGTGGGAACTCTCTATGTTTGCCAGTTGTGCCTCTTCAGGCAATTTTTCTTGAAATTTCCCAGAGTTAGTGGGGTGGAAACGTTTCACATTCTTTTGCATTTATTGGTCTTTCAGATTTCAATCCACCATGTGGGCTTACAGTATCATTAGTGGCTCACCTACTTTCTTCTCATCCTTGCAAAGTCTCTCCATCTTTGATAGACACTGCTTCTTTGCCCACTTGCCCACTTGTATCCAGACCAGGCACTTGTCACCTGATAAAAAAGAAACTTTTGCTCTTTGCTCTCCTTTATAGGAGGGCTATAGTATGTGTGTGTGTGTATATATATATATAGTATAGGGCTATTTTTCTCTGTAGAATTTAGTTCAAATAAGGTTTCTTTGCATTCAACACTCTTCAATATCTTGAAGTAGGAGTACATTTTTAATTTTATCTAATTATTGTATTGTTATGAATTGCATAATGTTTTATATTTTGCTTTCTAGCTAGAAGTAAAACTACTCTTACATGTAATTGTTTGTCATTCAACTTAGTGGAAAATACTGTGGGCTAGGCATTAATATGTACACTATAAAATTGAACACATTATTTTATACTGCTGAAACTTTATCTTCTCTTCTCTAAGAAGGTCTATTAATCTGATCAGACTGCCATAACAAAATACTAGACCGAGTGGCTTAAACAAATGTTATTTATTTTCTAATAGTTTTGAAGGCCAGATCCTTGATTAATGTGCCCATACATTCAGTTTCTAGTACTGGCTCTCTTCCTTGCTTGCAGAAAGCTGCCTTCTCAATGTGGCTTCATTTGACCTTTATTTTGTGAATGCATAGTAAGAAGGAGAGCTCTGGTCTCTCTTCATATTCTTCAAAGGACATCAGTCTTATAGGACTAGGACCTCATTTATGGCCCTGTTTAATTTCAGTTACTTCCCTCAAGGCCCTATCTCCAAGCACTATCATGTTGGGAGATAGGAAGTTAATATATGAATTTTGGGAGGACACAATGCAGTCCACAACAGAAGAAGAACAAATTTTTATTTTCCTCAGGGTCTAATAATTACAGGCTGTGCTTATGCCTGTAATTATGCCTGTAATCCCAGTGCTTTGGAAGGCCATGGTGGGAGGGTCACTGAAGCCCAGAAATTTGAGACCAGTTTTAGCAACATAGGAAGACCCCTTCTCTACAAAAAATAAAAAATGTAAATAAAACATACATGAAAGAAACTAATTGGTGTCAATGTGATTTGGGGATTGTACAGTATTACAGAAATTGATGTTAATACTGACTTATGAGGAAAAACACCTTATCACCTTTAGAAAAACATAGGACTTGTCTGACACTTTCCACAGTTTTCCTATCTTTCCATTTATACTTGCTTCTGATTCATTAGATATTTAATTTATCCTTTTATCTAGCCAGTGTCATGTGTTTAACTTTTCTATAGGATTCTGCACCTTCCTCTGAAGAGAATCAAATTTCTATTATTCTTTACTATAACCTCGCAATTTATAGGGTAACTTCCTTCAGGTAATGGAAGTAATTACTTAAGAGGACTATTATTAAGGGAACAAATGTTTTTCCTGGTGAAAGCAGATGAGTCTCAAATGAAAGTTTTCCTTTATTTTTTTCTTATGCTAAAAATAATCACTTTGGATGAATTTGTATTCTCATGCTCAGAAGCAAATGTTAGATTAGAATCTTATTCAATAATTAAAGAGCAAGGAGAACATTGTGGCATAGTAGAAAATGAATACAACTTAGTTTAAACCCATCTTTAAAGTCTAAATCTGCCTGTAACTGGATGTATAATATTAATTAAAATCTATGAGTCCCAATTAGCTTACATTTGAAGAATCTAAAACAAGCCTGACAAGATTTTGTGATATGGTAAGTATTACCTGTAAATAATATAGAATGATATGCCTGTATATTAGTACACATAAAATAACATAGGGGGATAGTGGCAGCATCTGCCTCATTAGATTCCTGTGAAGTTTTAAAAATTTGAATAGACATATATATGTGTTGAGTATCCTGAATCTAGTTTGATACAGTAAAGATTTATGCTGACTCAAAATATAAAATGACACTAATTTACCCATGGTTTTCCAGAGTGTGAATTAGTAAACTAGCATAGAGCAATTTTTAAATAACCATTAGCTTGCTTTCTCTTAGGATGACCTTAAGCATATCAAATATCCAGAAGTTTTTTAAGGGTAAAGAAGAAAACTTTACAAGATGAAAAAAAATTTAGACTCATAACACACATGCATAAAAAACTTTTAAAACAAAATTATTTTTCTCGATGTAATACAGATTTTATCACAATGCTAAAATAGAAATATTAGGTGAAGAGCTAAGAAATGATGATTTATACATCACTGAATACAATGAAATTCCATCAGTCTGTCACTAATATTATCTTTTTCCATTTACTGATACATTTTCCTGAGGTACCATATTAGAAACTTTAGAATTAAAATGGGAAGCATTTTATCCTCCTGAATTAAATCCTAATATATTAGTTGTCCTTAGCAATTTTTTAAGCTATTGGGAAATAACTTTTAGAAAAACTAATACATCAAATGGATACACAAATCCTTTAAAGTAGTACCATGAAAAACCTATTTTATTACACCCAGAGACTTAACAAAACTACAATCTATTTTTTAATCTAATTTTGAAAAGTTGGAAATTTTAATTACAAAAATTATTTCACCTTTTTAAATCAAATAACCTTATGCCCATTGACAGAATATCAAAATAGTTAATTTCATCCCTGTGTTAGTCTGTTCTCACACTGCTAATAAAGACATACCCGAGACTGAGTAATTTTTAAAGGAAAGAGGTTTAATTGACTCACAGTTCAGCATGGCTGCGTAGGCCTCAGGAAATTTACAATCATGGTGGAAGGGGAAGAAAACATTCTTTTTCACATGGCAGCAGGAAGAGAAGTGAGTACTGAGCAAAGGGGGAAACAACTTATAAAACCATCAGCTCTCATAAAACTCACTATCATCAGAACAGCATGGCAGAAACTGCCCCCATGATTCAATTATCTCCACTTGGTCCCTCTTACAACACATGGGAATTATGGGAACTACAGTTCAAGATGAGATCTGGGTGAGGACACAGACAAACCATATAAATCCTTTGATTTCACTTGCATCAGATCAGGATTAAAGGGTGACAAGTGATTAAATTCAACTGAAATGTTGAGAATTTAACCTGACTTCCAAGTTCTGCAGTGAAAGTTGAAACAACCAATCCACTCTATTATATTCCTTATTACAGTGAAACTCTTCTATAAAAGCAGCTACTTTATTGTGTATATCCTTGGTTTCTCTAGGGTTTTTTTTTTTGAGACGGATTCTCGTTCTGTCGCCCAGGCTGGAGTGCTGTGGTGAGATCTCAGTTCACTGCAACTTTTGCCTCCCTTGCTTCAAGTGATTCTCCTGTCTCAGCCTCTTGAGTAGCTGGGGACTATAGGCACGCGCCACCGTGCCCTGTTATTTTTGTATTTTTAGTAGAGACGGGGTTTCACCATTTTGGTCAGGTTGGTCTTGAACTCCTGACCTCATGATTCACCCGCCTTGGCCTCCCAAAGTGCTGGGATTACAGGCATGAGCCACCACGCCTGGCCTAGGCTTTTTATTATCATTATTAATTTAAGTCACTCTTTTGTCATTTTATGCTATATATTATCAGTGTTCTCCTTACCCCAGGTAACCTGTCATTTATAGGGTACTTTAAACAATAATATATGTTATTGATATTCATAGACAAATTCTAAGCAAGGGTTGGGAACTCCTGGTGAAGAGGAGTAAATGTCTAAATAAGCATGTACGTGGTTTTACAAGATCAATAATTTCATATTCTGATGGCAATCTGATTATTTTGATAAAATCTAATCAGATCTGAGAACCAATTTTAGATTCCCATTTTTCATGTCTGCCTCAAGATTGAACCTTGACTGATGCTTGAATTGTTAAGTGACTGAGATCCAGTAGAACATTTTTGGGATCCAGAGCCAAGAATCTGCTATAAGATTTTGAGTCACTGTCAGTAGTGCAACAGTTGAGAAAATTAGAAACAAAGTGGAGACTAAAGTCAGTCTTCAATTTACCCAATAACTCTGCATCTACTTGACCCCTTTTCTAACCTCCGAGATTCTGAAAGTAATGACCACTGTTTTATTTCCAAATCTTATGTAGGTTCCTTCTTTGGTCAGCTCTAACTAGAAACAATTCCAAGAATAACCAAGTTAACAATGGAATAATCTAGCATACAATAAATTAAAGAGTAACCTATTAACAATCATATAGTACTTTAAAACATTATCTTAAAGTGTGACTATAAGCATGATGGAAGTGAATGTAAGAGTGTTGAGGCTAGTAATTAAAGCGAACACGTGGTGTATGCATATGTGATGGATCTGCATGTTTTTATGGTAAAGAAAATGATATCTCTATTAATATTTACTACCTATATCTATGAGGAAAAGAGAGAAACTTTTACTTTCAATATTTTTTTCTTTATAAACTTCTTTAAAATGTGAAAATCAGGGAGAAATGGGTGTCAACTTTAGTATTAAAAGTAAAAATATAAAAATATAAAGTTTAGTTTAACATGACATATACAATAAAATAAACTTTAGGGAGCATGTGTTTAAGGTTTTATTAGTAGGAAAATAATTCGTTATTTTAATAACAACTTTATTAAGTCCAAATTCACATAAGATAAACTGAATACATTCACCATCTACAATTCAAATGTTTCCACCTTGTACTCTATCTTAAACAGTACTGAGTCTTTTCCTTAGAGTATGTTAGCTGTGGGTTTTCCATGTATGCCCTTTATCAAGTTGGGAAAGCTCCACTTTATTTCTAGTTTGATAAAAGTTTTTTTAAGTGAATAGTGTCTAAATTTTGTCAACTTCCTTTCTGTACCTCAAAATGACACTATTTTTTAATGACCATTTAGATAATATTCAAAATGTTAGTGATTTTCAAATGATAAGCTATTGTTGTATTCCTGTGGTGTCTTACTTGTATAAAACATATTACCGTTTTTTTATAATACTGGACTCTAGACACCAGTATTTTGTGAATAATTCACATCCATGCTCATGAGGTATATATTTTTATCTTTGTTTAGATTTGATATCAATGTAATATTACCCTCATAAAATGAATTATAAGTATTCTATCTGCCCCTATTTTCTGAGATAATTTGTGTAAAATTGCTAGTATTTCTTTTTTGAATTTTTAAAATTTTAGATTCAATGAGTATATGTGCAGGTTGTTACATGGGTATACTGCATGATACTGAAGTTTGGGATACAGATGGTCCCATCACCCAGGTGGCATAGTATGCAATGGGTAGGTGGGAATTGGTGAAAATGCAACAGTGTAGAAGTATTGCCTTTTCTCCACAGATTCACCAGAATTTATTGTTTGTTTGGCTTTTTATTAATAGCCATTCTGACTGGTATGAGATCATATATCACTGTGCTTTTGATTTGCAATTCTCTGATGATTAATGATGATGAGCATTTTCTTATGTTTGTTGGCCACTTGTATGCCTTCTTTTGAGATGTGTCTGTTCATGTCCTTTGCCCATTTTTTGAATTGGATTGATTTTTGCTTGTTCATTTGTTTATGTTCCTTACAGATTTTGGACATTAGACCTTTGTCAGATGCATAGCTTGTAAATATTTTCTCCTATTCTGTAGGCTGTCTGTTTACTCTGTTGGTAATTTCTTTTGGTGTGAAGAAGCTCTTTAGTTTAATTAGCTTCTTCACACCAAAAGAAATTACCAACAGAGTAAACAGACAGCCTACAGAATGGGAGAAATAGGTGAACAAGCTATTTTTCATTTTTCATTGCAAATGCTTTAGGGGACTTACCAAAAATTTTTTGCCAAAGCCAAGGTTGAAACAGCTATTTCCTAGGTGCTTCTTGGATATTTATAGTTTGAGGTTTTACATTTAAAACTTTAATTCACCTTGAGTAAATTTTTGTATATTGTAAGAGGCAGGGGTCCAGTTTCATTCTTCGGCATGTGGCTAGCCAGTGATCCCAGCACCATTTACTGAATAGAGAGTCCTTTACCTTTGCTTATTTTTGTCAGTATATGTCAAAGATCAGATGGTTGTAGGTGTGTGTTTTTTTCTGGGTGCTCTATTCTGTTCTATTGGTCTATGTGTCTGTTTTTTGTACTAGTAACATCCTGTTTCAGTTACTGAGGACTTATAGTATAGTTTGAAGTATAGGTAGTATGATGCCTCTGGCTTTGTTCTTTTTGCATAAAATTGCTTTGACTATTCAAGCTCTCCTTTGTTTCCAAATGAATTTTAAGAGCGATTTTTCTAATTCAGTAAAAAATGACATTGGCATTTTGATAAAGGTAGTATTGATTCTATAAATTGCTTTGTGCAGTATGGCCATTTTAGCAATATTGATTCTTCCAATTGATGCAGGATATTTCCTTGAACCCCTCATGGGACTCATGACAGGGATGCCCAGTTTACTCATCCCACCCCACTTAACCCCTCAGGGAGGGAGCATGCAAGTGAACAAGCATGAGGACTGGAGCGAAAGAGCGTGGGAACTGGCCGGCCACTTTGGCATCAGCAGGAGCAAACTCTGCTCCCTCGGGTCCCATGCTCTCCATCTCTCATGGACAGGAGTATGCAGGTGAGCGAGTGCAGGAACTGACGTCACCCTTAGCACCATTAGGAGCAAACTCCATGCTGTTCCCACTGCAGTGTCCAGGTGGGGGTTTCTATGACCCTAAGGCCCCAGAGGGCATGTCGCAATGCTCTCTTAGATCTGCTATCTACAGACAGTAGTGCATTATCAGCTCAGTGGCCCTTTGCTTCATTGCGTAGCGTGACTGCCCTCTGCCAGTGAGGGCAAAGGGTCAGTGTGACATCCTTTTTGGGTACCTGCACTTGGTGCATCCTGAATTCTTGTCCAGTGCCCAAGAGGAATGAGGTCACATGGACAAACTAAAGGATGGTGAATGTGAAGAATTTTATTGAATGTTGAAAGCAGCTCTCAGTAGAGAGGGGAGCTGGAAAAGGAGCAGGAAGGGCAGGTCACTCTCCCATGAAGTTAAGTCACCTCTTTGCCTCCCTCTTCCGATGTCAAGTTGCCTCTCTCCAATGTACAGCCACTTCTTCTCTTTGCCGGCTGAGTCCAGGGTCTTCATAGGCACAGGATGGGGGTGGGGCGAGCCACAGGTAGTTTTGGAAAAGGCAACATTTGATTGGTAAAATAACATTATTCAGAAAAAAACAACTGGGAGAGAGCAGGCACGTAGGGATGGAAGTTCTCATTTTGGGCCATGGGTTTCAGGCTTTTCGGCTTGAAGATGGAGTTTTGCCAGGGACTCTCCCCTGTCTGCCTAGAATTTCTCTCCCTCCTGCCTCTATCATTCTATGGCATCAATGGGCATGGAATATTTTCTCATATATTTGTGTCATATCTGATTTCCTTCAGCAATGCTTTGTAGTTCTCCTTGCAGAAATCTTTAACCTACTTGGTTAGATATATTCCTAGGTATTTCATTTTTATTGTGTCTATTGAAAATGGGATTGTATTATTGATTTGGCTCTAAGCTAAAGTGTTATTGGTGTATAGAAAAATTACTGATTTTGTTCATTGATTTTGCATTCTAAAATTTTACTGAAGTCATTTATCAGTTCCAGGATCTTTTAGGTGGAGTCCTCAGGGGATTCTACGTATAGAATTAGGCCATTAGGCAAGAGAGATAGTTTGTCTTCTTTTCCTATTTGAGTGCCTTTTCTTTCTTTCTCTTGCCTGGTTGCTCTGGCTAGCAATTCCATTTAGTTGACTAGAAGTGGTGAGTGAACTGGATAAATAAATATTTTTGTAATTTTCCTGACTACAAATACAGGTAGTTCCCAATTTATAATAGTATTGTGTTTATAATATTGTCATCACATTGCATAAGAAATATTTTTATTGTCCTGTTAACAAATTTTACTTACCCTCCTAAAATTGTGTTTAGTCTTCAACAACTCCTGGTTCTTTAAAAAATCTCTTCTGTTGATTTTTATGATGCAACAATGTCCTGTGGTTTTTTTTTTGTTTTTTTTTTCTCCCTCTTGATCCTCCATATTAGCCTCGTTCTCTCTCTGCAATGTCTAAATCTTGGAGTGCTCTATTTTGGGACCTCTTCTGATTCTGCACTTTAAGCACAGAATCATATATCCAAATGTCTATTTATCATGAATGCTTGTGAGATTAACCTATACATATTTTATACATATTTTTTTCAAGTTAATTCACTTCTCTTTCTCTCCACTACCACCATTCTGATTCAATCCACTGTTATCTCTGAAACTTATTGCTTCAGTTTCTAGTCTCCCACATTCACTGATGCCTTCTGCTAATGCATTATAAAACTAAACTGTAATATCAGGATTAGTAACCTAAATATGAAGCACCAAAGCATAGGATCATAAGAATGAAAGTAGAATAGGAGGCAGGAAGCAAAATAGAGTTTCCCATACTATTCTGGTATTAGAGCCACTCCTAAGTGTACTTTTGGTTAAGCTTACATTTATCATTTAGAATTTAATCATTAGATTATATGGCAAGAGACAGAACATAATTTAAGTTAGAATCACAATAACATGTATAGTTATATTAAGGATAGAGGCTTAAAAATCTCTAAGACAGGGATGCATTTGCATTTCACAAAGGAATTAGTAAACTATGCTTGTGTGTGTGTGTGTATGTCTGGCTATGTCATTTATGCCCTCCTTGAAGATTACATTGCTTTTTTTGTTAGTCATAATGAGAGCTGGATAAGCTTCATAATATAATCCATGAAAACATGTTTCCACAACTCTTCATACATCTCCTTAGTCTTACCACTGGGAAATTTGATTTACGTCTGCTCTACAGAAATTTGTCTCAGTTAATTTTTAAAGAAAAATGAATATGATAAATAATAAGATCTAAATAGAGTGAAATATTTCAGGTCATAGAAGTTGATATAAATAGACTGAATTACAATTAAATGTGTGTTTTTTATTACAAAGTAGAGGTTGTAATAATTTAGTTTAAGTGCAGCAAGTTTTTAATTCACTCCAAGCTTCTAAAAAATGAGTTTAATTTTTTTAGACTGTATCATTTGAAGTATAGACTCCAAAACAATACTATGTTATTATCCCTACCCTATTCAGTTTAATATAATATTGTTTTGGAGGATAATATCAATTTCTATTTCATATACTATAAGAGGAAATTACAAACTATTGAATATCTAGGAGCATTTGATGAATTTTATGATGAAAAGATTTAAAAATATATGATAAAATGCAGATATTTTTGCTCTGGGTTTCTGTTTTGTTTTTGTTTCTTTTTATCTTTTTCTGTAGGGCTCAGGGTGTCTGCAGCATAGACTTTTTTACATATTTAAGTGTGCTAAGAAAAAATAACTTGAATTATTGTCTCTTGATTGAGCAGTAGATCATTAGAGCCATAAAAATTTGTTTAAGAAACAATGGTAAAATGTGAATCATAACTACATTATTAATGTTTCCACATGGGTAGAAATACAGATACCACATAAGACCTTAAAAATTTGTTAGTCGTAAATGTCAATAAATAAACTGAAATCACTGAGAACTACAAATACCTCACTGAGCTTACTAGGAAAAGAATCAGAATACCCATTTATTTAACACTCATTAGAACCATTTTTATTTCTTCTGGTACTGTTTAGTGCAAACCTAATTGTTCCTACTGCCTTGACATTTTTACTACTTTGTATGCCTCATCAGTTTAAAACATTTACTTCTGTGACTGGTGAACCATTGAGCAAATTGGTTCGTGAGATCAATATTCTTGTTCTAAAGAGGAAGAAGTCATGGCTTACATACACAGGTGTCTGGTAATGTTTATTCACTGAAAGAAGTTCATTTTCTACTGTTGATAGTTGGCAAAGTGACACTCCACTTTAGGTCTTTAATCATTTATACCATTTCCTAAGAAAGCTACAACTTAAAAAAAGAAAGAAAGCTCAATATACTATCAAATAAAAATGTCCAATCAGTCAACACAGACACTCACTTCACAGCAATCAGCAACAGCTGTATCCCAATTAAGGCTATGATTTTGCAGGTGCTCACAGAAGACTATTTCAAAATAAATCCACTTATTTAAAGTGTTTGGAAGCTTTATAAAGTCTTTATAGATAAGTTCAGCCAAAAAAAATTGGTTGAGGTTTTCAAACAACTTATTTATAAATGTCAAGATTCTTAGGTAAAAGAAAAGTAGGAGATCAAAACAAGAAGTCTTTCAAAAATATTCTCTTATTATCTATAAAGATAGACAAGGAAGGAGAGTTTGAACAGTATCACATATATTTGGTGGAAACAGATGCTATCCTATTCAATATATTTCTCAACTGCTTACGGGAAAGTATTCATTTGTGATTATATAGTTCGATCTATGTGTTATGCCATAGTATATATACATTTAATGTTGTTCCTCTTGAATATTTTAAAATAAATTTTAATAAATATAATTTAAATATAAATGCAAAAACAGTAATTTAAAATTTTACTTTGCATAAAAATTGAAGGAAAATTATAAATTCAAATTCCTTTATACTACTTCTAGAGATTCTGATTTTGTAAGCATAGTGTTAATTTTGCCAAGTAATGTATATCTTTTTCAAGCAAGTTTAGTAATTCTAATATAGATAGCCCACTCAGATATCAATTTGAGGAAACCTGCTCTAAATGTGTGCAAATAAAAGTAGTCAGAGCTTTTACATTTCTTTCTTACATTTGTATTTTAAAAAGGATGATTTCCAAGCAAAGACATACTTATTTACCTACATACTCCAAGTGGTTTTTGTGAATGAATAGCTTTTGTCTTTCTGAATCCACTTATCTGTATTAATGATGTGTTTGTTATTAAACAAATTTCATCATGAATGTTTACTTACCTATGGCAATAAAAACCTGTAAAGTGTAATTATTTAATGTTTGCCTGATGTTTTGAATGTTATGTATTTTGTGTAAGAGTTAAGTATTATTGTACTTATTAAACATTGGGGTTGGTAACATTTGACCACAGCTTATGACATAATTCCCCTAGGATATAATAAATTGTCTGAATTTAACACATCTCTCAGGATGACAAAATGTAATGATCTTTCAGACAAGAGTTTTAGTTGTCCTACTACTTTTTCAGTGGTATTCAGATAAATTTTAAATGAGCTTGATGAAAAATCAGAGGAGTAGCAGTTGGGCTGACAGCTGATGTGTCAACAGAAGTGATGAAAGACAGAAGAAAATAGAATTATTTTATTAAAGTGCTTAGAGAAAATAACTGCCAATCTAGAGGTCACTACCTAAAGAAGAGTTCATCAAGAATAAAGGTTAGGAACAAGAAACCTCAGCTTTTTCAGGTGGAAATGTAAATCACTATAGCTATTTACTTATTTTTATTAAATACATTTTAATTGAAATATAATTTTTTGAAGTGTAAAGTGCACCAATTGTAGTATAAAGCCTGATGACATTTTACAAACACATCTGTATTAGTCTCTTCTCATGCTGCTAATAAAGACATACCTGAGACTGCATAATTTATAAAGGAAAGATTTAATTAACTGACAGTTTAGCATGGCCTGGGGAGGCCTCAGGAAACCTGCAATCATGGCGGAAGGGTAAGCAAGCATGTCCTTCTTCACATGGCAGCAGCAAAAGAAAGTGCAGAGCAAAGTGGGGAAAAAGCCCTTTATAAAACTATCAGATCTCATGAGAACTCACTCACTATCACAAGAACAGCATGGAGGTAACTGGTCCCGCCCCATAATTTAATTACTTCCTACCAGGTCCCTCCCACAACACATGGGAATTATAGGAACTATGATTCAAGATGAGATTTGAGTGGGGCCCAGCCAAACCATATCAACATCTATGTAAGCAAAATCCAGATGAAGGTCTATAATATATTCAGTACCTCAGAATCCTTCTTCATACCCTCTCCTGTTTATTACCTTCCTTGTAGGTAGCTGTTTTTATGACTTTGAGCACTTTGATCTTAGATTAGATTTCCTTGCTCTTGAAATTTATAGAAATGAAATCATACATTATTCATTCTTTCATTAAGCATTTTCTTTTTCTGATGAGATTCATTCATGTATTGTGTGTAGTAGACAATTCATTATTTTTTACTCTTTTGTAGTGTTCCTTTTTACCAATAATCCTACAACTTATCTATCCTACAATTCTATTACTGTTGATCGCCACTTTGGTTACTTCCAGATCAGGATTATGAATAATGTTACGTGCTACTTTTATATGCCATTTATCTGACTGTCTCATAGGAGTGGACTTCCTAGGTTAATAGCATAAGCATTTTGATATGACATTTTTGTTATTAGTCAATTTGAAATATTTTCTAATGTACAGTCTGATTAATAATTTATATTTTTATTTCTCTTAAAATAACTCCTAAATTATTTAAAATTTTAAAGTATATTGCTTCATTTCAAAACATTCATGATTTCAAATTATCTTTCTGTTATTGATTTCCACTGTGTATGGAAAGCATAATCAATACTATATCTAGTCTCTGAACATTTTTGAGACTTGCTTCATAGCCCATCATATGACATCCTCTGATAAGTGTCACATGTGTACCTAAAAAGAATGTATATTTTTATGGTTGATGAGGTAATGTGTATATGTGTGTATTTATTTATATACATATTCAAATCTATAATTTACTAAATTTTAAGGTGTGTTCAGTTACTGTAAGAGTTGTATCAAAATCTTCCATTATTATATATATTTGTTTATTTCATTTTTAGTCATGTCATATTTTACTTTATGTATTATGAAACTACATTATATTTTACTGTTGGATTGACATATTAACATTATGAAATGACATATCCTTCTTTGTTTTAGTACATTTCTATCTTGAAATTCTAATTCATCTGATATAATTTTTAATCTTTTAGTAATCAACACTTATGTATTCTTAAATTTGATGTATCTTACAAGTAGTTCAGTGTTGTTCTGTTAAATTTTTGTATCAATATACGTTTATTGCTAGAATATTTAATCCACTTTATTTTTAATGTAATTATGGGTATATTTTTCTTCAAATTGAACCTTTCAGATTTGTTTTTCCTTTATATTATCTGTTCCTAGTTTCTTATTTTTTCATTATATTTTTATAATTAAATGATATTTGGTAATATTTAGTATTTTCCCTTTAAAATTTATTTTAATACATGTGTTTATTATTTGCCACATTAATTATGATGCTGATCTTTAATATTATGTATTAAAGTATCAATAGTTGAATTAACATCTGCCTATAACTTTTGTCTCTAAACTGTACAAGAAACTTGTACATATTTTTATTATCTTCTGCCTTTGTAGTTATCATAAAATTTAGTTTTATGTATTTTAAATCTTGCATGCCATTTTTTCATGCCTTGAAAATGTTTTCATATATTTCAAATATCACAATAATTATTTTCAATAATCAATATTGTTTTAGATCTAATTTCACATACACACAGCTTTCTGTGCTCTGCATTAACTACAGAATTATTCTCCATCCATCTGGTATCATTTTCATTGACTCTGAAAAACAATCCTTTTGTTATATTTTTTGATGTGACTCTCTACAATTGATTTTTTTTAGTATTTTTTAAATACTGTCTTCTTTCCCACTTTTCTGTGAAAGATATTTCCTTTGTATATACAATTTCCTACGATACTTATTTTTCTTCTGCATTTTAAATATCTTGGGCCTCATGGTTTCCTCAGTTACATATGCTTGAAAGTCAGCTTTAAGTCTTGTTTTACTTCTTTAAAGTGAGGGCATATTTCCCTCTGGCTTTCTTAAACATAGTCTGTCTTTCATTTTCAGCAATTTTATTATAATTTTAGGTGCTTGTTTCCTTTTGTTTTTGACCATTTTTGTAATTTATAAAGCTTCTTAGATCCATAGATTATTTTTTTTAATTTTTGAAATTCTTGGATAGATTTTATTCAATTCAGCTGCCTCATACTTTTTCTCCTTGCCATTTGAAACTATCAGTGTGTGTGTGTGTCTGTGTGTGTGTGTGTGTGTGTAAAGTTATATATCCCTTTAGGAGGAGATATATAATTTAATGTTTATATCCTCAGGATTTAACATTTGGGCACATAGCTATTGAATTCAAATATTGAAAGTATTTTTTTTGCAATTTTTAACACTTAAATGGCATGATGATGATTTCCCTGTGTACTTTATTTGATTATTTAAAAGGAATTGCATACAAGTACATGTAATTTAGCCCTTCAGCAAATGATAATGCAATATTGTATTTTTTTGATATCTTTTTTAAAATACAACCAAGATTACTACCATGCTTACAAATACTTTATTGGCTTTTGCAGACAAAAAATTCATATTTACACAATATTTAGATTATACTCGAGTAGTCTATTTTGAAAATAATTGTATGTCTTTTAGTAGATTTTCTCTTAATATTTAAATACCTTTAATGACTCTCACTGTCAAACGTCTGCCCTAGAGAAATTAGAACAGATGGCAACTCCAAGTAATGAAATGAACTGTTGGCTACCAGAGTACCATTATTGTTAAAGATGCCCTATACAACTTGAAATTTGGCAGTAATCCAAAGGACTTCCAGCAAGTCTTGATATTTTGGAGATTTATCAGAAACTTTCTATATTATCCAATAAATCTTAGTGTAATGTAAGAGCTACATAGAGGAGCAGCTGACATGACACAGTATTTTAACAACACTTACTGAAAGATAAATATTTTCTATCTCTCTGCTAATGTGTTTCTGAAAGACTAAATGTAGATACGCATATTTTTGTGGCAAAATCATAAGTATACTATTGATTTCAAGAGGAGAGAATATCAACAGAAATAACAATAACAGGAAATAATGTGTTTCAATATAGAAAAACATCTTATCACTGGTTCAGAAGCATGTATATACTTACAAGGGAAAATAATCAGAAAGGAATAACACAAGTAGGTAGACTGTAAAGAGGAAATTGAGCCAAATATTTGTGCCAGAAAAAGCCATGCCTTACATTCATTATAAATATATATTACAGATGAGCTTATTTTTTAATACTGAAAAGTTGCAGATTTTCAAAGTTTTATTTTTCTAATATGTCAGCCCCCATGAAAGGATTATAGTTTTGTTCTGTGATTTTTCTAAAAATTAATTTTACATAATATTCTATTTTCTGGGTTTTAGAACATTTTATTGTTGTTCTGAAATAAATTGATTAAAAAACACCAATTCACTTACAATAACATTATGACTTTGATAAACATTATTACAAAAAATTATTTTCAATTCCAAACATTTTGAATTTATCTGACACTTAATTTTTAAATCCTTTATTTACTAGCAATGTCTTTTCTGAGCTCCCTAAATATATGCATAAAGTTAGTGTAATGGATATGAATGGTTACAATAACAATATTGATAACAATAAAGAGTAAGATAATAAAAGTGACTAAGTTGGAGCTTTTATAATTTAGCAGAAATATGAGAATACAATTAAATAATTCATTAAAAATATTTAGCATTGTGCCTAACAGAGTAAGCACTCAATATGTTATGTTATTGTTTTTAGGACAATATATTACTTTTAAAAACTTTAATATCTCTTTTTTGTTGTTGTTCAACATAATTACCTTGGCAAAAAAAAACAAGAAGGATATAATGTAAGATGGCTTTAAACATTTACTTAATTAAAATAAAACATATTATTTAATACTTTATATTTTAAAAAGTATTTTTATACTAAACACTATCCATGGTTATAGATAATTCATTTCTGTTTTTTTTTTCTACTAAGACAAAACTTTGAATCTTTTCATCAAAATTGACCAGTTATGTGACCTTATGGAAATTGTGATCTTCTGTTTCTTGAGCTGTGTCTTTAACATATTTGCTATTTAAATAACAATATGATAGAATTTTCCCATGTTTTTATTTCAATAATTTTGTTTTATTTCCAACAATAGACATTTTAAATTAAAATTATTTTTCAAAGTTCATGAAGAATTTTATAATTTATTTGTATATATCTGAATTGTTTTTTCAAAAGAATCATGTTACCATACAGTTCCACCAATAATATACAAGAACATTTATTTCATTGAATTATAATGGAATTTAGGTTTTTATTTGTTATTAACTTTTCTCCTTTGATGAACAAAAGTTTTTTAAAACCTGTTTTTCATGTATATTCCATTATTAAGAAAATTTAAAATATTCCCATAAAGTTGTGGTATTTTTGTCTTTTTGTGAAAATTGTCTATATAATATGTATTCATTTTGAATGAATATATCTTCCTACAGGTATAATTTTATTCATCCAGCCAGTATTGATTAGCATCTATTTTATGTAGAATGCACTATTTTATGAGTTGTAAATAAAGCAGTGCACAAAATAGATATAAATGTCTACCCACGTAGAACATATAAACAATACATAAACTGAACTAGCAGAGTGTTAGTTATGTTAGATGTTATTAAGTTCTGTGGAACATAAAGCTTTGGTAAGGAAACCTTGCCTCAGAAGGTGATTTTAAATATAAGAGAATGAGCCATGCAGATATCCAGGGAAATAAATTTCTGGACAGACTTGAAAGCATGTGCAAATAACCTTAGTTAGTGTAACATATGGGGAGTGAGAATTCCAATGAATTGGAGTTGCATGAATGAAGTCTACAGCAAAAAGAAATGAGATCAGAGAAATAATGTGTGAATAAGCATTATAGTTACCCCATCTAGGAGGGATAGGTGTCATACTCAAATTTTGGTTCAGATATTAAACTAATGATTACACACACACACACACACACACACACACACACACACAAAACAGGTATGAACTCATTGTTCACATAGCATAGTTTTTGGGGGAGAGCAGGGAATATTCCCAATGGGGTCTGAAAATGGCTTGTAGGAGGAAAATGCAACTGCCTCGGGTTTTATAGTGATTAAGGGGTGAGGTTGGGGCAAGTGTTCCTGTGCACTTGAAAGTGGTGTTTGCATGGTTTTAACATTTTGCCAGTGCCAGAGAGAGAACATGTGTCTTATCCACTTGCCTAAAAGTGGAACAAGTGGGTAAGAAGGAGGAGTGGGGATTGAAGTTTGTCAGCAGTCAAATATCAAAAATGAAGTCAAACTATATATAACATCAGACCACATTGGTTATCAATAATAGTTATAAGGGAAGCCATTTGTAGGTATTGAGCAAGCAGAGCATGATATAATCTGATTTAGCTCTACCTGAAACACTGTGAGCCTTTTGTTGAGAACTGAAAGAAAGTGAGTAAAGGAAGATGCATGGAACCCAGAAATAGGCTCTTGCTTTAATCTTGTGAAAGATGGTAGCGACTCATCACAAGAAGTTTGCAGTTAGAGATGTTGGAAAGAAACTGGGTTAAGAGACTTGATTATTTTGAAATTAGAAATATCAGGATTTGTTGATGAAATGGATATGCTATTAGAAAGAAAAAAGTTTGGGTCTGAAAACTTAGAAGAAGAATTTGGGATCAACTGATAGAGGGTATGCTCTGACAGAAAAATGTTTAAGGAAAGGTAAATAAAAAAGCTCCATTTGCCTCCCAACTCAGTTAAGAGATAGGATATATAAATCTGGAGGTTAGAGCTAAGGTGGGTTAGATATATACAACTGAAATATATTAGTGAAGAGATGACATTCAAAGCCATGGAATTGCATGAGAACCTTGGTAATGACTGGAAATAGGGTGGAAATGTAGTACAAGGTCTCATCTTAGGGGCACTCCAAAGTTCAAAGTTCGGAGAGATACTTATGAATCAGCAAAGTAGTTGACTGAGAAGAAGGAGCAGTGTTAGAAGCCAAGAAGGAGTGTTAGAAGCAAAGAATTTTCTATCTAGGAAGAGAAATTGGGTCATAGAAGTAATGATTAACTTTATTATAGTAGGTTAAGTCAAACAAGGACAGAGAATTGATGAGCTTGACAAGAATGGTTTCTGGCACAAATATTTGGCTCAATTTCCTCTTTAGATTCTACCTACTTGTGTTATTCCTTTCTTATTTTTTTCCCTTGTAGGTATGTGCACCCTCTGAACCACAGCCTGAGCTGCACTTTGACCCCTTTAAGCCATGGCTGGAGTAGCTGTGACGCAGGTCACCATGTCCCTTGGCTGCACAAAGCAGGGGGGATATAGACCTGGTCCAGCAAACAATTTTCCCCTTCTAGGCCTCTGGGCCTGTGATGGAAGGTGCTGCTGTGAAGGTCTTTGACGTGCCTTGGAGACATTTTTTCCATTGTCTTGGTGATTAACATTTGACTCCTTGTGACTTATGCAAATTTCTGGAGGAGGCTTGAATTTCTTTCCAAAGAATGAGTTTTTCTTTTCTATTGCATCGTCAGGCTACGAATGTTCCAAATTTTTATGCTCTGCTTTCTCTTGAATGCCTTGCTGCTCAGAAATTTCTTCTGCCAGATACCCTAAATCATCTCTCTCAAGTTCAAAGTTCCAAAGATCTCTAGGACAGGAGCAAAATGCCACCAGTCTCTCTGCTAAAGCATAACAAGAGTCACCTTTGCTCCAGTTCCCAACAAGTTCCTTATCTCCATCAGAGAGCACCTTAGCCTGGACTTCATTGTTCATATCACTATGAGTATTTTGGTCAAAGCCATTCAGCAAGTCTCTAAGAAGTTCCAAACTTTCCCATATCTTCCTGTTTTCTGTGTCCTCCAAGTCTCTAGGAAGCTCCAAACTTTCCCACATTTCCCTATCTTTTTCTAAGCCCTCCAAACTGTTCCAACCTCTGCCTGTTACCCAGTTCCAAAGGTGCTTCCAGATTTTTTGGGTATCGTGAGAGCAGTACCCCACTCTACAGGTAGCAATTTACTGCATTAGTCTGTTCTCATGCTGCTAATAAAGACATACCTGAGTCTGTGTAATTTATAAAGAAAATATGTTTAATTGACTCACAGTTCATCAGGGCTGGGTAGGCCTCAAGAAACTTACAATCATGGCAGAAGGGCAAGCAAACATATCCTTCTTCACATGGTGGCAGCACGGAGAAATGCAGGACAAAGTGGGGGAAAGTCCCTTATAAAACCATCAGATCTTGTGAGAACTCACTATCACAAGAACAGCATGGAAAAAACCCACCCCATGATTGAATTACCTCCCACCAGGTCCCTTCCATGACATGTGGGGATAAGGAGTGCTACAATTAAAGATGATATTTGGGTGGGGACACAGCCAAACCATATTACAGGATTTGTTTCTTTTTCAAACAGCTAAGGGCAAGCTAGAGAAAAGATAGAAAGTTAGACATATATTGAAGGGAATAACTAAAATAATTAATCGTGTTATTTAAGGTGGATTGAAGGAAAATGGGAATGTGTGGTAAGTGGAGTACAGTCACAGGATAGAAAAGATCTAAGACCCCATTGATGTCCAGGAGTTGTATTCAGTACATGACAGAGAATTGAAAGGAGATCATTGAGTGCTTGACATTATCTGTTACCAACAGTTTTAAGGTATGTGTATGTAAATAAATATTTTAGGCAGAGTGAAGGACAAAAATAGTTTTAGTGGATGTTAAATGACTAAAGTGGGTTCAAGAGCAAGTAGGAGTATAAAATTGGAAACTGCAAGTGTAAACAACTGTTTCAAGAAAAATATTCTAAAGGGAAGGAAAGAGAAGATCATAGGAAGACAGAAAGTCAATGATATAAAAAACCTCTTTCCATTACTGCCATCTTCAAAGTAGTTGCATTTTGAATTTGAACACTTATTACAGTTCTAAAAAAACACATTTTATAAATGAAGACATAAGTAATGGAATTTTTCTGCTAATCATATTTGTGGCTATAAAGAAGGGCAATCTGCCAGGTGTGGTGGCTCATACCTATAATCTCAGTAATTTAAGAGGCCATGGTGGGAACATCACTTGAGGTGCAGTTCAAGACCAGCCTGTGTAACATAATGAGACCTCATCTTTACAAAAATTCTAAAAAATTTTCCAGGCATGGTGGAGCATGTATTTACTCCCAGATAATTGGGGCGATAGGGTAACAGAATTGCTTGAGCCCAGGAGTTTGAGGCTGCAGTGAGTTAGTTCACACCACTGCACTTCAGCCTGGGCAACAGAGTGAGACTCTCCCAAAAAAAAAAAAAAGAAAAGGGCAATCATCAGAATAAATACCTTCTAGTAGATTATTATTAAAATTTCATCATGATGTGCATAATTTAATAGTATCAGGAAATCTGGCAGGGCACATTGGCTCACACCTATAATCCAAGTACTTTGGAAGGCCAGGGCATGAGAATTTCATGAGTCCAGGAGTTCAACACCAGCTTCAGCAACATAGTGATAACTCGTCTTTAGAAAAAATTAAAAAGAAAAATTAGGTGAGCATGGTGGTGCCTGCCTGTAGTCCCTGATATTCAGGAGTCTGAGGCAGGAGGATCCCTTGAGTGTAAGAGCTCAAGACTGTAGTGAGCCATGATTGCACCAATGCACTTCAGCCTGGGTGACAGAGCCAGACCCTGTCTCAGGAAAAAACATCTTTATATAAGTTAAGGGCTATTTTTGTCCTAACCAAAGGAGTCCATTGGAGTCAATATTTTTTAAATAAGAAAAAATATGAAAAGGGGGAAAAAAACTCTTCTATGTTTTTCTTGGATATAGTATCCTTTTTAGTATATTTTAATTGTAGTGTTAATATTTAGCTTACTTGAATAATATGATACTTGTCAAATGGAAAGTATGACCTGTTTGAATATTCTTAGGGTTTTGAAGTGTGTGCAAGAATAATGTTAGAGTACTAAATTTAACATTCGGGAAGAGTCACTCTGCTTCAATACAGATTATTTTATCTCTAGGTGTTTAAAGATTTTTCAATTTCAAAATTACCAATATCCTTTGTAAAATTAGTAATTGTCCATAGCTATAATTATGTACCTATCAACTGGTTCATGCACTTGGAAATATACAAATTAATTCAATTTCTGTTTAACTTTAATAAAACTAAATTATGATATACATAGGCACACATAAATTTTTGTTATGATTTGCAATTTGTAAAATAATATCTACAATCACTATTATTTTCCAAATGTCATCTTTTAAGTAAAATCTAACACAACTTCAACATTTTTCTTCTTTTGGACTCTTTCATGGAGTTTTATGCTATTATTAATTTTCACACCTAAGTGACCTATTTATAATTTTATTTGTAAAAATATTATTTTAATTGATTAAATTAAGATTTTTTCACTTTTAGAAAAAGTGAAAAAGTAGAGGTTTATTTTCATTATTTTACTTTTCCTTCTAGCTAAATAATTAATTCCTTTTCCTTCTAGCTAAATAATTAAAATGTAAAAAGATATTTGTACATCTTTTCTCTTCTTATAAGAGAAAAACCTAGTAAAATAAATTTCATCCTCAATTTAAAAATTACACTGTACGAACTCATATATTAGCAGCTGAAGCCATAGTATGAACAGAAGACACTCTGAAATAAAGTATCGAAATATCAGGATTTGGCTCTTTAACTGATTGTATTAGTTCATTTTCATGCTGCTGATAAAGACATACTAGAGACTGGGAAGAAAAAGAGGTTTAATTGGACTTACATTTCCACATGGCTGAGGCGGCCTCATAATCATGGCGTGAGGTGAAAGGCACTTCTTACACAGTGGCAGGAAGAGAAAATGAGAAAGATGCAAAAGCGGAAACCCCTAATACAACCATCAGATCTCGAGAGACTTATTCACTACCATAAGAACAGTATGGGGAAAGCTGCCCACATGATTCAAATTATCTCCCACTGGGTCCATCCCACAACACATGGGAATTATGGGAGTACAATTCAAGATGAAATTTGGGTGGAGACACAGAGCCAAACCATATCATTCCACCCCTGGACCCTCCAAGTTTCATGTCCTCACACTTCAAAACCAATTATGCCTTCCCAACTGTCCCCCAAAGTCTTAACTCATTTCAGCATTAACCCAAAAGTCCACAGGCCAAAGTTTCATCAGAGACAAGGCAAGTCCCTTCCACCTGTGAGCCTGTAAAATCAAAAGCAAGGTAGTTACTTCCTAGATACAATGGGGGTACAGGTATTGGGTAAATACAGCTGTTCCAAATGGGAGACATTGGCCAAAACAAAGAGGTTACAGGCCCCACGTGAGTCTGAAATCCAGTGGGGCGGTCAAATTTTAAGCTCCAAAATGATCATCTTAGACTCCATGTCTCACACCCAGGTCATGCTGATGCAAGATGTGGGTTCCCCTGGTTTTGGGCAGCTCTGCCTCTGTGGCTTTGCAGGGTACAGCCTTCCTCCCAGTTGCTTTCACCGTCTGGCATTGAGTGTCTGTGGCTTTTCCAGGTGCACGGTGCAAGCTGTAGGTGGATCTACCATTGCGGGGTCTGGAGGATGGTGGCATCTCCTCACAGCTCCACTAGGCAGTGCCCCGGTAGGGACTCTGTGTGGGTGCTCTAACCCCACATTTCCCTTCTGCAGTGCCCTAGGAGAGGTTCTCCATGAGGGCGCCCACCCCTGCAGCAAATTTTTGCCTGGGCATCCAGGCATTTCCATACATCTCCTGAAATCTAGGTGGAGGTTCCCAAACTTCAATTCTTGACTTCTGTGCACCTGTAGGCTGAACACAATGGTGAAGCTGCCATGGCTTGGGACTTCCACATTCTGAAGCCACAGCTTGAGTTCTACATTGGCCCCTTTCAGCTGTGGCTGGAGCAGCTGGGATACAAGGCACCAAGTCCCTAGGCTGCATACAGCACGGGGATCCTTGGCCTGACCCATGAAACTACTTTTTCCTCCTGGGCCTGTGATGGGAGGGGCTGCCATGAAGGTCTCTGACATGCCCTGTAGACATTTTTCCCATGGTCTTGGGGATTAACATTAGACTCCATGCCACCTATACAAATTTCTGTAGCTGGCTTGAATTTCTTCTCAGAAAATGGATTTTTCTTTTCTACTGCATTGTTAGGCTGCAAATTTTCTGAACTTTTATGCTGTTTCCCTTTTGAAACTGAATGCTTTTAACAGCACCCAAGTCACATTCTGAATGCTTTGCTGCTTAGAAATTTCTTCTGTCAAATACCCTAAATCATCTCTCTCAAGTTCAAAGTTCCACAAATCTCTAGGGCAGGGGCAAAATGCTGTCAGTCTGTTTGCTAAAACATAACAAGAGTCACTTTTGCTCCAGTTCCCAACAAGTTCCTCATCTCCATCTGAGACCACCTCAGCCTAGACCTTATTGTTCATATCACTGTCAGCATTTTTGTCAAAGCCATTCAACAAGACTTTGAGAGGTTCCAAACTTTCCTACATTTTCTTGTCTTCTTTTGAGTCCTCCAAACTGTTCCAACCTCTGCCTGTTACCCAGTTCCGAAGTCACTTCCACATTTTTTGTATCTTTTCAGCAATGCCCCACTCCTGGTATCAATTTACCATATTATTCCATTTTTATGCTGCTGATAAAGACATACTCAAGACTAGGAAGAAAAAGAGGTTTAATTGGACTTACAGTTCCACATGGCTGGGGAGCCCTTAGAATCATGGCAGGAGTCAAGGGCACCTCTTACATGGTGGCAGCAAGAGAAAATGAGGAAGATGCAAAAGCAGAAACCACTGATAAAACTATCAGATCTCGCGAGACTTATTCACTACCATGAGAAAAATATGGGGGAAACCAGCCCCATGATTCCTGTTATCTCCCACCAGGTCCCTCCCACTACACGTGGGAATTATGGGAGTACAATTCAAGATGAGATTTGGCTGGGGACACAGAGCCAAGCCATATCACTGGTATTTTTAAAGATTAATAGAACAGAAACTACTATATTGACTGAGGTGAATGAAATTATGTGAGTAAATGACATAAATAGGGAAATCCAATAGAGTTAATGTCAATGTGGGAAAATCCTGGACACTAAACTAGCATAGAGAATAAAGTTCATTTTTAATAATTTATTTAATGTGTAAATTGAACAAAAAATATATATGATACATTTTTTTTTCTTTTTGAGACGGCATTTCACTCTTGTTACCTGGTTGGAGTGCGGTGGCACGATCTTGGCTCACTGCAACCTCTGCCTCCCGGGTTCAAGCAATTCTCCTGCCTCAGGCTCCCGAGTAGCTGGAATTTTATAGGCCACCATGCCCAGCTAACTTTTTGTGTTTTTAGTAGAGACAGGGTTTCACCATGTTGGCTAGGCTGCATTTGAACTCCTGACCTCAGTTGATCCATCCATCTCAGCCTCCCAAAGTCCTGGGATTACGTGATACATATTTTTAAGGTTCTTCTGTTAAGGTAGACTTCACAGGATTTTATTATCCCACGACCATATCCCTGATTACAGGCATTTCAGTATGACATTTAATTTAAGAATCTTTCAGAAATATTAACATATTTGAACACAAATACCTTATTAGGAGGATTTGTGAATTATTTTTTGCATCAAAATCTGATTTTTGTAATTGTTAAATACACTGAATACAGTCTGAGTGAATATTTGAGCAGCTGGGAAAAACTACCAGGGTAGGTCAGAGTGTTTAGGGTTTAATGTGTGACAAGAAAAAGTACCTTTAGATAATTATTGAAATTGAACAGATATAGTTTCTGAAATAGAAACATATGGACACTAGACTCAGGACAGAGTGGCAATAAATACACAAATAAAAAGAAAAGATGAAGTTAAAAATGAATTGTTCTAATTCACAGTCTTGCCTGAGCACAGGAGTACACTAATTTCTTGCAAGATCTAGCTATCTTTTCTTTTTGTAAAAATCACTTATCACAATATGTCTATTTTTGGAACTTTTCGATTTTGATCAGGTCTCTGGATTTAGAATACTTTTAAATTGTCAAAATGATTTGACCATTCTATTTTTAAAAAAGCATATCATAAATTCCAAGGTTATGTTTGTGATTATGTAATAATTAAGGATTTAAATTTTACAATGAGAAGAACATATATAAATCACAGACTAAATGAAAACAGACTAAATGGTATTATTGTATCAATAATATCTTGAGTGAATTATTCATATTATCTTGTAATGAGTAAAGGATAACATATTGTTTTCTTTTACTGATGACAATGTTAGATAATTTCTTTTGTAGCACTGTTTCATGTGTATTATAGAATGCTAGGAAAAATAAATTTTTTTATTTAATTCTCCATTTCTTAGGAAAGGAAATGGAAAGAATTTGTATCTTTTTGCTTTGAAAAGCCAATATACATAAGCATTTAAAATTTTTTAACTTTTTAAATATGTGTATAATGTTTCACTCACCCATAAATGTAACATTGAACATAAGTAGCCTTTAATTTTATCATTTTTAGGTAAATTTGTCAATTATGATTTACTAAATTTCACTAATGCTAAAATATTAAAACTGAAGATGTTAGACACCTTTTATTACGCTATATGCTCACATGATTTTAATACTAACACATCTAAAATTTATTTACGCAAATTTCTATTGATTAAAGAGAAAGTATAGGAGAGATGTTATTGATACTTATTTCACAGTCTATTTAATACTTTAGTGCATATGTCCAAAAGATGAAAAGTAGCATAAACAGCATTTTTCCTTTCATGTATTTTACCATAAAATTCTGTATCTGACACGTTTCCGGAGAACCTATGAATTATTTTAATTCTTCCCCAAATCTGAAATTATTTTATGCAATTATTTCATGAAATTATTATATGTGAGAATTTCTTTCTATATATCCTTATCACAGATTTGAGATTTTTCAATTTCAGTTAGCGAGACAATGAGGAAAATATTTCCTCATTATCTGTTTTGTAAAGAAAGAGATTGGAACTAGCTAGAGAAAAAGATTCAAAATGGTAATCTAACTGTACTTAAAATTTTTGCAGTGAAGCCCTGGAAATGTAAAGGAACTTGGCAAAAATTAATGTTGAATTTTGGGATGGAATTTTCTATCGTTTTTATTTGGGTATCTGTGATACATGTGGACAAGAGGGTCGCTACGTGGTGTAGTAATATTCTAAGGTGTTCTGACAAAAGTTATTATTACAAATGTTATTGCTATAGAAAAGTAATTTGTTAAAACATTTGCATTTGCAAGTGAGATATTTTTCTGTTTATAAGTAACAAAATTAAATCATATTTCCACAATAACAACTATTTTTTTTTATTCTGTGGACCATACAAGTAAATACAGCATGTGAAACCCTCCAATATTGTTCAGTGAACAAGCTATATACATCTGTGGTGGCTCCAAATATAGAATATTTATATGAAAGTATAAACCAAATGGATACATTAGTAAGGAAGCAAAATCTATTTACAAATTTATATTTTAAAAATACATTTACGTATTATGAAGAAACATCAGACAAACAAAATGAGGGACATTCTACAAAAGACCTAACCGGTACTCTTCAAAAACGACAAAGTCATTGTGAGCAATGAAAGACTAAGAAATGTCAGATCACAGAAGATCTATATGGTATGATTAAATGCAACATGATAGCATGGATTGTATTATAAAACAGAAACAGGATTATTTGGAACATTTGGTGCAATCAAATCAAATCTATAGTATAGTTATGGCATCAAAGTTAAGTTTTTTGTTCTGATAAATATATCATGGTTATGTAAGATTTTCAAGATGAAGGGAAACTAATTGAAGGGCATAATTCTCAGTATTATCTATGCAACTCTTCTAAAAATCTGAAATTATTTAAAACACTATAGACAATGCTTTTGAAATGATTGCTTGTATTTAAATTTACTATCTAATACTTTGTTTACAGCATGTGGAGTAGGCTCCAAAGCCCTATTTTGAGACATGCCTAATCTGGGAAAACCACATTTATCTATCGTAACAAGCTGTTCAGCGCCATGTGATGGCTGCAGGAAAGAGTGATCTTATGATAATCTACTATTTACTGACAAACCAAAATATGTCCTTGAGAAAATGGTCATTATTTTATTTATTTACTTCACAGATGAAGTCAAAGATACTTGAAGCAGAAGCTGTATCTGAGGAAGCTGTATATAAACCCAATTTAAAGCAAGTAAGTAGGTCAATATGATTCCAGAAAACAGGCATTGCCATTAGAAGACAATTATTTAGTATTCACAACCTTTTTCTTGGGACATTTAAAATTAGAAACAGATTGGAGCGGTATGTCTGCATGTATCATCCAACTAACAAAACAACAAATGCCTTAGGTAAGATGGCTCATTTCAGAAAGATATTTTTAAATGAGATTGAGTAGGACTGGGGCAAAATATCTTATAGGTAAGAAAAAAAGAGTACGGATTCAATGGCTAAAAGAAAGAACAAACAAACAAAAACAAAATAGAAACAGAAAAAAAACCTGCCAGAAAAGAGAAAACAATCCTAGGAATAGAGTATTCATTAGAATATAAGAGACTAGTAAAATTAAATTGTAGAGATTAGGTAGAAACTTAAATACAGAAAATTATAGTGCTGAATTAAAAATGAACTTTTATGAATCCTGAGTGCCCAGTCATTCCCACAACTCTACATGTCAGTGGAACTTGGATATAACAGAGAACTGGACATTGTGACTGCCACATGATTATACTTAAAGGCATGGTTAAATAATCTTAATGAAAAATACCCTGAATAGAGATGTACTCAGAATGTTGAAAAGAAAAAAAAGACTAGGGAAAACAATTAATAATCTGGCTTTTAATTATCTGTATGTGTGTGTGGAACTAAGATAGAATAAAACCCTAAATGTCCCACTGACTAAATTGAGAGTAGTGTCCCAGAAGTAGCCTTTCCTATATCCCACTCTCTGGATAGCAAATCGGTGAAGGAGGATTTTATTTCCAATGTAAGCAGTAACTAGCATCAAGTGAATAAAGCTAGCCTAAATTTTTACCCTACATTCAAAGCAGATTTTTTTCCAAAGGAAACAACAATAAATATGGACTGAAATGCAAATTTAAGAAATTATTTGTCTTTAATTTTATATGTTAATGTACTTGACACATTTTGAACATGAGAAATAACTTATACTAATCATTTTTATTTAAATGCACTACTTGCTTGATTGTTCTTTATAAATGTGTAAGAAACTGTATAATGCACTTGATAAAAAAATACAAACAAGTACAGTACAAATCAGAACAAATGAGCTCCCTAAGGCCAAAAGACTCTTTAAACACAAAAATATTCAGCATGGAAATATTGCTTCTGGCAGACATGATGGAGCAAAAGTATGTTTTCAATTAGATTTAATAATCTGGTTACTATATTTTGTATATGATACAGAGAGCATTTTTCCATTTTATGTATTAATATGGATATATTAAATAAAAGCTTCTAATCTTATTCTTTATTTTAAAAATATTTTGCTTTTGGTACTAGGAACTATCATATTAAACTACTTTTTCTCCTAGAGTTTTTCTCAGTAATGTAGCTTTGGCTACATTAATTGAAAAGTACTTGGTATATTTTATAGCAATCTTGCTTTATTGGATAATTTCCACTATTCTTTCTCTACAGTTGCATCTTAAGACTGTTTATATTAAAATTATAATACATGAAACCTGATGGCAATAACTTTTCCTACACATATGTGAAACAGCTGAAGAGACTATAAAACTTACAGTTTTTAAATTGTGTTTCAGCAGTGAATAGAAGTTTAGAGTGGGAGATAGACAACTACCTATTTTGATGAGTGTAGGATGGGGGCAAGTACAACAAATATGGCCCATGGAACAAATATGGTCTCTGGTGAATACCAAGATGGATAAAAAAGGAGCCTTTGCCTGGGCAACGTGAGAAACCCCATCTCTACAAAAAAAAAAAAAAAAAAAAAAAAAAAATTCCGTGATGGTGCAGGCCTCTAGTCCCAGCTACTGGGGAGGCTGCGGTGGGAGGGCCACTTGAGCCGGGGAGGTCTAGGTTGCAGTGAACCACAATTGCACCACTGCATTCCAGCCTGGGTGACAGCTGAGACCTTGTCTCCAAAAGATCAAAAATAAAGAATGAGCCTTGAGATGGTCCCCAGGCCGGGTGTGGTGGCTCACGCCTGTAATCCCAGCAATTTGGGAGGCCAAGGCGGGCGGATCACGAGGACAAGAGACTGAGGCCATCCTGGCCAACTTGGTGAAACCCCGTCTCTACTAAAACTTCAAACATTAGCCGGGCGTGGTGGCGGGGGCCTGTAATCCCAGCTACTCAGGAGGCTGAGGCAGGAGAATCACTTGAACCCGGGAGGCAGAGGTTGCAGTGAGCCGAGATCACGCCACTGCACCCCAGCCTGGCGACAGAGCGAGCCTCCGTCTAAAAACAAACAAAACAATGACAAAAAAGACTCTCCAGTATCTCCTAGAAAGCTGATAGTTAAACGTCAATTACCTTTGGGAAAATTTTGGCTTGTTTTTATGGGACCTAATTTCATCCCCACTTCTCTTCTAGGAAAAGTGTTGCACCCATGTAAACTATAGGAAGCAAAATAAAACGTAACGAGAAAAATAATTTCACCCATCCCTTTCTTCCACGCTGCTCATTTCCTTCCACAGTTTCTTTATTATATCATAAGCCAATTTTAAGAAATATGCTATATGGCATAACATTACAAATGTTACTGCAGCTTTTCATGTGTGCTACAAATGGATGAGAAGAGAGACCCCACCCACGCACAGTGTATGTTTTGATTAGTGCAAGAACACAGACACTTACAGAAGAGTGGAGCAGATGGAGTCTGTCTTTGCAAAGCTTTCTCTGACTCTGGAATCCATAATGGTCACCCGGATGCAAATTGACCTGTCGTTCTAGGGTAGGGTTATGCAAGTTCAGGAGAAGTTTGGTGGTTGCAGGCTCACAACTCTTTTACATTCAAGGTTTAACCTGCTGATTGGGAAGAATTTTTATGAAAAGCTGTGTGCTTCCTGATAAGAAAAAAGGCTTTCCTGTTTCGATCAAACCAGAACCAGTAAGTACATATTGTTACTTAGGGAAGAAAAGGGCATTCTCAAGATCAGGGATCCCTTGATATCTCTTCCACCAGGTTTTAATCAATCTCAAAGTGCCATTTACTTTTAGTTTTTTATGGAACCCGTTGTATAGATTTATTTGCAGCTAAATATATAAATCCAACTTCTCTAGTGATTTTCCTTGTGCAAGTTTGGTGAATGGTATCATTTGATATGCAAAATCTGTTCTATCTAGGGGCAAGTTCCCCAAGGCTCTTTGTTGCATAAAGACGTCACCTTGTTTCTGGATTGAACAGCCAAAGTCTGTGCTGGGGATCTTGGCTTCAGGAGAACTAAAGCAGGGATTTCTCAAAGGGGTTTTATGTCCTTCTAATCATATAGTCACATCAGCCTATCTAACCAGTCATGCCAGATGAAAACCGTTAATAAACAACATGATCCTAAGGGTTGCCAGAGGAATTTCAAATTTCAAACAGCACATCATGAGTCCCACTGACCTTAAGTTTACCAAAAGTCAAAGCTGGACATCCTAGCTTCCTCAGTGACAGAGACTGAGCTTTTTTGAGTCTGGCCATAAATCAGCTTTATCCTTTGCAAATGTATGTTAGTTTTTAAGTTAAAGTTATACCAAGTACATGTATAATTTTTTAGAAAATCTTAATGTTCTACCTTATACTATCAATTTGACAGGCTACAATTACTGTTATAAGAGATTATAAACAATATTTACCATACATTCTTACCCTGAGAAAACCAATGTCATATATGTGTACAATATAGTAATATCTTACATATAAAAGTTTCTTTAGGTTTTGAAGTGTTTTCATCGGCTTTTATTTCCTGCTAAATTTTCTGAGTTCATAACATAAGGTTAATAATTGCCATGATCTGAACGTTTGTGTTGCCCCAAAATTCATATGTTGAAATCTTAACGCTCAAGGTGATGATATTAGAAGGTGGGGCCTTTGGGAGTTGATTAGGTCACAAGAGCAGAACCCTCAGGGATGGGATTAGTGCCCTTATAAAAGAGGCTCTAGGGAGACTCCTCACCCTTTCTATTAATACCATGTGAGGACACAGCTAGAAGATAATTAGTCAAATTAGTTCTGTGTTAATTGAAAAGTGCCAAATATACAATAATTATATTTGTGATAGTTTATTTTAAACATAACATCAATCACTCACTCCCAATTTTTTTAGTGGAAAGATGTCGAGCTAGATTTAAGTGTCATCATGACTATTTAATTACATTTAAATTCTCAGTTTTCTCTGGCCGCATTATTTTTGTCTTTGTCTTTGAACAATTAAAACACTTATCACAAAATGTCATTGGCAAACCCAAAACTAAATGAACTGAAGTAAATTAACTACACATGCATATCAAATACTTCTTTGATTCAAATATGAGGTTAACTCAATTGGTATGGTGGAATGTCAGAAGTAAAAGTGAAATTTTGGCTGCATTGCCCAAAACACCTGAATGCTGTTATTACTGATGAAATGTGACAAGAGACAACTAGACTTACTCTTATTAAATTGAAAAGCTTTAGAGATGAGTTCCTTTAAAAGCAAACTGATTACACGAAAAACTTTCCAGTCTTTGGAATTGATTATTTGAAGTTTATCTGAAAAATATGAAGTTGGCATGGGTCACGTTCTACTTTTTGTTGTGACAGATGATTTTATGAAAAAACTCTTACTATTTGGTTTAAAATGTTTGAAATTTTTTTATTGTAAAAATATATTGTAACTCGTTGCAGTGATCATAAAATATAACAATGAAAAAATGAAATTTAAATTGAACTTCTTTATAAAAATAAATTTACTAAATTCCATCAATCTGAGATATTACACATTAACATGCAGTGTATTTTATATCTTCCTAATAAGACACTTAAATGTTTTATAAATTCTAAAAAATACACATTATACTCAATGACATATAATTACTCAATCTCCAAAGAAGGCTTTGGAATACATATTTTTAAAATGATGCTTAATGCTAACCAATTTATTTCCTTTTTATAACAAGTTGAAAGATTCAAATCTCAGAAGAGTTTTGGATCATTCAGAATGGTTTCATTCCATTTATACTTTATTCTTGCTATGTCAATTAAAATGTATTTCAACTTTATGTAATAACTCACATGAATGAGTCAGATGCTAAGTGAGGATTAGGGTATGCTGTGATAGTATTTTAACCTAACAGGAAACAGTATCTCTAAAGGAAATATATGAAAAAACAAGAGTAGGGGATTTAAACTCATTATTCTACCAATTTGTTTTTTGATATTCAATAAATCTATTAATCTGTTTTAAAAGATTTTATGTGGTAAAATTGTAATACAAGATACTAATTGATTTAATGTACATTGGTGTGTGAAAATTACAGTTATGTTATTCTTTTAAGAGGAGATTTTAATTTGCTTTTTTGGAAACTGAAATTATTATCCCCAAAAAGGAAGACAGAGAATAATATTTTTTAAAAGTGCACTAAAGTAAGAAAGAAATGAGTAACCCTTTTTAATACAAGTATCCTCATAAACATCTACTATCGTGACACACATGGAATGGGGTCTCAGAACTGTGGAGAGAACACTCAACACAATAAATAAAATAGACTTGTACTCAATAAGTAGTAATAGCATCATTCACATTGCAACCAAAACATTATTGTAGTCTTCACAACAACCTTGTTTTTAAAAACCAAACTAAATAATGCAGAACAGTTGATTTTTGAATCTGCATTTCAAATTTCAATGAACTTATATTTAGAGAAGTTTAGAGGCATTTCTCAATAAAATGAATGATGTTGTATTAGTTCAGACACCTATTTCAGTTTAAGCTCATATGCGTACATGTGTATACATATATTAGTTTGGGTTAATATATATGAACTATATGAACTATAACTAAAATATATATTTTTATATTTTATAAATATGAAATAGCGTAGGGAAGAGGATTGGGGCTAATAAGACATTTTTGTTACATATACATTCAATAAAATGGTTTATTTTTAAAATGAATGTTTAAAGTTGAAAAATTAGAAGCTAAGTTTATCATTGCTATAAAACTCATCTTTCACACAAGTCTGCCACAATTTTCAAGACTGTGTATTTTCCTGAAAATTTTGCACATATAAACTATGAGAAAAATTGTTATAAATGCTACAGAGAAAACAAAACTACTTAATGTAAGAAAGAATGACAAGAATAGTTTGCTATTTTAGGGAGGGTGTTCAGCAAAAACCTTTCTAATGTGAATTGTGTCAAGACCTGAGGGCAGTGATTGAGCAAGTTGTAACAAATATTTTAAAAATAATTCTAGGAACATGCTGGATATAGCAAGAAAAAGTAAGACAGCCATGTGGCTAGGCATAGTAAACAAGGAGTAAAGTAGTAAGAGTGAGAATTGGAGGCCCATGGGAACAATATATATCAAGGTAAGAAATTTGGCTAATATTCTCACTGTGATAAAAGTCTTTGTAAGACTTTTGAGCTGAAAAGAAAATAATAGCAGCACAATTTTTAAAGGATTACTCCAATGATTGTGAAAAATAGGTTCTAGTAGAATGAAAGTGGAAACTTGAAGGGGAGTTTGGAGGCTCTGGCAGTGATCCAGTCCAGAGATGATGGTGGCCTAGTGATGATATGGTGGTACATCATCAGATTCAGGATACTTTTCATGAGTAATGCTAAAGGAAACTTCTGAATGATATTTGAGGTGTAGAACGTGGTAGGAAGAATGAATTTAAGAATGATTACAAAATGTTTAGGTTGAGCAATTGGCATCTTTTATTGACTTGGTAAAGCCAGCAGAGCCACTGTTTGATGTGGGGCTTAAAATGAAAGATGCTGATTATTTGTCTTTTGTGCCTGGCTTATTTAACTTAACATAATGTCCTCCAGGTTCATCCATGTTGTCTCAGCTGACAGTAGTTTATTCTTTATTCTTTATTTATTTATTAACTTTTAAAACCCAAACCAGAAATGGTCAATGAGGATTTCCTTCTTTTTATGGCTAGTTTGTTTTGTGAACATATATCACATTTTAAAAATTTATTCATCCTTTGATGAATGCTTAGATTTATTCCATATCTTGGCTATTGTGCACTGCTGAAATAAACATGGGCATGCAGATATCTCTGACATAGTAATTTTATGGAAACTATGTTAGGTAATGCATGTTGTAATTAGCTAGATTTAACCATCCCATAATGTTTGCATACTTTTAAATGTGATTTTGTACCTGATAAGTACATACAATTTTATCTGTCAATTTTAAATAACTAGCTAACTAACTAAATTTGAAAATATTGAATGTTTATTAGACATACAAATAAAGATGCTTTGTAGCCAATCAGTTGGATATACATACTTTTTGAGTTAAAGAGATATAAATTTGGATTCCTCAATATAGATGGTGTATTGGTCAGGGTTTTCCAGAGGGACAGAACTAATAGGATATATGTATAAATTAAAGGGAATTGATTAGGGAGAATTGACTCACATGATCACACAAGTCCCACAATAGGCCATCTGCAAGCTGAGGAGCAAGGAAGCCAGTAGTGACTCAGTCTGAGTCCCAAAACGTTAAAGATAGGGAAGCCGGCAGTGCAGCCTCAGTCTGTGGCTGAAGGCCTGAAAGCCCCTGGCAAACCACTGGTGTAAGTCCAAGAGTCCAAAAGAGAGACTTGGAGATGTTTGAGGGCAGGAAGCATCCAGCACAGGAGAAAGATGAAAGCCAAAGACTCAGCAAGCCAGATTCTTCCACTTTCTTCCATCTGCTTTTTCTATCCACGCTGGCAGATGATGGAATGGTTCCCACCCACGTTGAGGGTGGGTTTCTTCCATCTGCTTTTTCTATCCACGCTGGCAGATGATGGAATGGTTCCCACCCACGTTGAGGGTGGGTCTGCCTCTCACAGTCCACTGACTCAAATGTTAGTCTCTTCTGGCAACACCCTCACAGACACACCCAGAAACAATACTTTGCATCCTTCAATCCAATCAAGTTGACACTTAATATTAACCATCACAGGTAGTATTGAAGCCCTTTGTATAGATTAGAGAAAGGAAAGTATAGGCAAACAGAGGAGGCCATAACATTGAACCCTCAGATACTTCAATAATTCAAGATGAAGAAAATAAAATAAATCAACCCAAAGACAATGAAAAGCAGGAAACCAGTGAGGTATCAAGAAAGTCAGGGTAATGTGTTGAATCTGAAGCCAAGTGAATAAAAGGTTTCAAAAAACAGGGTAATACACCATGTCAAATGATGGTACTACTGGAACGAGATTACAGCTTAGTAAACCATTGGTTTAGTGTTTTACTTTTGCTATCAGAGTTGCTGAAATAATTACATAAAATGTAAAAAAAAATTAGAAAAACGTTTAAATCTACTTTTTAAAATGTGAGGGTGCAAGGTATGTATGGGGTCATCATGTAAAATTCCATGTGTGAGATAGTTACTGAAATGGTCCTTGAGAGAAAATATGATACTTAGCACATAGAGTTACTGTGGAGGCATGAGTGAATGAAACAGGAATAATGAACAGCTTCTGTGAAGTAAAATATAGGAGATGGTGGTTGTGGTAGATTGGCTACAAAGACAGTAACCAGTAATTCCTTCGTCTCTGAATCCACTTGCTATCCTCCCATCAAGAGATGGAGTCTCTTACCCCTCTCCAAACTTGCTTTGTTAGCCTTATGTCTTAAGTAATGGAATGGAGTAATTCCCTTAAAATTGTGAGTCACCATGTAAAAAAAAGTCTGACTCTCCTTGCTACAGAGAGAAGACACATGGACATATCTTGAAGGATATAAGTTTGCAAAGAGCTAGAGGGCCAGCAAGTCTGTAATTTTTAGTCACCCCATAACAATAACCACACACATGGGTAAAGCCATCTTATATCCCCATTAAGCTGCCCTGGCTAACACCACAAGAAGAACCAAACCAACTCTGACGAGACCTGCTCTGTTCCTCATACACAGAATCATGATTAGTAAAATGGTTTAAACTACTAACTTCTGAGTGCTTTGTTAAGTAAAAGGAGATAACTGATCTAGTGGTTGATTCTGAATCATATTAAAAGAGAAACTGAATAATAAGAAGCTTTGAAGATATTTTTCATAAAAAATGAAAGAGTATAGGGAATTACCCTATACTCTATATATCTTTAAACATATCCTGAAAATTTGGGAAGATAGAAAGGAGGAAAAATTACAATAAAATGTAAATAAAGGTGGGGATGCCCAATTATTTGAAATTAGTTGTAAGGTGTAATAATGCCTAATTAGTACAATCTCTACATAGCTTGAGAAAAGAAAACAATTGAAATTTTCAGTACCTGTAAGGTGTTTTATGTTTCTCAGATAAACTCATTGTATTATGATCAAATACAGAATTGCTCTCTTTATGTTAATAGAAAAGCTATTGGAGATGATTACCTATATAAGTAACATAAAAATAAGACATAAAAATTTTAGAATATAAAAAGCAGAGTTTTTTTTAATAACTAAGGCATATTTTATTGAACTGACTTTGTCAAATGTCACTCTGGAAGTTAATTTCTGAGATTTCTCTCATCTTTACTTTCCTTCATACAAGATGGCTCTTCTCCAAAACAATATTGTTTTCCTACACAGCATGTTGGACTGATATCCAGCCCTTGCTTCCTGAAAGTATGGTATATGCTACGATTGTACTACTCTTAATTCTGAATTTTTCATGCTATTAATTCATACATCTTATGAAACAGCAAGATTAAACATAATCACGACTTAGACTTTTGTTATTTTTGTATAGAATCTCAGTATGTTATTTCAAAAAAGCTTTAAAAAAATAATGTGGAAACTTACATTGAAGTGATCATCTAACCATGGGGAAGAAATCAATGAGAAATGATAAAAACATCATGTTTTATCTTTCCCCCAGACTCAATGTTTCCAACATGTTGTGACAATTGGATTTTTATTTTGAACAAATAACTCAAAGTCTTCATACAGCAAACAACTCAACTGAAAAAGAATGAAAGTTAACTTTAGTACAATTTTTTAAAATCAATCGGATCCTTCTGGGAATGAAGGAACAACTGACTCACTTCTATGAGAGGTGAATTAAACTAGGCCACCACTTAATAAATTGCCATTTTCACTAAGGAAATGTCAACAAAATGATGTCAGGATTTGCGGATACGTGGTATCTGCAAGGAGAACAAAATTAGTAGGTTTTATTTTTATCATCTGTAAATGCGCTGAGAGCTAGGGAAATGTGGGACATTTCAGAGTACAGGAAAGAGCTGAGGTGCTCTGTCCCCTTTATCACATCTTTTATTTTCCATAACAAGGATATTTCACGTAGAATATAATCAGTGAATATACTTTATATCTGAACTTTTCTGTTGGCCAGTAAGTACTTATTTTTCAGATGGCTGCACCTTTCTAGAGTCCAGGCCAAAGGCAAACAGCTTCCAATAATCCACAGATCTTTTCCGTAATGGACAACTTTGCTCTCATCGTGACAGAGGATATCTTGAAATGAAAACTTGGAGTTGTAGTACCAATGACGATGATATATGTGTCTAAGTGGTCAGTGAAAATGTGTCTCTCAATTATCAACATTTGGCATCAAATGCTATGAAAGAATGTTGTGGGGTGGGTTGCTTAGAGTTGACAACAGGACCTGTAACTCACATCCTAGCAATCATTTGACTCCTAAGTATATTCTCTAAAATGAAACAACCTGCCAAACATGCATTTTAGATGACAAATTTATGATGTTAAAATTATTTGCTCATCAAATGAGCTCAGTTTTGTAATCTATAACAATATCAATTTGGACATTTGCCTTTTGTGAATAGCTCATTTACTGCTCTAAAAGGAGAGAGAAAGAGAGAGAAAGAAAGAGAATAAATCATGTAATTGTGTAGCACCTGCTATTTGTAGGGACTATGATAAATTTATAATCAGTTAGTCATTTTTCGTAATCCCAAGAAGGAATTTTTGGGTAGCAGTAATTCCCCTATTCCCTTTCAGATGTGAAAGCTGATGATAATGAATGACAGATTATCTAAATTTAAAAAATCCATGTCATCTTCAATACTACACTGCCTATTTACTTTCTCACAATATGCTCTCAGCCTTCCAGCACTGTTTGGTTTTCCAAAAAAAGGTCATAATGACCTTGAAGTTTAGAACATGTCTCACTGCATTATTGTTTAGGGCAGTCCTGACCCTGATTTCTTACACTAAGCTTTCTCTATTGATTTCTACAGAAGTCATTATGTCCTGAGAGCATATTTTGATGTTTAACTTCCACCCCTATGTAATATTATCTATTGACTAGCCTTCAGTCCCTTTTCTCTGAGACTCTGCTATTTCCTTTTTCTCTGTCATATTCAGGTCTACTTTTACAATTGATTCTTCAAACTGATATCACATATTATCTCAACAGAGTCATTGACATACTACAAGTAATTTCCTTGAGATTTTCATCTGACTTGTACCATCCTGATAATTGTTACCCTGAGATACTGAAATTAAAGTGATGTTTGAAAAGTATCCTCTATTTAAGCTACTATTATTCTTCATTGACTTTCAATGATTCCAAAAGTCTAGAGCTTTCATGTCCAGTGTATGAGCCCCTAGCTATCAAATCCAGAGCTATTAAGGCCACTGAATAATAGTACAATAGAGAACAACATAATTCGATCAATATTTTACAAAGAAAATTAAGAATGTAGCCTAGAAAATGTTAAGAAGGAGAAAGAAATGGAATCAGAACTGTCAAAATAAAACTACAGTAGTCTGGTTAAGATATAAATCACACATGTGCCCTACACACACATATTTAAAGACATCCATTTTTGTTATCAACCTGAATAAAGATGCCCACCTGAGAAAAAAGCACTGTTACCAAGGCATCTGATTCAGATTTTAGCCAATATAGAGTTATGATGAATGGGGTATTGGGGATACTAGGTAGAGAGAGAGTTTAAAGGGCAATGAAATTTGTTGCCAACACAGGAACCTCCTTCTTCAGGGTGTTCTACATTCAGTTTCATTACATTTTCTTCATCTTTTTTTCTACTGTGTTGTAGCCTGAGAAATCTGGATACTCATATTATCCTTGTATTCCTCACCTTGAAATGTTTTATCCAAGTTTCATTGGTCTGCATGTGTTATGCTGAGTGAGACATTGTATCAGCATAAAATATTGGGCTATATTTGTTGTTGCCTTTATTATTGCCATCAATAACCTTGTTCAAGGAAGATTTAGAAAAGACTTAGAATCCTTTCTGTGTAATTTAAGATGCTGTATTGGGTTCATCCTGTAATACAGACTCAATAAGTGTTTGTTGAAGTGTTGAGTAAACAAATTTTGCTTAAGAAGAAAAGAACAGATTAATATGTTTCATTTGTTTAATGCATATAATTGCAGTGCAAAAATCAAACTATTTAGGCAGATATTTTATTTGCTAATAATCACTCTTTTTAGCTTATTTATAATTATAATTTGTTAATTGTAATTATATTATTATTTTTTGTATTCACATATTAAGTCCAGCATATTGGTTCATTCACCCATTTATTTATTTTACTTTTTTTTTATTATACTTTAAGTTCTAGGGTACATGTGCACAACGTGCAGGTTTGTTACATAGGTGTACATGTGCCTTGTTGGTTTGCTGCACCTATTAACTCATCATTTACATTAGATATATCTCCTAATGCTATCCCTCCCCCATTCCCCCACCCCATGACAGGCCCGTGTGTGATGTTCCCTGCCCTGTGTCCAAGTGTTTTCATTGTTCAGTTCCCACCTATGAGTGAGAACATATGGTGTTTGGTTTTCTGTCCTTGCAATAGTTTGCTCAGAATGATGGTTTCCAACTTCATCCATGTCTCTACAAAGGACATGAACTCATCCTTTTTTATGGCTGCATAGTATTCCATGGTGTATATGTGCCACATTTTCTTAATCCAGTCTATCATTGATGGACATTTGGGTTGTTCCAAGTCTCTGCTATTGTGAATAGTGCTGCAATAAACATACGTGTGCATATGTCTTTAAAAGTAGCATGATTTATAATCCTTTGGGTATATATCCAGTAATGGGATCGCTGGGTCAAATGGTATTTCTAGTTCTAGATCCCTGAGGAATCACCACACTGTCTTCCACAATGGTTGAACTAATTTACACTCCCACCAACAGTGTAAAAGCGTTCCTATTTCTCCACATCCTCTCCAGCATCTGTTGTTTCCTGACTTTTTAATGATCGCCATTCTAACTGGCATGAGATGGTATCTCATTGTGGTTTTGATTTGCGTTTCTCTGATGACAAGTGATGATGAGCATTTTTTCATGTGTCTGTTGGCTGCATAAATGTCTTCTTTTGAAAAGTGTCTGTTCATATCTTTTGCCCACTTTTTGATCGGGTTGTTTTTTTTTTTCTTATAAATTTTTTTAAGTTCTTTGTAGATTCTGGATATCAGTCCTTTGTCAGATGGGTAGATTGCAAAAATTTTCTCCCATTCTGTAGGTTGCCTCTTCACTCTGATGGTAGTTTCTTTTGCTGTGACAAAATTTGTTCTTCATTCTGGAAATAAAAAATTGAAAAACATAAAACATAATATGCAACCATAAATATATAAAATAAAAATGAATATACAACCTGAACGTGTCTATATCTAGTAAATAAATTGAATCAATAATTAATAACCTAAAATAGAAATTACCAACCCCAGAAACCAATGTGAAAATACTACATAATATATGATTTCAACTCTTTGAAATTCTGGAAAAGGTTGAAAATATGGAGACAGTAAAATGATCAGTGGTTGCCTTTGGTTAAGCAGGAGATAAGGATGAGTAGGAGGCACACAGAGAATTTTTAGGGAAATGAAGCTATTCAGTGTGATACTGTAATGGTGAACACATGCTGTTGTGCATTTGTCCAAAGCCATAGAATGTGCAATACCAGGAGTTATTCCTAATGTAAACTATGGGCTTTAGGTGACAACGATGAGTCAATGTAGGTTCATCAACTTTAACAAATTGCACCACACTGGCGCAGGATTTTGATGGTCAGGGAGGCTATGCATGTGTGGGGATATAGGAACTCTGTACTTTCTGCCCGATTTTGCCATAAGCCTAAAATTGTTCTAAAAAAAAAAAGTGTATTTTAAAAGTGAGTAAATCAAGAAAAAATAAAAATTATAAATGTACATTTCGAATGGATGCTGTTTATTTTATATAAATTATACTGCAATAAATGTTATGTTTTAAAGGAAAAAGTTAAATGTAATAAAATGGCATGGGCAGTGCTGTGGTTTGAATGCCTCCTCCAAAGTTTTGTGTTGGAAACTTAATCCCCAATGCAACAGCCTTGAAAGGTGAAAGCTTTTAAAGTGATTAGGCCATAAGGGCTTTTGTCAACATGAATGGATTAATGCAATTATTGCAGAGTGGCATCATTTTTATGAGTGGGATCCTTATAAAGGGTGAGTTTGGTTCCTTCTCTAGCTCACGCTCTCTCACCCATGAAATCCCTTCCACCATGCTATAATACAGCAAGAAAACCCTCACTAGACATGACCCTTCAATCTCAGACTTCCGTCAGACTCATGAGCCAAATTAGTTTCTGTTCATTACAAATTACCAAGTCTGTGGCATTTTGTTATAGCAGCATAAAACAGTCTAAGACAGGAAGTATGAAGATAAAAAATAATGAAATAATAATTTCCACTGGATAATATATCAAGAATGTCTTCAATAATAATAGGGAATTCTAACAAAGAGCTAACAATATATTTGTGGAGAAAGATTAGAGGCATAGACTTAGATAAAGTGAATGGTAAGTGCAAAGTAAGTGTCCATCAATGATATACAAATTCAAACAATGTAATTATTAGTGATAATTGAGACAGTTGGGAAACACTGTGATGATGAAATGATTTTAACTGGAGATAAAAATAAAAGTGTATTATTTCAACAAGTAAAGATACTCAAGAGATTATTAGGAGGCAGAAGCAAGTGAGCAGACACAAGAAAATTCATCTAGCATGTTCATGAGTGCTATGTTATACACTGGATATCTAAAGATTAAACAACTCTGATCTCTGCCCTCAGAAATCCAGTGGAGGAAACTGGTATTAAAACTGTGTGGAGATGAAAGTAAGAGACATTTTCACTGTAACTACATCTGCAGGACTTCTACATCTGCATGCTTATGGTGTTTGAACCCATGTAATGAAGATGGTAATATTTATCTGACTTAAAAAGAAATGGATGATGAAATAGTCATGATATAGATAAAATAATCCTCAATAGTTAAGGCCATTTTAGAGATGATTAATGAAAGAAAAATGTTTCACTTGTATTTGTTTGACTAGAGGAATAACAAGAATCCTCCAAGCAGGCAAAGATCTAAACATCATTTGCTAACATTTATCTGAAGATTACTATGAGGATAAATAAACCTACTACTTTTGGACTAATGGACTTCCATTAGTTAGTACTTTTGTAACTAATGAAGTTCCATTTATCCATTCATTTAGATTCCATTTAAAATCTACTTCAAGTATTTTACCAATTTAAAAAGTGATGGAAGAATATTTCTGCTGATATTCGTTTGCTAGAACTGACATAACAAAGACAACAGACTGAGTAGTTTAAAAACAACAGAAATTTGTTTTCTTACATTTCTGGAAGGTAAAAGTCTGAGATCAAGATGTGAGCAGGGTCAATTATTTCTAAGGTCCTCTTCTTGGGTTGTAGATGGTTATCTTCTCGTGTCTTACCTGGTCTTTCCTCTGCTTGTGTCTGCTTGTGCCCCTAATCTCTTAATTTAGGGGCACTACAGTCATATTGGATTAGGACCTACCCTAATTACCTCATTTAATCTTAACGACTTCTTGGAAGACTTATCCTTAAATACAGTCACATTATAAAGTATTGGGAGTTAAGACTTCTACATATAAATGTTGGGTATGGAGCAGGACTAAGCTCAGAGCTGGATGAGAACCAACAGATCTTTTTGCCACACCAGAACTTCAATCTAAATAAATAAAGGCAGAAAGCTAGTTTATTTGTTAGTTTGAGAGGCCTATACTTTCTGTAAGTGGAGAAAGAAATAAAGAAAGCTGCTGGTTCAATTAAAGTGAATAACGACTGTTCTGAATAGTAACTTTTGTTTTTCACATTGTTGTTTACTATCTCTACTTAGGGAACGAGCTCTGAAGAATAGTATTATTAAGTAGGTTCACTATAAAAATATAGATGAGAAATCAGTACATATCATTAATTTTTAAAAATAAAAGACCGTGAAAAGAATCGTACTGTAGAGGTAGATTGTTTATTGAGTAACTGTTATAACTTCCAACTCCACAGGGTTTATCTGAGAAGCTTTCATTTTCTTGTAAAAAAGTATAAGCAAAAGCATCATGTGTTTTAGTGTTTTGCTATTTCATAAGGGTAATAGTTATCAAACTAATCATTGTTTTAAGATTGTAATATTAAATTATTTGTAAGTGATCAATCTTATTACAGAGTTGCATTTTAATTGTGTAAATGCACTATAACTGCTGTGTTTAGTTATGATACATGTTCTATTATTTAAGATATCCTAATTTTGTATGAAGAAGAATACATGGGTATGTAAAAAAGAGATACATACACCAGCTTGAAAAACAGCAAATTAGGATAATTTAAACCTTTTTTTTTTTTAAGAGCCAAGCAAATAATAGATATGCTTCAGCATTGGCCGTTTGTTTGGTTTGTATCTTCAGGGAAAAACTAAATCTGTAGAGAGTTACAAACTAACTGTAAAATTAAGATACAACAAAAAAAATCACTCATATTTAAACAAAATATGGTAAGCATGGATAAGGATGATTGTTCCATAAACCTTATGGTGTCATAATTGATGAGAGGATTGTCACCACAATAAAAGGTTACTTGAGCAGTGAATTGTGAGGAATATTCATATGACAATAAATTTAAAGTCTATGGGATATATTTGGCAACTGCAGATTTATGATAATGTCTTATACCCATCATAAGATGGGTAAAGTTACTGAGCTGTTATAGTTTGCTCTTCAGTCCACTGTGTTGATATTATTAATAAAGATCTGGTTGTATGACTATAAAGGCTTTTTTTGACAGTTTGAAAGTATTTTCAAACTAGTATATAGTCACTTGCATTAAATAATGCAGGCTTTTTTTTCTGCTTTAAGCCAAAGGTTATACTGAGAAAAATTGTCTAATATTTTGTAATGTCATTTAGTAGAAAATCATAGCACACTACTTAGAAACTTTTAAGAATAAACTTACAGGTTTATCTGTATTACAGGGAATAATGTGATATTGGAGTTACTATGTCCATTATGTTTTAAAGCTTTTTCTCAGTTTTAGTACTTTAAGATGACATAAGTTGTGTCATCCTTGAATGTGTTGGCTATTGCATGAAAAGACCCTATATTTACTTTTGGATAACTAAGGGCATTAACTTGAATCATCACAGAAATTTATAATAATAAAAACTGTAAATAAATAAACCCCAGTTAAACATTTTTCATGTTTATTTGTGAGACAACTTAGCTATAAAATAATAATTGTTCTCTATTCAAATATAACTTACATATAATAATTTATATATACAATATTTATTTTGTATATTGCCTGATATATCCCCATACATCTCTAATAATTATCATTTATTTAGCAAAAAATGTATGGATACATTTCATTTATAGAATACATTCATATTAAATCACTCTGGATTATGAGGTTTTTTTATTAAAATGATACTTCAAATATGACATCATTACATACTGGAAGGTTATAGAATAACTATGCTTATTATTTCAAATTTATTTTTTAAAAGTTAGTAAATAATATCAGTGGGCAAAAGCCATTTTACCTGTTAAGTTTGAAGAACTTTTTGTCTTTTGAAAAATATTTGAATATTATTAAGTGCTGATGCTGCTAAACCTGACTCTATCTGATTCTAGATCTTTTTCATCTTATTGTGTTCTGAGACACAATTTATAATGTTTGGCTTTATAATCTACACTCTCAAAAGTGCTCAGTTCATTAAAAAGCCCCTTACACAGTTTTCTTCCAAAACTGCTTTTATATGCTCAGTTGCCGTATAGTATAATCCTACCACATCCTTTCATCACTGATTGAAATATTAAAATTATTTTTTTAGAATCAGCTAATGTGGCAACTCCTCTGAATTGTCTACAGCTCTTGTGTATCTCCAATACAACATGTATTAATCACTTGCACTTCTACTTGGGTTTTCTTTAAATTACCCCAATCACCGAGAAGCTCACTTTCTAATTCAATCCAGCCACCAATCAGTTCTAGTAAGGATCTGCACAGATGCTCACCAAGCAGAAAAAAGTTCTTGCCTCTTTCCTTATTGCCAGCCTGCTCTTCTCAGAACATTTATTTGCTCATCCACATATGCCTACTTACTTAACTAAGGAAAAAATGCAACCCATAGCTCCATTCAGCAACCTATTCCTCTTACATAGACACTGCAGAAAACATAAACAACCAATCAACATTATTGATGCTACTGGTAGCTTAAAATATAGATTAATAGTAACCATAAATAATCAATGAGCAAAACTAATAAATATAATAATTTGTTAAAAATTAACCACACAGGATAAATAGAAACAATCATTTTAGTTACACAAGAAAAAATAACAGATCAAAATGGATGAACTTTATTAAATAAATACTACAGTTACAACTTGGGATACATGGGATTAGAGATACATAATTAATATTATCACCTATATGTAAGAAGATGAAATATCTCTAAAATAAGAAAGGCTTTAATTATAAAAGTACAGAAATGCAACCTCCAAGGGATTTATAATATTTATCTCTGAAAGTGATGGTATAAAAGAGTCAAAGTATTCATTTCAGCAAGACTCAATTATATACTGTCTTCAAGAGACTCATATCACATGCTATGGCACTCCTAAGCTCAAAATAAAGGGATGGAGAAAAATCTACCCAGCAAATGGAAAATAGATAAAATGTAGGTGGTGCAATCTTAATTTCAGACAAAACAGACATTAAACTAATGAAGATAAAAAAGACAAAGGAGGGGATTATATAATGGCAAATGATTCAATTCAACAAGAAAACCTAGCTTAAATATATATGCACCCAACACAGGAGTACTCAGATTCATAAAGTAAATTCTTAGAGACCCTTAAATAAACTTTAAGACTCTCACACAATAATAATGGGAGAATTCAACACCCCACTGATGGTATTAGACAGATTACTGAAGCAGAAAATTAACAGATATTCAGGACCTGAAGTCAACACTGGACCAAATGGACCTAATAGACTTTTACAGAACTCCTTACCAAAAAACAACAGAATATACATTCTTGTCACTACAGAGCACATACTCTAAAATTAACCACACCATCAGATAATTATTTGACCACACCATAAGATCAGCAAATGAAAAAGAAATGAAGTACACCAGTCAAGGCTACATGTCTTTGTACTGGTACCAAAACAGATGTATAGACCAATGGAACAGAACAGAGGCCTCAGAAATAACACCACACATCTACAACCATCTGATCTTTGACAAACCTGAGAAAAACAAGCAATGGGGAAAGGATTCCCTATTTAATAAATGGTGCTGGGAAAACTGGCTAGCCATATGTAGAAAGCTGAAACTGGATCCCTTCCTTACACCTTATACAAAAATTAATTTGAGATGGATTAAAGACTTAAATGTTAGACCTAAAACCATAAAAGCTCTAGAAGAAAACCTAGGCAATATATCATTCAGGACATAGGCATGGGCAAGGACTTCATGACTAAAACACCAAAAGCAATGGCAACAAAAGCCAAAATTGACAAATGGGATCTAATTCAACTAAAGAGCTTCTGCATGGCAAAAGAAACTGACATCAGAGTGAACAGGCAATCTACAGATGGGAGAAAATTTTTGCAATCTACCCATCTGACAAAGGACTAATATCCAGAATCTACAAAGAACTTAAAAAAAATTTACAAGAAAAAATCAAACTACTCCATCAAAAACTGGGGAAAGGATATGAACACTTTTCAAAGAAGACATTTATGCAGCCAACAGACACATGAAAAAATGCTCATCTTCACTGGTCATCAGAGAAATGCAAATCAAAAGCACAATGAGATACCATCTCATGCCAGTTAGAATGGTGATCATTAAAAAGTCAGGAAACAACAGATGCTGGAGAGGATGTGGAGAAATAGGAACACTTTTATGCTGTTGGTGGGAGTGTAAATTAGTTCAACCATTGTGGAAGACAGTGTGGCAATTCTTCAAGTATCTAGAACTAGAAATACCATTTGACCCAGCTATCCTATTACTGGATATATACCCAAAGGATTATAAATCATGCTACTTTTAAACACACATGCACACGTATGTTTATTGCGGCACTATTCACAATAGCAAAGACTTGGAACAACCCAAATGTCCATCAATGATAGACTGGATAAAGAAAATGTGGCACATATACACCATGGAATACTATGCAGCCATAAAAAGGGATGAGTTCATGTCCTTTGTGGTGACATGGATGAAGTTGGAAACCATCATTCTCAGCAAATTATCACAAGGACAGAAAACCACATGTTCTCACTCATAGGAGGGAATTGAACAATGAGAACACTTGGACACAGGGCAGAGAATATCACACACTGGGACCTCTCGGGGGGTGGAGGCCTGGGAGAGGGATAGCATTAGGAGAAATACCTAATGTAAATGACGAGTTGACGGGTGCAGCAAACCAACTTGGCACATGTATACCTATGTATCAAACCTACATGTTGTGCACATGTACCCTAGTACTTAAAGTATAATTTAAAAACTTTGTTTAATAAACTTTTTGGGATTTATTTTGTGTCCCAATGTATAGTCCATCCTGGAGAACATTCCATATGATGATGCAAAGAATGTGTACTGTGCAGCTGTTGGATGAAATGTTCTATAAATGTCTGTTATGTCATTTGGTCTGTGATGCAGTCTAAATTCAAAGTTTCTTTGATGATTTTCTGTCTAGATGATTTGTCCAATGCTAAGAGTGGGTGTTGAAGTCCTCAGCTGTTATTGTATTGGGATCTATATTTGCCTTTAGATCTAACATTTGCTTTATAGATCTGGGTGTTCCAGTGTACACGTATATTTACAATTATTATATCTTCATGTTAAACCGATCCCTTTATAACTATAAAAAAAGAGAAATATACCAACCACTCTTTTGGACCACAGCACAATAAAAATAGAATTGAAGACTAAAAGAATCACTCAAAGTCATACAATTACATGGAATTAAACAACCTGCTTCTGAATGGCTTTTGAGTAAGTAATGAAACTAAGGCAGAAATCAAGAACTTCTTTGAAACTTATAGGACCAAAGATATAACATACCAACATCTCTTGGACCATCTAAGACAGTGTTAAGAGGGAAATTTATGGGACTAGATGTCCACATCAAAAAGTTAGATCTCAAATGAACAACCTAACATCACAACAATAACAACAACAAACTAGAGAAGCAAGAAACCAAACTCAAAGCTAGCAGAAGAAAAGAAATAACCAAAATCAAAGCTGAAATGAAATAGATTGGGACACAAAAATTACTCAAAAATTAATGAATCCAAAGTTTTGTTTTGTGAAAAAAAATAATAAGGTAGATAGACAACTAGCTAGACTGACAGAGAAGAAAAGAGAGACTATCCAAATGAACACAATTTGAAACAACAAAGAGGAGTTTATCACTAACCCCACAGGAACAAATAACCATCAAACCAGAACACCTCTATGCACACCAACTAGAAGACTTAGAAGAAATGGATAAAGTACTGGGCACATACACCCTCCCAAGACTAAATCATGAAATAATTGAATCCCTGAACAGACCAATAATGGACTCTAAAATTCAATCAGTAATAAATAGCCTACCAACTGAATAAAAGCCCAGGACCCAATGGATTCACAGCCACATTCTACCAGATGTACAAGGAAAAACAGGAAGCATTTCTACCGAAACGATTCCAAAAAACTGAGCAGAAAGACTCCTCCCTAACTCATTCTAAAAAGCCAGCATCATCCTGATACCAAAACCTGGCAGAGACACCACAAAATGAAGAAAACATCAGGCCAATATCATTGATAAACATTTGTGCAAAAACCCTCAACAAAACACTAGCAGCACATCAAAAAGCTAGTCCACCACAGTCAAGCAGTTTTTATCCTTAGAATGCAAGGTTGGTTCAATATATGCAAATCAATAAATGTGATTCATCATACAAACAGAAATGAAGACAAAAACCACATGATTATCTCAATAAATGCAGAAAAGGCTTTTATAAAATTCAAAATCCCTTTATGTTAAAAACTCAATAAACTAGATATTGAAGAAATATACCTCAAAATAATAAAGGTCATCTATGATAAACCCACGGACAAAATCACCATACTGAATGAGTAAAAGCTGGTAGCATTCTCTCTTGAAAACCAGCACAAGAAAAGGACACCCTCTCTTACCACTCCTGTTCAACACAGTATTGGAAGTCCTGGCCAGAGCAATCAGGTAAGAGAAAGAAATAAAGTGCATCCAAACAGTAAGAGATGAAGTGAAACTAACCCTCTTTGCGGATGACATGATTCTATATCTAGAAAACCCCATAGTCTCAGCCCAAAGTCTCTGTTAGCTGATAAATAACTTTGGTAAAGTTTCAGGATAAAAAACTAATGCACAAACAATCACTTGCATTCCTATATACGAGCAATATCCAAGCTGAGAGCCAAATCAGGAACACAATCTCATTCACATTTGCCACTAAAACAATAAAATATCTATCAGTACAGCCTACCAGACAGAAACATCTCTACAATGAGAATTACAAAACACTGCTCAAAAAAATCAGAGATTATCCAAACAAATGGAAAAGCATTCCATGATCATGAATAGAAAGAATCAATATCATTAAAATGGCCATACTGCCCAAAGCAATTTACAGATTCAATGCTATTCCTGTGAAACTACCAATGAATTCTTCACAGAACTAGTACAGAACTATTTTAAAATTCATACAGAACCAAAAGAGAGCAAAAAAAGCCAAAGTTATCCTAAGAGAAAAGAATGAAGCTGAAGGCATCACATTACCCTACTTCAAACTATACTACAAAGCTATAGTAACCAAAACAGCATGGTACTGGTGCAAAAACTGACACATAGTCCAAGGAAACAGGATAGAGAGCTCAGAAATAAGGCTGCAAACCTCCAACTATCTGATCTTTGACAAAGCTGACAAAAACAAGCAATGCGGAAAGGACTCCCTATTCAATAAGCGGTGCTATGTTAACTGGTTAGCCATATGTAGAAGACTGCAACTGGATTTCTTCTTTACACAATATATAAACATCAACTCAAGATGGATTAAAGACTTAAATGTAAAACCCCAAACTCCTAAAAAAAAACCTGGAAGACAACCTAGGCAATGCCATTCTGGACACAGGAACTGGCGAAGTTATCATGACAAAGATTCCAGTTGCAACAAAACCAAAAATTGACACATGATATCTAATTAAAGAGCTTCTGACAGCAAAACAAACAATCGACAGAGTAACCAGACAACCTAGAGAATGGGAGAAAATATTTGCAAACTATGCATCTGACAAAGGTCTAATATCCAGAATCTATAAAGAACTTCAACTAATTTATAAGAAAACAACTCCATTAAAAAAGGGGGGGAAATGAGCAGACACATTTGAAAAGAAGACATACATGTGGCCAAAAGGCATATGAAAAAAAACCTCAATATCACTGATGATTAGAGAAATGCAAATCAAAACCACAGTGAGATACCACCTCACACCAGTCAGATTGGCTATTACTACAAATTCAAAAAAAAAAAAAAACAGATGCTTGTGAGATTGGATAGAAAAGGGAGCACCTATACACTGCTGGTGGGAGTGTAAATTAGTTAAATTATTGTGGAAAGCAATGTGGTGATTCCTCAGAGAGCAAAAAACATAACCAGTATTTAACCCAGTAATCCCATTACTCAGTATATAGCCAACGGAATATAAGTCATTCTATTATAAAGACACATGCATGCATATGTTCATTACAGCACTATTTACAATAGCAAAGATGTGGAATCAACCTAAATGCCCATCAATGGCAGATTGGGTAACGAAAATGTGGTACATATACACTATCGAATGCTATGGAAGCATAAACAAGAATGAGATCATGTAGGAACATGGATGGAGCCAGGGGCCATTACTCTTAGCAAACTAGCGCAGGAACAGAAAACCAAATACTGTATGCTCTCACTTATAAGTGGGAGCTAAAGGATGAGAACACATGGACACAAAGAGGGGAACAACTGACACTGGGGCCTATCAGAGGGTGAAGGGTGCAAGAAGGGAGAGGATCAGGAAAAATAACTGATGGGTACTAGGCTTAGTACCCGAGAGATGAAATAATCTGTACAACAAACTCCTGTAACACAAGTTTATCTTTATAAGAAACCTTAACATGTACCCCTAAACCTAAAATAAAAGTTAAAAGAAAAAAGTAAAAGAAATTTTTTTAATTTCAACTAAATATATTTAAGTATTCACTTGATTTTTGGGGGAGTATAATTTAGGCTTATGATAAATTTGGAAATATTGCTAAAATAAGAAAATCTGTCCATCAAAAAGACATAGAAATATATATTTTATGCTCTTAACTGAAATGTGTTAGCATACTAAATGAAGCAAGAATTCCTGTAATCAACAGCAGCAACAACAAAAATAGCGAAAATGACAATTCAATGAATATGCATTTTGTTGAATAGAAAATTACATATTTCTAAATATATATGAATAAAAATAAAATACACTATATACATATTTAGTGGCAATTAGCTTATATGAATATAAACTAATACATGTATATCACATTAGTTTATATTTATATAAACTAGTTTATATAGTTTATATAAAATTAGTTTTTATATATATATATGAAACATTATGTGTATGTATAAAAATCTCAACCTCAGGCCCAAGGTAAATGGTCAACACAAATTTAAACTCAAGCACTAGTTCATTCAACTGAGAAAATAAGCAAATTAAAATTCTAATGGTACAGAAAAAGATGTACATATTCTGAGGTCCAGTAATTTTACTCTTAGAGAAACAATTGGTCAAGAGCACTTAGGTATATGTTAAAAATTAGTCATTGTTGCATTTATTAGAATAATGTGACATTGAAAACAATGCAGGTATCAATAACGAAGGGGAAGAGTTTACTAATTTAATAATATTAACTCAGTATGAACATATGTTATCAAGCAGAGAACACAAATATAATAAAGATACAGGCATGAATATACATGAATCTCACAAATTATATTAGGCAGAAAGGCAAACTTGAAGAATATGTATGGTACATTTCTATTTATATGAAACTCAAAAACAAGCAAAATCAATATTATTTATGTACATACACATATTTGGCTTAAAATCTGAAAATGTCTAATATTTAATACAAAACTCAATATTATGGTTTCCTTTAAGTTTGAGACCCCAGGATATACTGTTATAAAGGGACAGCTTGAAAAGTATGGATTATATTTTATTTCCAAAGATGAGCAGTGGATGCATGGATTTTCTTTTATTATTAATTTGTGTAATGCATATGAACTATTTTTCTATAAAAATTATAATTTTAAAATGATAAATAGATTTGTAATAAATACATAAAACACATATAAATATAAATTAATTTACCAGAGATTATTTTTCTTCAGTAACTAATCAAACATATTTTTGAAGTGATTGTAATCTACTGTATACCAATTATACATTAGAAATATCTGATATTAAGACTATCTAATAGATATGACTTTATTTCTGTATTATCTTTCATCTCTGCATAACTATCCTTAGTGATTTAAAAAATACTTTTATTTATTTGAATGCAAGGTGAAATTTGAATAAATTATTCATGCAATATCACTTGACCAGAATTTTCAAGTATTCCTAAAGAAGTTTTTATGTGAAAGTGTCATTATCTCACATACTATCCCTTTTACTAATGTCAGAGGTAGAAAATAAAGTTGAAGTATAGTCAGCTTGTATTTCCCTGATCATGTAATACTTTTTATATACATTTTTGAAACTTTGTTATCTGCAGTTATTTTTATTCTTTATTATTAAATAATTTCAACTTTTATTATAGATTAAAGGATACACATGCAGTTTTGCTACATTTCTTTATTATCTTTCATCTTTGCATAACTATCCTTAATGATTAAAGAAATGCTTCTGTTTATTTGAATGCTAAGTGAAATTTGAACAAATTATTTATGCAATATCACCTAACCAGAATTTCTAAATGTTCCTAAAATTATCATGTAAAAGTGTCTTTATCTGACATAATATCCCTTTTATTAATGTCAAAGGGAGAAAATAAAGCTGAACTATAGTCAGTTTGTATTTCCCTGATCATGTGCTACATTTTATATACATGTTTGAACCTTGTGTATTTCATATACATCTTTGAACATTTGAATTGTGTGACACTGAAACTTGAGGTCCCAGTGATTCCATCTCTCAGGCACTAAGCATAGTACCCAATAGGCAGTTTTTCAGCCCACACTCCTCTTTGTTCCTTCCCTATCCAGTGGTCCCCAGTGTCTGTTGTTCCTATCTTTACAATGATATGTATTTAATGTTTAGGTCTCACTTATAAGTGAGAACATGCAGTATTTGGCTTCCTGTTCTTGGGTTAGCTTTCTGAGGATGATGGTCTCCAGGTTCATCCATGTTGTTATAAAGGGCATGATTTCATTTTTTTTTCATGTATTTGTAGTATTACAGGGTTTATATGTACCATGTTTTATTTATCCCATCCGCTGTTCATGGGCACATAGGTTGATTGATTCCATGTCTTTGCTATTTTGAATAGCACTGCAGTGAACATATGGGTGCATGTGTCTTTTGGATAAACGAATTATTTTTCTTTGGGTATATATCCAGAAGTGGGATTCCTGGTTTAAATGGTAATTCCATTTTTAAGTTCTTTGAGAAATCTCCAGACTGTTTCCCACAGTGGATGAACTAGTTTGCGTTCCCACCAATAGCGCAAAAGCATTGTCTGTTCTCCGCAGCCTTGCCAGCATATGTTGTTTTTAAACTATGTTGAGACTAAGAAATGCATTGTTATGCCTTACTAGGAAAAAAGAAAGAAATGTAGGATTTTCCACCTGAACCTACAAACTTATGCTGTTATTGGAAAATTCAATGGTAGGAAATGATGTAATAATCAGCTTAAAGAAAACCCCAGAGGGAGAATAAACATTCAGCTTCTGAAAGGCTGAAGTAAGGTTGTGCCATGCTCAGCAGAGATTTATATGTTTTTATAATACCCTTGGCATGTCAGGGCTTTGGCAGGGACAGCACATTTGATCATGTGACACCAAGTGGCCATGCACCAAGAACTACTCATTATGATCTGGGTTCCATTGGTCCCACCAAGTCATAGTGACACATGTGCCTCGCAACAGGACATCACAAGATGGAACTGGTACATTCAGGATTGAGTCTGAGCAGGATATGCTACAGAGAAATGTTTTGTGAAAGGAAGAATCAATTGATATGGCCAATTTTGTTTTATTTTAAGAAATTGCCACAGCCTATGCAATCTTCAGCCACCACCACCCTAATCAGTCAGCAGCTATCAACATTGAAGCAAAAACCTCCACCAGGTAAAAGATTATGACTCACTGAAGGCTCAAATGATTGTTAGCTTTTTGTAGCAATAAAGTATTTTTAAACTAACTTATGTAAATATTTAGGTATAATGCTATTGTACACTTACTAGATGACAATATAGTATAAATATAACTTTTAAATGCACTGGGAAACAAACAAAAAATCTTGAGACTTGCTTTATGACAGTATTGGATTTATTACAGTGGTTTGGAACTGAACCTGCAATTCTATATATATATATATATGTATACACACACACACACACACACACACACACATATACGTGAATTATGCATGTGTGTATATATAACCTATATATATGAATATGTATATATATATGCATGTGTGTATATATATATATACACACACACACATTAGTCAGCAGCTATCAACAATGAAGAAAGTCGCTCCAGCAGCTATAGGATTATGACTCCCTGAAGGCTCAAATGATTGTTAGAATTTTTTTAGCAATAAAGTGTGCATTTTATATATGTACATACACATAAGAAATATATATAAAAATCCAAATATATGTGGTTCTTTATATTGTATATGAATGCACAAGTGTACAATATATAAATTTTATATATATGGATGTGTGTGTATATATATACACACATCTATATACATAGATGATATGTATAAAATGTGTATATATACACAGTATATATATATATATAAAGTGTATATATATACACTATCTAATCAGTTGCCAACATGTCTAGGATAAAAGCAGGCAGAGGAACATAAAAGGACTAGACTGGCCTGAGTCTTTCAGCCTTCATCTTTCTTCTGTGCTGGATGCTTCCTGTCCTTGAACATCAGACTCCAAGTTCTTAAGCTTTTGAACTCTTGGACTTACACCAGTGGTTTGCCAGGGGCTCTCAGACCTTCGATCACAGACTGAAAGCTGCACTGTTGGCTTCCCTACTTTTGGAGTTTTGGGACTCGGATTAGCTTCCTTGCTCCTCAGCTTGCAGATGGCCTATTGTGGGACTTCACCTTGTGATTACGTGATTAAATACTCCTTAGTAATCTCCCCTCTAACTATACATCTATCCTATTAGTTCCGTCCCTCTAGAGAACCCTAATTAATACAGTATGCTAAAGGTAAAACAAAGCTTAGTCTCAAAAGACAAAGCAAACATCAGAATTGGAATTACCAGACAGGCGATTCAAAATTACTATGACTAATATGTAAATGCCTCTTTTGGAAAAGCTAACAACATGGAAGAACAAAGGAGTTATATAAACAGAAAGGTTGAAATGCTAAGAAAGTATCAAAAGGAAATGCTAGAAATAATAATAAAAAAAGCAACAGAAATGAAAAGTGTCATTAATGCAATCACTGATAGACTAGGCATGGCCAAGGAAACAACCAGTGAGCTGCAAGATCCCTCAATAGAAACTTTCCTAACTAAAACAAAATGATAAACAAAAATGGAAGGTACCACAATATTCAAGAATTGAGAGACAATTTCCAAAGGTATAAAATATATGTGATCAAAAAATAAGAGGGAAAAAGAGGAAATGGAGTATATTCTATATTTCATGTCAAAATATTTCAAAAACAAGAATGTTTTTGGAGAATGTTCCAAAATTAATGAGAAGCACCAAACCACAGACTAGGGAGTTCAGAGAACATCAAGCAGGATAAATATCAACTGGAAAATAATCCTCATTTAGGCTTATCCTATTCAAACTGCAGAAAACCGAATAAAAAAAAGAAATATTGAAAGAAACCAAAGGAAAAGAAGATCTTATCTATAAAAGAACATGGATAAGAATTACACTGGTCTTCTTGTTAGAAGCCATGAAAGCTACAGGAAAGGGACATGAGATATTAATAGTTATGAAATAAAACAGACAAAAAAACTTAGAACTTTCTATCCAAAAAAAAACTGTCTTTCAAAAGTACCCATCAGGCAAACAAAGACTGAGAAATTCATTCCATTTCCAGGAGATGCAGAAAATGTCAAAATATGTTATTTGGGAAAAATAACTTTTTCTCTTTTTTTTCAATTTACTTTGCGTTACTTGAACAGTTTATATAATTCCATTTTTTCTCCTATCTTAGCATCTCAATTATGCTTCTTTTTTAAACTGGAGTTTCTAGAGTTTGCAAAGTTCAGGAAGACCATTGAAAAAATGAAAAGTATGAATGAAGAAAACGTGCAAAGAAGAAAACAATTAAAAACATGGTAGATATTAATGCAACTATATCAATAATCACTTTAATTGGCAACACTCTAAATAGACCAATTAATGAAAAAATGCTCACCATCACTGGCTATCAGAGAAATGCAAATCAAAACCACAATGAGATACCATCTCACACCAGTTAGAATGGCAATCATTAAAAAGTCAGGAAACAACAGCTGCTGGAGAGGATGTGGAGAAATAGGAACACTTTTACACTGTTGGTGGGACTGTAAACTAGTTCAACCATTGTGGAAGTCAGTGTGGCGATTCCTCAGGGATCTAGAACTAGAAATACCATTTGACCCAGCCATCTCATTACTGGGTATATACCCAAAGGACTATAAATCATGCTGCTATAAAGACACATGCACACGTATGTTTATTGTGGCACTATTCACAATAACAAAGACTTGGAACCAACCCAAATGTCCAACAATGATAGACTGGATTAAGAAAATGTGGCACATATACACCATGGAATACTATGCAGCCATAAAAAATGATGAGTTCATGTCCTTTGTAGGAACATGGATGAAATTGGAAATCATCATTCTCAGTAAACTATCGCAAGGACAAAAAAACAAACATTGCATATTCTCACTCATAGGTGGGAATTGAACAATGAGAACACATGGACACAGGAAGGGGAACATCACACTCTGGGGACTGTTGTGGGGTAGGGGGAGGGGGGAGGGATAGCTTTAGCAGATATACCTAATGCTAAATGACGAGTTAATGGGTGCAGCACACCAGCATGGCACATGTATACATGTGTAACTAACCTTCACATTGTGCACATGTACCCTAAAACTTAAAGTATAATAATAATAAAATTAAAAAAAAAAGACAGAGATTGTCAGCATAGTTTAAAAAAATCTCCACTACCTCACTATAGGTTGTGGGGAGTTTACAACCTGACTTTAAATATAAAGACAAAGATAGATTAAAAACAAAGGGATAAAGACATATCATGCTAACTTTTTTTTTAAAGGCTCTCAATATAGTAAAACAAAAAATTTGCAGGGAAAAATTAAGCAAAACTCAAGCAGTATAAAATAACCACATCTAAAGCTTTTCTCAAATTACAACTTTCTTACAAGGCCTGTATTAGGGTGTTCTTGTGTTGCTATAAAAGAAATACCTGAGGCTGGGAAATCATACAGAAAAGTGGTTTATTCATTCATGCTTCTGCATGCTTTACAAGAAGCATGGTGCTGGCATTTGCTTAGCTTCTTGGTAAGCCTTAAGAAGCTTACAGTCATAGTGGAAGATGAAATGGGAGTGAGTGTGTCACATGGCAAGAGCAAGAAAGGTGGGGAGGTGTCACACACTTTGAAGCAACCAGATCTTGTGAAAACACATTCACTATTGCAGAGACAGCACGAAGTCATGAGAGATTCACCCCCATGACTCAGTCACCCACCATCAGGCCCCACATCCAATATTGGGGATTACATTTCAACATGAGATTTGGGAAGGACAACTATCCAAACTATATCAAGGCCTTAATAAATTGTTTCTTTTAAATAAGTGGAATACAAAATAATATACAGTTGATCTTTGCACAGTACAGGTTTAAAATGCATGGGTCTATTTATACGCAGATTTTGCTTAATAAATACATTGAAATATTTTTTGAAAATTTGCAACAAATTAAACAAACTCTCATATAAACCATGTTAACCTAGAAATAATTTTTAAATTCAGAAAAATTTAAGTGTGTTATGAATACATAAAACACACAGAAATATTAGTCTCTTTTTATTTCCTACCATAAAATATATACAAATAAATTATGAAAAGCTAAAATTTTTCAAAATTTATACGTGCGCTTATAAAACATACCACACCTTTCCCAGGCACCATTCACATTTGAGAAAAATGTAAATAAATGTAACGATGCAGTATTAAGTCATAATTACATAAAATTAATTGTAGTACATATCATACTGCTGTAATAGTATTATAGCCACCTCTTATTGCTATTGTGGTTCACTCAAGTGTTGCAAGAATCAACTTAAAATGTCATTATTTTCTCTGTGTGAGCAACCTGTCCAGTAAACTGCATATTTCAATAAACATGATCTCTTAAAGTTCTTATTTTTTTTTTAATCATGTTTAGTACAATACTGTAAACCTTGAGTAACACTCTGGGACCCATGCAAAGTGCCACAGTGATGCTTGAAGTGACACCGAGAAGCAGAGAAAAGTCAAGATATTACAAGAAAAAGTTGAATTGCTTGGTATATACTGTAGATTGAGATCTGCAGCTATGGTTGCCCACCATTTCAAGATGAATGAATGTAGCATAGGGACCATTGTAAAAAAAAAAAATTCCTGAAACTGTTGTTGCATCTATGCCAGCAGGAGTGGAAACCTTGTACTTTTTGCAAAGTATATTTGTATCTTATATTGAACATGTGGCTTATATGTGAGTGCAGGATTGCTATAATAAAGACATACCTATAGACTTTAATATAATTTGAGAAAAAATGAAGTCATTATATGATAACTTAAAGCAAAAGGAAGGTGAAGGATCTAAACCTGGGGGAAATTATTGCCAGCAAAGGATGGCTTGATAACTTTATAAAGAGGTTTGGGAGTTTGGTTCAAGGCCACAGTGACTTATAACTCTGCCACTGTACGCTAGCCTCAATGGCAGAGCAAGATCCCATCTTTAAAACAAATTGGCTTAAAACGTGTCCAAATAATAAGAGAAGCAGCTTCTGCCAACCAGGGACAGCAAAAGAATTTCCAGACATCATTAAGAAAATCACTGAGGAGTCAGAGTATCTACCTGAGCGAATTTTAATGCCAATGAAAGTGCCCTATACTGTTAAAAAATGCCACAAAGGACATTTATTTGTTAGAAAATAAGTGAGCACCAGAATTTAAAGCAGAAAGAGATAGGCTGCCTCTACTGCTCTATGCAAACGCATTTGGGTTTATACTCAGGACTACCCTTATCTATAAACCTGATAACTCGTTGGCCTTAAAGAGAAAAGGTTCCAGGCATGGTGGCTCATACCTGTAATTCCAGCACATTGGGAGGCTAAAGTGGGCGAATCACTTGAGTCCAGGAGTTGGAGACCAGCCTAGGAAACATGACAAAACCCCATCTCTACTAAAAATACAAAAATGAGCCAGACATGGTGGCACACACTTGTAGTCTTAGTTACTCAGGAGACTGATGTGGGAGGATCACCTGAGTCTTGAGAGGTGAAGGAGGCTCCAGTGAGCCACGACTGCAGCACTGCACTCCAGCCTGGGCAACAGGCAACAGAGTGAGAGCCTGTCTCAAAGAAAGAAAGAGAGAAAAAATAAATACCAGCTTCCCAGCTGCTAGTTTTTTTGGTTGCGCAACAAGAAGATTTGGACAATAAGAACCTTTTACTGGATTAGTTCTATCAGTGCTTTGTTCCCAAAGTCAGAAAGGACTTGGCCAGTAAAGCACAGTCTTTAAAAGTTATTTTGATATGAGACAACACACTTGGCCACTCAGAATCCTGCAAGTTCAACACTGAAGGTGTCAAAATGGTCTACTTGCTCCCAAGCAAATGTCTCTAATTAAGCCACTAGATCGGGGGTCATGAAGATGAGTAAGGCTCATTATGCACAGTACTCTATGGAAGGAACTATCAATGCTATGGAAGAGAACTCTAATAGAGAAAAACATCATGAAAATATGAATGAATTACACAATTGAAGGTGCCATCATTTAAAAGGCAATGAAAGCTGTCAGGCCTGAAACAGTAAATTTCTGATGGAGAAAACTGGGTTCAGATCAGGATGTATGACAGAGACAATCAAGGGAATCAGAAAGAAATTGCATATATGGCCACAACAGTGGGGGAAGAAGGGTTTCAAGTTATGAATCTTGGAGAAATTCAAGAGTTAATAGACACCACATCTGAGGAATTAACCAACTGTGACTTGATGGAGATGAGTGCTTCCAAGCCAGTGCCAGAAAATGACGAAGAAGACCTCCCAAGAAGCAGTGCCAGAAAACAAATTGACATTCGACAATCTGACAGAATTGTTCCAATATTCAAGACTGCTTTTGACTTCTTTTACAAGATCGACTCTTCTATAATATGGGCACTGAAACTAAAGCAAATGGTAGAAGAAGGATTGGTACCATATATGCATATATTCAGAAAAATGAAAAATAAAAAATGTCAGACAGAAATTATGATGTAATTTATGTAAAATTATACCAAATGTGCCTGCCTCTCCTGCTTTCCCTTCCAACTCCTCCACTTCTGCCTTTGCCACCCTTGAGACTGAAAGACCAGCCCCTCCTCCTCCTTCTTCTCAGCCTACTCAAAATGAAGATAATGATGATAAAGACATTTATGATGATCCACTTACATTTAATCAATAGTAAATATATTTTCTCTTCCTTACAATTTTCTTTCTTTTTTTTTGAGATGGAGTCTCGCTCTGTCGCCCAGGCTGCAGTGCAGTGGCGCAATCTCAGCTCACTGCAAGGTCCACCTCCCGGGTTCACACCATTCTCCTGCCTCAGCCTCCCGAGTAGCTGGGACCACAGGTGCCCACCACCACGCCCGGCTAATTTTTTTTTGTATTTTTAGTAGAGATGGTGTTTCACCGTGTTAGCCAGGATGGTCTCGATCTCCTGACCTCGTGATCCGTCCACCTCAGCCTCCCAAAGTGCTGGGATTACAGGCGTGAGCCACCGTGCCCGGCCACAATTTTCTTAATACCATTTTCTTTCTCTAGCTTATTTTATTGTAAGAAAACAGTATATAATATACATAATACATATATAACTTACAAAATATATGTTAACCAACATTTTATGTTATTGGTAAGGGTTCTAGTCAATAGTAGAATATTAGTAGTTATGTTTTTGGGGGAGTCAAAAGTTACACAAGAATTTTCAAATGCATGGGAGGTTGGTGCTTCTAACTCCTAAGTTGCTCAGGGTCAGCTATATTTAAAAACTGCTATGTGACTATGTCCCGTATTTGCTTACCTCATAATTATTTGGCTGTAATGGATTACTAATTTCTTATAAATTTTTACAAAGTGTGAATATTTACAGATTATAAAGTAAGCATTCAAATTTATAAACTGTCACACAAATTAATGCTTTCCTAATCACCAATATTTAAAATGTATCCAAATGAATGATGTGATGGCAAATTGTGTCACAGCTTAACAATAATATGAAGCATGGTTTATAAAATAATTTATTTTATGTATGTATATAACAACCAGTAAGACATTCTACTTATTGCTGTTTTCAGGCACATGGGCTCCTGATTATTACCCTAAAGTCACCAGAAATAATTTTCTATTTTATAATTTGTAATTCATTTGTAAAATGCTAATATAGTCTATTGGGTTTGCCACTGTTGCCAAGTTTATTCAAAAGAGTTATCAAATTATAATTAAGTGAATAGAAATCTTCTTGGCCTATGTAAATATTATATTTAGTTCATAAATATGTAATGCTATTAATTCATGTGGAGTCCTTGGCAGTTTTGAAATAAGTATTGCTGTCTCTGATGACCATCTTATACATAAAATATTTAATTTCCCAAGAATGAAGTTTGAAAAGAAACTCGAAGTTTATTTAAATAGAACTTTCTGTAAATGTAAATACTAGGAAAGTACTAGAAATTATGAGGTATCACATGGATGAAAATTGCCATTTGTTTGATGAGTTACTCAAAATAGCATTGTCTTGTTTACCACCATATTTGGTGAGAAGTGTCTGCCACAGCTGCTTCTTCTATGAAATGACTACAATCCTTTCCAGTTAGAAATACCCATATAATAAGGCAAGTTGTACCCAATTCTCTATCAGAGCCATGTCTTTTCATTAATTTATAAAACTTCTCTTCACAACGAGAGTTGATTTGTTATAATTTAGCAACACAGAATACACATTTTTCATCTTTGAAGTAAGACTACATAAAATAAGGCCTCATATATGTCTTCTCTTATCTTGATTTTTATTAAATTAGGCTAAAATATTATAATTTTTTATTTGTCTTTTACTTTCTATATTTTCCAAAAGGATTTTTTTTAATTAACAAATTAACTTCAGGAAAAATTTTTAAATAAAGTGTTCTATTTTTTGTTTATTCTCTCTGTTCAGATCATAAAAGCTAGCTACATATTTTCTCCCACAGTGGATCACTGAGGATTTCATTATAAAATTTAATCACTTTAAATATTGTTAAAGCCATTTTCCTTTCAGTAAACCTGATCATTCATGCTTCTTCATCTATTTTTACCCAACCTTCCAATTAACACAACAAAGTAATCCAATGCTTTCAAATATGAAATATATCCTTCTTAAAATTTGGCTATAACTATAAAGTGAAGAAGGGGTGAACAAATGAATATGATAAATGCACTCATATAATAGAGGTAAAAGTTATTTGTTAGAGATTAAAGATTAATTTTTCTGTAGGAAACATATTCTGGTATTTCAGATTAAGCAAATCTATCCAGGAATCTTCTGGCATTCAGTACTGTACCTATAAATTATTCATTCACTTGCAGGTTTCATTTATGTCAAATCTTGTTAGAACAGTTAATTTTACATGAAAGTTATTCTCAGAGGAAGCTTTTAACAATTGGACATTAGCATTTTTGAGTAAGTCAGCATTTTTACCGTAACAAGAATTTTGTCTTATTCTGAGTAATACCATCTGTATAATTTAATAATTGCACAATTTAGCATAGATCTAAAAATGTCATTTCCTTAGATTATATATTAAAATTATGTGCATAGTAGGATAGTCACTTGAGTAAAGAACAGGATATTATCAAACACATATAATCTCTCTCTTATATTAGGGAGTTAACAAAAATAAGATGTATCCTTAATTAAGCTACTGCTTTGTAATAAAAAATGTTAACTTAACCTTAGAAAGTAAAAATTCTGTCTTCCAAACACACAGGTAAATACCATGAATTGTTAAAAATATAGTCATTTGACTATACTGACATTTTAATAGATAATTGTATCTGGATTAGTAAAAGCATTTATCATGTAAGATTACTTTGACATTACATTTAGATATGTGGCCACTGGAAAAATAAATATTCTCTTATTTCAACAATAGTTTATATGTAGCACTTAATACATTCATGTATCTAACAATTTCCTTTGGTTTCTTATAAAAAAGATGATGAGACTGCTGGCTGAGTGAATACTCAGGATTGTTAGCAAATGGCACTCTGAGTCTGGCTTCTATCTTCTTCATTCCTTACTACAAATATCTGCCTCTCCTTAAATGCTTATTCAATATGAGATAAGAATTTAGTCTTGACCAAGGTGGTCTCTACATTTCCCTCAGCTTGACTAAACTTTAGACAGGCTTCTTCCGTCCTCTAGACACCTGGTATCTCTAACCAAGGCTCTTACAGAATCAAGAAAATCTAACTACAGAGGTTGCTTCCCTCCCTTTCTGTAGAGCATTTACTTTAATTGAACATTCTTTCTCTGTCATCTTAAGATGTAAACCTATCTAAAAGTTTCTTATCAGTTTTACAACCCAGTGCTGCTTTCACAAGCACCTAGGAGCCATCCCTTTGAAGTGTAATCATCTACAAAGAGAGAAGAAGCCCTGTCTGTCTTCCAGTCTTTGTGGAAGAGTAGGAGGCTAACTTAAATAGGCACCTTACTCAAAGAAGTAAAATGACCTTCTGTAAAGAAGACATAAGGAATTTTAATTTTCCTTTGGGTAAATCCAAATAGCAAAAAGATGACCTACCATGGCTCACTCTAGCACTTAAATACTCTGCCCTTTGTTTCAATGAAATTCAGTTCAAATTTGTGTTCTTTTCTCTCTCCTTTGTTGCAAAAGTCTTAAAGTATTCTTTACATTTTTAACTTTGTCTGGTGCAATTTCTGCTTTGACAGTCACAAATAACTGTCTTTGATCCCCTTGGAAGCACACTTAACGGAAATAGCTGATTGGGTATGCTGAATCTTTGTTGTCACTGAATGTTGGAGAATACAGTGACTAGAGAAAATGAAGTTTACTACGAAGGCTTCAGCAAGAGACTGGAGGACTTTCCACTCTAGACAGGTGGCTCACAGTAGGGAAGACTAATCTATTTTCTCTACTTACAGGACTGCAGACATCAATGAAGATTCATCATAAAGACCTGAGTCCTGATGTATAAGTGAATACATGAATAATTAAACAAACAAAAGCTTTCTCGCAGGGCCCTGAAAAACAATAGAGAAAGATAATACAAGAAAATGTTGTACAAAATCTATAAAGTAGAGCTGCTATAAGAAGGCAGCTGACTACATGATTTCTCAAGAAAAAAACAGAATGAATAAATTGATGTTACATTTAAGGATCTAGCATTCAATGCTTTATTGCAGTTAATGATCTGAAATAGTGGAGTAGAATACTAACTGAAAGAATTTTGCTGAAATAAAAAGAAAATCTAGAAAAAGAAGACAAACATGAAGGAAATCTTAGGAATCTAATAGGAAAATATGGGAAACCTAACAAGTGTATAAGTGATGTAAATAAAAATAATATGTGAAAAATGAATTAATCGAAAAAATATTTTTGGCCCGGCACAGTGGCTCACGCCTGTCATCTCAGCACTTTGAGAGGCTGAGGCGGGGGGATCATGAGGTCAAGAGATCGTGACCATCCTGGCCAACACGGGGAAACCCCGTCTCTAGTAAAAATACAAAAATTACTTGGGCATGGGGGCGTGCGCCTATAGTCCCAGCTACTCAGGAGGCTGAGTCAGGAGAATCGCTTGAACTCGGGAGGCGGAGGTTGTAGTGAGTCAAAATTGTACCACTGCAATTTGGCCTGGTGACAGAGAGAGACTCTGTCTCAAAAAAAAAAAAAAAAAGTATATATATATACACACACGTATATATACATATATATATGTATATATACGTGTGTGTATATATATATACACATATATGTGGGTATATATATGTGTATATATAAATATTTATATTTTTATATTACTGAAAGAGATATAAAATGTCACATGCTTTTGATATGACAATATGGTACTCAATAATATGTATATATGTATATTTATCTAAAGGATTATATATATACATATAAAGAAGAATTAATATATACATACACATATAAAGAAGGATTTATATATGTGTGTGTGTATATATATTTATCTAAAGAAGGATTCATTCCTAAGTTTGAAAGTTTCATGTAGTTTTTGAAAATAAAAATAATTCCAAGGATAAAGAGAGAATATCACATTTTCTAAGTAAAAGAATAAGTTAAAAAGAAGGTAAAAGATATTAGATATCACTCCCTAATGTATTGAAACCCTTGAAGCCTGAAGACTTTTGAATATTATCTACATACTATTGTGACAGAAATTTGAGGAGAGGAACATAATAATACTATACCTGGTAAAGACATATTTTCATGGTTAGTGTGGAAAATAGATATTTTTGATTAGGCAAGACTGTGGAGAGTATATCCTAGGTTTACCAAAAGGAAATGTTCATGAAACAGTCACTGTCAACAAGAAGATATAGGAAATGAACCAAAAATACTTCAAAGTGAAAAAGATAAAAAGGGAGAAAAATAGTGTTAAATTGTAAAACTTTTTATATTACTGAAAAAAATGTAAAATGTCACATCCTTTTGATATGTCAATATGGTACTCAATAATTAAGTCTGAGTTTTTTCCTTTTAATATCAAGAACAAGGCAAGGATATCTTTTTTCACCACTGGATGACTACAGTTTTTGTTTGAACTAGGGCTTGCTTCATTCACAAGGAAGACATTGGTGTTCCAGGAATACATACAACCAAGGAACACTATAGCAAGCTTTCTTACTCATGTTACTGACATAGGTAATCAGAAACAAAGAGAAAGAGAAGGGAACCTATAATTTCTTTTCTTATAACTCCTGCCTTACTCAACAGTAAACCAAAGCCAGAGAGAACTAGTAGAATACATACACATCAGAAAGTAAAAAGAGTTGAGTTAGTTGGGTCAGTATTTCTGCTGTTCTGGTATGAAATGTACACAGATGCATGCGTGAGTTATGCAGTATAAATTTATTCTAGAATAATTTTAATAATTTGACACATGGGATATATGATCTTATGTTTGCATTTGAAATTAGTGTTGCACAAAATAGAGGTAAGGAGTAATACTCATGTTAACAATTTAGCATTTTAATTGTTCTTTACTTAGAACAACATTATAGAGCAAACATAAATGACATTGGCAAATTGAAAGAGAAAATACAGTGGAAGGAATAAAGCTTTATATTTTGGTACAGTTAAATACACTTGGTTTCTGCTTTTATTTATATATATATATTTTATTATACTTTAAGTACTAGGGTACACGTGCACAACGTGCAGGTTTTTACATATGTATACATGTGCCATGTTGGTGTGCTGCACCCATTAACTCGTCATTTACGTTAGGCGTATCTCCTAATGCTATCTCTCCCCCTCCCCCCACCCCAGAACAGTCCCCAGTGTGTGATGTTCCCCTTCCTGTGTCCAAGTGTTCTCATTGTTCAATTCCCACCTATGAGTGAGAACATGCCGTGTTTGGTTTTTTGTCCTTGCGATAGTTTGCTGAGAATGATGGTTTCCAGCTTCATCCATGTTCCTACAAAGGACATGAACTCATCATTTTTTATGGCTGCATAGTATTCCATGGTGTATATGTGCCACATTTTCTTAATCCAGTCTATCATTGTTGGACATTTGGGTTGGTTCCAAGTCTTTGCTATTGTGAGTAGTGCCGCAATAAACATACGTGTGCATGTGTCTTTATAGTAGCATGATTTACATTCCTTTGGGTATATACGCAATAATGGGATGGCTGGGTGGTTTCTGCTTTTTGAACGTAGATCACCTAACAAATTATGTAGCTGGCCCTGACCACATACAGACTCAAGGGAAACCAAATCTGCATCTGAAATACAGATTGTAACTCCACTATGTTTAACAGAATGCTGTATGTGTAGTCTATATGATTGTGCTTAATTTCCTGTCCTATGGAAAATGTTCCTACCTGACTTTAACTTTCCTAAAGTGAACTAAAATGTGAAGGTTTCTTCTCAAATTTCAACCTCCCAGTGAATTAGATTGTTTTGAACAATATATATTTAGAATTACCAATGACAGTAAGTAAAATTCCTATAATGGATCACATAAAAAATCCCCCTGTAATAGCTGGTATGTTATCATTCCCATTATTACCTTATATTACATAGCACAGTGAATGTAAATATTGGGAGTTTATGTAGGTATATTTAATTTAATCAACAGCACATCAGACTAATTTTTGTACTTTTTTGTAGAGATGGAATTTTGCCGTGTTGCCCAGGCTGGTCTCCAACTCCTGGGCTCAAGCGATCTGCTCACATCAGCCTCCCAATGTGTTGGGATTATAGGCTGAGCCACTGCTCCCAGCCATGGATACCATTAATAACACAGAGTTTTCTCTAGCTGGTAACAGTAGAAGAAATCACAAAATTCAGAGAGAAAAAGTAGATGCACCCATCCTAATTTAAAAGAAGGAGAAGAGCAGGGGAGAAAAAATTGAGAGGCCCCTGGAAGCTGAGAGCAGCCCTTTGCTGATGAGGGCCATGAAATAAGGATTTTCAATCCATAAAAGCAGATAATTGGATTCTTCCAGTAAAATGAATGAGCTTAGAATCAGATTTTTTTAAAGCCTCCAGATGAGAATTTAGCCCGACTAAAACCTTGAATTTGGCATTGAGAGACCCTTCACAGAAAAGCCAAACCTCTGATCTATGGAAATAATAACCAATGCGTGCATTAGAAAATAATAATCAGGTGTGTTTTTAGGTCGATAAGTTTCTGGCAATTTGTTATGCAGCAAAGAAAACTAATACATTGATAATCATTCTTACTTGCAGAAAAAGCAATGTCACATGGCTTAATCAAGTAGATTTGTGAGTTATTCCTAAAATATGAAAATTGAGCAAGATAATAAAGTATTTTGGGTATTCTCTCAAGATACTGTTTATGCTTTCACTGCATTGGACTACTATGTTGCTCTTTTGACAGACTGTATGCATAGCCTGACTCTTACCTACTAATTAAAATTATTTCTAGATTTTCTTGTGTCTTAGTCCAGTTTGTTTTGCTGTAATAGAATAGCATAGGCTGGGTTATTTATAGTGAGCATAAATTTATTTGGCTCACAGTTCTGAAGGCTGGGAAGCCCAAGACTGGGGCTGCATCTGTCCAGGGATTTCTTGATGAGTCATCCCCTGGCAGAAGGTGGAATTGGGAAGGGCAAGACAGGGAAACAGAGAGAGAAAAACCAAACAGGAGCCAAGTTTGATCTTTTATAAGGAAGCTACTTAAGTAATAATGCCCCCACTTTTGTGGTAATGACATTAACCCATTCATGAGGGTGGAGCCCCTCATGGCCCAACCACCTCTTAAAGGTTTCAACTCTTATTACTGTTGCAATGGCAATTAAATTTCGACATGAGTTTGAGAAGGGAAAAACAATTCAAACCAGAGCATCATGTGCCAGACTTTTAACAATTTTAAAAAATATTAGATGTCAGGCTGGGTGCGGTGGCTCACGCCTGTAATCCCAGCACTTTGGGAGGCCGAGGCAGGCGGATCACGAGGCCAGGAGATGGAGACCATCCTGGCTAACACGGTGAAACCCTGTCTCTACTAAAAATACAAAAAAAATACCCGGGCCTGGTGGCAGGCGCCTGTAGTCTCAGCTACTTAGGAGGCTGAGGCAGGAGAATGATGTGAACCCGGGAGGCAGAGCTTGCAGTGAGCCGAGATCACGCCACTGCACTCCAGCCTGGGCAACAGAGCAAGACTCCATCTCAAAAAAATAAAAAATTAGATGGCAATAGTATTGCAGAATTTTTTTGATAATTTAAGAAAAAATTCTATAAGCAGTCAGGTAGGTACATTGTCGGTAATGTTTTTGCACAGCCTACTAATGCAACATGAGTCTTGTCTAGAAAAATAGAATAAAGCTGCTCATTTAAAACGAGATAGGAATGATGAAAGAGATATAAAAAGGTAAAGCTTCTTTTCTTTATTCAGTTTATTTATTACTTTCATCAGGATAGTCACTAAAACTATCTTTTGAGACTTACTAAAGGTAAAACTGAACATATGCTTTATAATGGTAGGTGGTTTTAACTGGGTGAAAGACAAAGGAAAACCTGTTCTATTATTGAAAGGACTGAGTCCCATAGGTCCAGTATCCCAAGAAATATTTATTTAGTAGCTCTTCCAAATTTATGCTTCATTGATTGGATACTCACTGTAAAATTATGTTTTTATGTATTAATATGTGCTCTGATAACTGCTATTTATATGTTTAATAATGTTTATTATCCTGTTGTTTCTGTAAGTGTAAACAAAATGAGTGGACAGAAATGTACAATGAAACAGGTGGTGAAAATAATGTTGATACAATGAAAGACTTTATATCCACAAGAACTAGACTTTTGAAGACAGAAAAATAAGACTACTATTTCTTATAGAAAATATTTGATTTAAAAATAAACAATAAAAATAAGGCACTTACACCAACTTTTTAACTTTGTCATTCTTTCTCAGCAATATGGCTGAATTATCAATATCAAATGTCATTCTGTTTTGCAGAAGGTATAGATGGAGACAACCCCTTTGAAATAAATAAGTTTCTTTTGTTTCTGTGGTAGCATGAGTTGATTATGTATTCTGCCTTTCAATGCTGTGGGGAATGTTTGATTGTCCAGTAAGTACAACATCTTTTGTGTCCAAAATGTAATTTTTGAATAAAGCTCACAAAAATTGTGCTTCTCCATAGCTGACAAGAAAGGAGACAGACTATTAAGTGTAGACTCTTTTCCCAAGTGGATTTCAATAAAATTTAATTTAATCATGCCCTGTAGGTTTGCTCATTTATCTTGATGATCAGTATATTTGACACTTCTATTCTGGAATATCTTTTATGGTTCACTATATCTTAAAGCTTCACTCCAATTGGTAGGTAATCTATTTTGCCAAGGCAATGGATTATAAATAAAACAAATTGTGCTATATATACTTTGAAATAGTCTGAGTCTGGTTTCAGGACAAAGCAAAATAATTACATTCCTAAAGCCATAAAATATATATTTTAGATGCTCCCAATCACTATTGTTAATATAGTTTTTAGGTATTTAGTCATAGACATTTAATAAAATTCTAGGGCCAACATTAATGAGAAGAATCAAAAATAAATAAATAAAACAAGAGGAAATTGATTTTGTGGAGAGCATGGACACATTTGTTGTCCATAGGGAACTAACAATAACTTCCAGTGACATCAGTTCAAGAAAAAAAAATAGCAGCAGGGAGTGAGAATGTCATCTGTCAACCCCGAAAATGATTTTGGTTAAAATAATGACAACAACAACAAAACTAAATATCAAATAGCGTCAAAAATGATATCACATATTCCATTTCTTCATCAGAAATAAAAAGAAAATATTTTTCTTACCTGAGCAATTTATTGATGAGAGGGCAGAGTAAGTTAAAAAATTGTTGCTATACATTTTTCATTAAGTTTTTAGATAAGACAAATGCACAAACAATTGTTGAATATCTAGCATCAAAAGAAGAAAACAGAGAACAGAAGTATAACATTTTATTTTCTTAATTTCCTATTTTAAAAGATTTCAGTTACCTTTATAGTATTAAAATGAGAATATATTAAATGCCATTGAATGGTGCATTTTTAAATGGTTAATGTAATGGTTAATATTAGGTATCAATTTGATTGGATTGGAGGATGCCTAGATAGCTGGTAAAGTATTGTTTCTGGGTGTGTCTGTGAGGGTGTTTCCAGAAGAGATTGACATTTGAGTCAGTGGACTGGGAGAGGAAGTCCCACCCTCAATGTGAGTAGGCACCATCTGATCTGCTGCCACAGGGCCAGAACAAGGCAGACAGAAGGAGGTGAGATAAGCTGGCTTGTTGAACCTTCTGGTTTTCTTCTTTCTCCAGTGCTGGATGCTTCCTTCCACTCCTCCCCTTGAACCTAAGATTCCAGGTTCTTCAGCCACTGGGCCCTTGGGCTTACACCAGTGGTTTGCCAGGGGCTTTTGGGGATTCAGCCACAGAATGAACTTCCCTGCTTTTGAGGCTTTTGGACTCTGATTGAGCCACTACCGGCTTCTTTCTCCCCCAGCTTGCAGACTACCTATCCTGGGACTTCACCTTGTGATCCTGTGAGCCAATTCTCTCTAATAAACTCCCTTTCACATATGTATATATCCTATTAGTTATTTCCCTCTGGAGAACCCTGAACTAATACAGTTAAAATGGTGAATTTTATGTCATTTGTATTTTGACACAATACCAGAAAGTTAATTCACATACTCTGGATGAAAACACATTTTTCCCCAAGTTCAATAAGAAGCAACTTGTACAATTATAATTACAGGGCTATCTAAGGATCTAGGGCTGCACTAAGACGTTTCTGCCACTAGCAATATGTGGATATTAATCACTTAATATGTGGCTACTGCCACTAAGCAACTGAATTTTAAATTTTATTTTAATAAATTTGATTTCAATTAAATTTAAATTTACAACATAAAGTAATTTTTATGGCACATAATTTTTATTAAACCACATACTATTGTTCTGGTAAGATCTCATTTTACTTTAACTTGCATTATGTGATATTGCTATACTGTGGTGTACCTGTTAGATGCATACTTTATTTACAGTAATAAACAGAAAAAGGATATTTAACCATTTTGTGCCTATTGATTGATTTAATTTGTATAATATTTTCTATATGCTGATGTAAAATTGGCATGTGATGATTTTAATATTTTATTCAGATGGCATGAATTACACTGATACCTATGAAAATTATCAATGATAATTAAATTGAAATAATCATAATTAATTACATTGTAACAATTACTTTTATACTTAATTAAAATTTATGTGTGAACATATTCATAAATTAAAACAAAGACATACTGCCAATGTTTAACTGAGCATAAATACAGAAGCTAGTATAAAGACTAGAACTTGCAAGTAAAATAAAACCTGAAAAAAGATACATCAAAAACTTTATAAAAAGGCTATAGCAATGTGCTGTGACAGTACCCAACACAAAGGCTGTTGTGTAAAATGTTTTGAGATAATTATGTGTAGAACATTAGGACATATTTAATGCATTTCATAAGAAATTTCCTCCCAAAGTCAAACAAGCATTGATAAAATTAGTGAGCAAAAATTGGAAATAAATGGTTAATTAAAATGTTTGAATAATTTTAAAAGAATCTAAAATTGTAAATTAGATTAGCTACAATCTAATCATGGATTGTAATAATGGATTCCTGAATATAATAATGGATTCCTGAAGAGAAAAAGAAAAACAGTTTTAGATGAAGATACAGTAAGATTAATTATGAAAACTTTGTTTAAAAAATTATGAATAAGAGTAATAAAAATATTTTACAAAATGTAAACAATTTTAATTTGAGCATGAAACATTTGTCTGTAGAACAGAAACCTTTCTAAAAATATTCAGTACAAACTAAGCCAAAATCCAAAGATTACTGTTTTCTGTAGCTTTAGATGAGTTTTATATTATGTTCTCCAATAATACTTTGTGTATCTTTGTTTGTATTACTTTAATCAACCATGTAAATAATCAAATTCATGTCATGAATATTTTGGAATTATTTATATCTATCAATGAAGAATTTTAGTGAGATACGAGGACATTAGCTTTTATTTATTTATTTTTTCTAACTTTAGGTTCAGGGGTACATGTGCAGCTTTGTTACACAGATAAACTTGTTTTATGAGGGTTTGTTGTACAGATTATTTCATGACCCAGGTGTTAAGTTTAGTATTCACTAGTTATTTTTCCTGATCCTCTCCCTCCTCCCACTCTCCACTTTCCAATAGGCCCTAGTGTGTGTTGTTCCCCTCTATGCATCTATGTGTTCGCATGATTTAGCTGCCACTTATAAGTGAGAACGTGTGGTATTTGGTTTTCTGTTCCTGTGTTAGTTTGCTAAGTATAAAGGCTTCTAGCTCTATCCATGTCCCTGGAAAAGACATGACCTCATTTTTTATGGTTGGATGGTATTCCATGGTATATATGTACCACATTTTCTTTGCCCAGTCTATTACTTATGGGCATTTAGGTTGATTCCATGTCTTTGCTACTGTGAACAGTGTTGCAATGAACATAGGCATACATGTGTCTTCATAATGATTTACATTCCTTTGGGTAAATACCCAGTAATGGGATTGCTGGGTCAAATGGTATTTCTGTGTTTAGGTCTTTGAAGTATCACCACATACTCTTCCATATAATTATGGATAGTTCCATATAATGATAGTTAGTGGCATTAGGTCAAAAATCAGGGCTATTTGTAGTTTTAAAGTGAGAGAAAAGTAATTTCTTTATTGATGTGTTCTACTGTATAATGCATAATACAATATTTGTGATGCTATAAAAATTATGCAGTTTAAAATGTGTCTCAAATTTATAAACAAATGCTGTAAATTATTACCAATTTATGTCATTATTGATAGCAAAAGAAGACAATGACAATACTTTTTTGGCTTCTTTGTCAAAGCTCATTGGTTGAATTTTGTAAGAGTTTTATAAAGATTATTGTTACAGCTAATTTTAAATTTTCTTTTAATAAATTTTAGGAGATAGATATGAGGTGCACAACTTTATGAATGTAAGTAACGCCAGAGAATTGAATGGTTAAATGCTAAATTTTATGTTACATATATTTTACCATGGTAAAAAATTTTAAATACTCAAAATTCTCAAATAGTCAATAATCAAAGGTTGATTTTTATCATAAAATTAGTAGTTTTTGATAAATTATCAATACCAATAAAATATGGCACCGTGATTTATGTTTCTCACTGAGCTATGGCTGTATAGGAATAAAATAGATTTAAAATTCTAAGCAAAGGAAAATGTATTTGTATCCTATCCAAACAAGTACAAAAATGCATGTTGAAACCAAAACCTTTATAATAAAATTTGATAATAAGAAATAAATATGCTGAGATTTTGAAAGAAAATTTGTAGACACTTGAAAGATATCATTAATATTAATAATTACAAAGAAGGTTGCAGTTATTTCTGTCAGATGACAGTATGTTATTGATACAATGATTTTATGGAGGGTTGAAGTTTGAAGGGATGCCCTCTTTGTCTTTACTCCAAGGATTTATATATCACTATTATTCTAAGACACTATCTTTCTCATAATATCATGAACTGTCTTTGTGTTTGATACTTTCTGCATGTTGATAAATTTTGTTTTGGCCTCTTATAAATACCAATATAAAAACATTTTTATTTATTGAAATTTTGGATATATAGTATAATTCCAAATTATTTTGTTTTTTTCTAAGTACTTTTCATTATGTATTTATTTATTATTTAGATTCAGAGGGTACATGTGCAGGTTTGTTACATTATGTGATGCTGAGGTTTGGGCTTCAATTGAACCTATCATCCAAATAATGAACATAATGATGGCAGTGGCTGCAGCAAGGAGGTGTGACTGGGGCTGCACACTACTTGGAGCTGGTGGGAACCCCACCTTCCTTGGGGGTCTATAGCCACCCAAACTGTGGTTGTGGGTCCGAGCCTCCTTGTGCTTTTAGGGGATCCAGGAACAGGGAGGATCTGCCCTCTGGGTGCAGCTGCAGTGAGACCTGGGCCTCCCACTCCACAAAGCAGGAAGAAGCTGGGGACAAGCGGGAGCCCTGCGTCGTCTGAGTTGGTGGGATCGGAGCTCCTAGGTGCAGCTGTGGGTGCCCTCCCAGGTGCAGGACCTGCGCATCTCTGCCGCCTTCATGCTTGGATGCCCCATGAAGGACCCCCTCATCTGTGTAGGCCCAGGGGTGTCTGCTCCAACTGCCTGCTCTGCTCCTGGCACCCACTCCTATCTCTTAGTGGGGTTGGGGCCAAGCCCTGGGCCCATGAATGTAAGCAGGAGGTGAACAGAGTCCTATGCAGAAGGGGGCAGGGTTCCCAATAAGCCCCCACCCTCAGGCCAGAGAGGGCCTGAAGGCTGGGGGCTGGGCTGCAAGTCCTGTGGACTGGAGTGAGAACTCATGGTGCCTCTTCCACGCCCGCGCATGGCTGCCCATGGACCAATGGGTACACACTTTCCCCCATCTGAGGTCGATAAAAGCCCTGGGCTCAGCAAGAGCAGGGCAGAGGATGGCCACAGGACAAAGAGGAGCTACCTCTGCTGAGAGCTTCAGAGACCTGCAGAGATGTCCAAATGACTTGCCTGCAGAGAGGAGTCACCCTCTCCAAGGCCTCTTCTCTGCTGAGAGTTGAACACTCCATAGGAGGACCTGCCCAGAGAGTAGCTACCCACTGTGGGTCTCTGAGCTGTTCTAACACTAAATAAAACTCTTCATATTTTTCACTCTTCATTTGTCTGTCTTTGTACCTCATTTTTCCTGGATGCAGGATGAGAACTCAGCACAGGCACTGCAGCCACGGAGGTTTCCAGATAGAAAAATTGACACCCCTGAGATCCCATAACATTTTGGGGACTCATCTGGGATCTGCGGAAGGGTGAGTAAAAGCAGCTCTGCTTTCTGTCTTTTCTTTAGGAGTCCCTGAACTCCACAATAGTCAAGATGAAGGAAAAATACTGGGCCTCTGTCAGCCAGTAAAAGCGACTACTGTGGCCGGACTTAAGACACAGGACAGGCTTGCTGGGGAGAACACTGTCAATCCTCCATCACCCTCAGGTGTTGGAAATATTGGCTTTGTTCTAACCCAGTTTCCCTTCACAAAGGGAAGCTGTCACTTGGGACCAGAAGGAGGTCTTGGGGCAACCAAAGGTATCTGGCTGAGGCCACACCTTTTTGTTATGCAAAGGCCGCTGGACTAACTTCAGTCCCCAACTGCCTGTTGGGTGTTGGCACTAGGATCTTTAGTCTTTCCTGTCGTTGTTTCCTTCACAACTGTCATGGTTCCTATCTCTTTTACATACAATGTTAAATGTTAAGGGTGTTGTTGCAAACCAGAGATATTACGGTGTAGAATGAGCATTTGGCTTAGTCATCGAAAATATGAAATGGAAGGTCAAGAGTAGCACAGATGAAGCAAAGTGTGCTTTGGTATCTGCAGTAAATTTGTAAGAAAATGTTCTTGTCATTTCCAGTTTAGTGCGAAGCACCTTGAGGCACAAAAAAGCACTACCTCAGGAAGGAAGCTTTTCTGTAAACACGAAGGAAAATGGTCCAAGGTCCCTTATGAGCAGGCCTTCTTTGCCTTGCAGGGTAACCCAGACCTTCGCCAACATTGTCTGATTGATTCAATGTCGTTGTACCCACCTCAGGAGAGTCTTCAAGGGGCAATCCCAGGGAACTGAGGAAGAAAACTCCAAAGTTACATCCAGCAGGGAATCAACCCATTCTGGTCCTTCCTATCCAGGTTATTTCTCAGCTTACCCCACCTTAAGAATCCTGGTTTTAGACAGGTTCCCCTCTCAGCTGCCCCTATAACAGGTGCCTGGTGAACACGGCCCCATTAAGGTCCAGGTCCCATTTTCTCTTCAGGACTTAAGTGAAATTAAGGGGTATTTTGACTGGTTTTCAGATGGCCCTGATGAATATAAAAAGGCTTTCCAGAGCTCAACCCAAGTGTTTGAACTCTTTGTATCAAACCCTGACCAACACTGAAAAACAGGCCACTCCTGGCAAGTGGCAGAGCTTTACATCTTGTATAGGGCCAGGGAAGGGGAGGAGCCTTATCCAATTGGAAAAATAGGCAGTACTATTGGAGGACTCTAAAAGGGGCCCCAATAATGAAAAGGGACAATGAAAGAAGTAACTCTTTCAGGTGTGCATATTGGAGGGCTTGTGAAGGACTGGGACTGGACCTCTCAATTGCACTGGGCTATCCATGGTGGATCATGGACTGGATGGGAGTCCCACTGCCTTCCTGAAACAGCTAAGAGGAGTCTTGGTAAAACACACCCCTCTATCTCCTGATTCAATAGAGTGACAGCTGGTCCTAGGAGATGAGTTTATTACTCAGGCAGCCCCTGATATTAGGAGGAAGCTGAAGTGGCAGAAACAGGTCATAGGACCAGATAGTGCTTTGAAGGACCTCCTGAAAGTGGCCACCATAGTCTTTTACAATAAGGATCAGAAAGCCCAAGAGAGGAAAAGGAGCTCTAACTGATTGACTTAAAGAAAAAGGCTCTAATAGTCACCTTACAGGCTCACAAACCCCAGAGTTCCTAAGATGCACCTGTTGACTGCTGCAAACGTGGGCCATTGGAGGGCGGACTGTTCCCAAGACACAAGTTGGTGGGTCTAGGGCCGGTCTCCCTAATGGTGCAGCAGGACTGATGGGTCCTGTGTTTCCTTTCCCTGGCTTTGGTGATTCAGACTGCCATCACCATCTAGGAGCCCCAGGGATCAAGGGAAGGAGGATGGACCTCCTCCTGAAATTAAGTAGATCTGGACCTCTGTCTGTTTCTCTGTGTAGATATATATGTGTCATGTGTGTCATGTTTCTATACAAGAGCTCTGATTGGCTTAAAGAAAATAAGTGCTTAGATCAAATGTTTTGAAAGAAAAATAAAGCTGTAATGCCTTTTAATTCATGGTTATCACTCTAGTGGAACAGGAAGCATGGGAAAGCATGGACTTATAAAGCTCATAGTAGGCCATTGCCTCTGAAGGGAAAACATGAAGTGGCACTGGTGTCCACCTAAGGTCAGAGATGTCTGACAGTCCAAGATTGAATACCAAAGGGTGATGTGCTGGGGGATCCTATGGACCTCAACCTCTCTAAAGGGGATTCTGTGGCAGAGGTTCTGGGGTCTAGTACTAAACCCTCCTTAGAAATTTCACAGTTGCAATACTGTATGGCCCCAATATTGTATGGAATCTGAAGTTTACTGTTGAATGGCAAAGTGGAATGGCATTGAATGTATCCAGGCTTTTATGCTGCTGTTCTAAACACGGAGCCTGGTTAACATGTGATGTTCTCTTTGGTGCTGTTTGGCCCTACTGTTCTTTGGAGTCTGGGAAGGTGGGGCCTTAAATCAAATTGCCATGATTTAAAGCAATCTGTGAACCCAAAATTTTGGTTCACAATCTTTATTGGATTATCTACTGGGGCAAACAAAGTAAAACCGGTGAGCTTGTATTGCTATCTCATGGCTTAGGATTCCAAGCTATTGAATCTTTGTGTGTGTGTGTATACATGTCCAGATGTGTTTATTTGTACACTTATTGTTATATGTTGTGTCTATCAAATTGGCTTATAAGTAAAGGGACACTCATAAATTAAGAAGTAATTGTCAGCATATGTTTTTGACTGAATTTATATTTGTCTACCATTATAACATGTAATAGAGACTACTGAAAATAGACTTACATACAAGATGTGTAAGGAAAGTAAAATGTGTCTTTAGTAAAATAATATAAGAAGGCCTGAGAATGTAAATTTCTGCCTAGTTCGCAGGGTTTAATGATTGTTTTAAATCAGATAAGATAAACCTAAAGGCTAAAACAAGTTATGGAAGGTTTATAAAAAATTAATTTTGTAAAAGGAATCCTGTGTGTGAACATATTGACTAAATTTAAAAAAAATCATGTTTGGTTTTCCACAAACTGAACATTGGAATAAAAGCACAACAAGCATTTATTGAGGATTTCTCTGTAAGGTATTACTTAAAAAAATGGGGGTGGCATTAATAGACTAATGTAAGGGTGAAATTTGGCTCCCTCTTGAACAAAACTTTTGTGCAGTGAAAGATTTTTGTGTGCAAACTACCAAAAAATGAAGTGGAGGACAAGAGACAGGTTATTTGGAAAACTAGGTCTTCCCTCTTAATGAGTAAAGGTTTTTGCTTTTTAAAATAAATTTGAGCCATCATTGGCTAAATGAATATCTTATGATAACATGAAATTCTGTTAAGTGTTTTGAGCCTTTTCAGTCAAAATTGTCTTTCCTAACCCCTAAATTTGAATGCTACACAGGGTCCCTTGAGTGTTCAAAGGAGAAGTAAACAGGATTATTTGACATGTTTAGCTACACAAGATTGTTGAAATAAGGTAGTGTTTGATCTTCAGGTTATATTTTAGAGAAAAATGTTAATGTGTGTTCCAAAATTGACAGGGATTTCTAGAGTTCTGTTGTCTGAGTTTGTGTTATCAATCATAATTAAGGTTATTGTGTTAGGTTTTTGCATGTCACAGAGGTGACCAAATTTCTTTGTCAATTGTGTTTTTGACTGTGTCTACCCTAGGACATTTTGACATCCACAGACAAATGTTGTCTTGTTTTGAGCCCCTTCAAAGGATAGATTATAACCCTAAAGTGCAAGTTTCTGATAATTTTGAAGATTGTGAACAGGAGGTGACTGTGTGAACTGAACTATTGAAAGACTAATCTTTTTTGACTTTTTGCTTTTTGCATGGAACAATGCTGATCTTTATGTTTTGTTTTTTAGAATTGATAACATTTCTCTTTTGAGCTATTTTTAGCTTTTGACAAATCTAGGGTGAACCAACCAGTGATCTCTGACTGCAGCTCAGAAGAAACAGGGATGGGCCATCAAACTCCAAATAGTCATGCAAATCATGCTTCAGATGATGGCTCCTTTGTACTGGGGATCCTGAGACAGGCCTCTGAGAGAGAGACCTAACTGTCATTTTCCTGAAACAACACCCTTTGTTAGCAAGAAGCTGTTAAGAGCAGTCATTGTCCCTATGCTAACAGCAGTTAGGTGTACTGATCTCGGAGAGGGGTTGGAGCCAAGCCCTGAGGCAATGAATGGCAGTGGGAGGTGAACAGAGTCCTGTGCCCATGACCACCCATGGACCAGTCAGCACAGACTTCCTCCACTCTGAGGTCCATAAAAGCCCTAGACTCAGTCAGAGAAGGGCAGAGGATGGCCAGAGGACAAAGAGGGCAGAGTGATGATGGGATGGGACAACCAGCTGCAGAGAGGAGTACCCTCTCTGCTGATAGCTGGAGACATCAGCAACCGGCAGAGAGGAGCTACCTTTTTTGCTTAGAGCTTCAGAGACCTGCAGAGATGTCTGAATGACTTGCCTGTGGAGAGGAGCCTTCCACTCTAGGGCCTCCTCTCTGCTGACAGCTGAACACTCCATGGGATGACCTGCCAACAGAGTGGAGCTACCCACTGTGGATATCCTCTGAGCTGTTCTAACACTAAATAAAACTCTTCATATTCTTCACCCTTCATTTGTCTTTGTACTTCATTCTTCCTGGGTGCAAGAGAAGAACTCAGGCAAATGCACCATGGCCACAGAGGTTTCCAGCCAGAAAAATCCACACCCCTGATATCCTGTAAAAATAGCATTCAATGGTAGTTTTTCAATCCTTGGCCTCCTCCCTGCCTACCCCTTTTGAAATCCCCATGGTCTATTATTCCCACTTTTTATCTGAGTGTGTCCAACGTTTTCTTCTCATTTGTAAATGGGAATATATATTTGGTTTTCTGTTTCAGCATTAATTTACTTAGAATAACTACCTCCAGCTGCATCCATGTTGCTGCAAAGAATATTCTTTCTTTTTTATGACTGCATAATAATCCATGGTTTAAATGTAAAACATTTTCTTCATCTAATCCACCATTAATAGGGATCTACATTGATTTCATGCCTTTGCTATTGTGAATAGTGCTGTCATAAACATGTGAGTACAGATGTCTTTTTTGTAGAACAATTTATTTTCCTTTGGGTATATATCCAGTAATGGGATTTCTGGGTCAAATGATAATTGTATTTTTAGTTCTTTGAGTAATCTTCTTACAGCTTTTCAGAGAGACTGAACTAATTTACAATGCCATCAACAAAGGGCAGGCATTCCTTTTTCTTAACAATCTTGACATCATCTGTTATTTTTTGACTTTTCCTTTTTTTTTTTTTTTTTTTTGAGACAGGGTCTCATTCTGTCACCCAGACTGTCATGCAGTTGTGTGATCTTAGCTCACTGCAACCTCTGCCTCCCAGGCTCAAGTGATTCTCCTGCCTCAGCCTCCTGAATAGCTGAGATTACAGTTGCATGCCACTACTCTCTGGCTAACTTTTTGTATTTTTAGGAGAAATGGGGTTTCACCATGTTGGCCAGGCTGGTCTTGTACTCCTGACCTCACAATATCCACCTGCCTTAGCCTCCCAAAGTGCTGGGATTACAGGTGTAAGCCACCATGCCTGGCCTTTTTGGCTTTTTAATAACAGTCATTCTGACTGGTGTGAGATGGTATCTCCTTGTGGTTTTGATTTGTATTTCTCTGATGATTAGCGATGCTGAGTGTTTTTCATGTTTGTTTGAGAAGTGTCAATTCATGACCTTTCCCCACTTTAAAATGGGGTTATTTTAATCTTTCTTGTTGATTTGTTAAAGTTCCTCATAGTTTCTGGATATTAGGCCTTTGTCAGATGAATGGTTTGTTAATACTTTCTCTCATTCTGTAGGTTTCTCTCATTCTCTCATTCTGTCAAGCCTGCTGATAGTTTCTTTTGCTGTTCAGAAGCTCTTAAGTTTAATTAGATCCCAATTTTCAGTTTTTGTTTTTGTTGTGTTTCCTTTTAAGGACATAGTCAAAAATTCCTTGCCTAGGCCAACATCCAGAAGAGTATTTCCTACATTTTCTTCTGGAATATTTATAGTTTGAGGTTTTGCATTTAAGTTTGATGCATCTTGAGTTACTATTTACATGGTGATAGGTAGAAGTCCAATTCTGCACATGGTTAGCCAGTCTCCCAGCACCATTTACTGAATAGGATGTCCTTTCCCCACTGTTCATTTTTGTCAACTTGGTCAAAAATCAGTGGGTTGCAGGTATGTGGCTTTACTTCTGGCTTCTCTATTATGTTGAATTGTTCTATATGTTTATTTTTGTATTAGTATCATGCTATTTTGGGTAACGTCGCCTTATAGTGTAGTTTAAAGTCATGTAATGCAACGCCTCTAGCTTTGGTCGTTTTGCTTAAGATAGCTTTGGCTATTTTGACTATTTTTTGGTTTCATATAAATTTTAGAACAGATTTTCTCTAATTGTGTGAAGAATAACTTTGATAATTTGAGAGGAATTGCATGGAATCTTTGGATTACTTTTGAGGCAGTATGAACATTGATTCTTCTAATCCATAAGCAGGGAATTTTTTTCATTTGTGTCATCTATGATTTTTTTCAGCAATATTTTGTAGTATTACTTGTAGAGATCTTTTACTTCC